>NC_000015.10:40852631-41155661 GCF_000001405.40 Homo sapiens
TGTGTGTGTGTGTGTGTGTGTGTGTGTGTGTTTACTCAATAAGATCAGATGGCAGTTTGTTCAGTAATTTGCTTCAGAAAGAGGGTTTTACAGCTGGGTGTGGTAATTGTACCTTTAGTCCCAGCTACTCACGAGGCCGAGGCAGGAGGATTGCTTGAGTTTGAGGCTGTACTGGCCATGATAGAGTCTGTGAATAGTCACTGTGCTCCAGCCTAGGAAACATAGCAAGACCCCATCTCTAATAAAAAAAAAAAAAAGGAAAGAAAGTGGGTTACAACATAAAAATATCTTCAGTATACCAAAAACATGCTCTCTCTGAATAGAGATCAAGAAGCTGGTTCTGTTGGGGGCTCCCACCCGCACCCCATGCAGGCTGTGGAGTCCCAGTTTGGTCTAGGTGGGGCCCATACTTTCACCACCCCACTTTGCTCCTGAGAGAAGCCTGGTCCATCTAGTGAGAATTGACCTTATCTCACTTTCTCTCCCCGCCAGGGTCTGGGATCCCCAAGGCCTGGGCAGGCATAGACTTGAAGGTACAACCCCAGGAACCCCTGGTGCTGAAGGATGTGGAAAACACAGATTGGCGCCTACTGCGGGGTGACACGGATGTCAGGGTAGAGGTGAGACACTGGGCTGACTCTGACCCCGCCCTCTGCCTGCCAGCCTTCTTGGAGCCCCTTTCTGGGGCCCTAGGCCAACCAATGGCCCCGGATGGGATGGGGTGGAGAGAGGCTGAAGATGCATTTAATCCAACTCCCCCTGGCCTCCCCAGGGGTGTGGGTGTGTGTCTGGCCAGGCCTGGGGCAGCCCAAGGGCATCAGGGGGTGCCCAAGCCTGATAGCCACTCCTGTGTGCAGAGGAAAGACCCAAACCAGGTGGAACTGTGGGGACTCAAGGAAGGCACCTACCTGTTCCAGCTGACAGTGACTAGCTCAGACCACCCAGAGGACACGGCCAACGTCACAGTCACTGTGCTGTCCACCAAGCAGACAGAAGGTGAGGGAGGGGTGAGGAGCAGCACCTGGAGCCCCCGCTGTGCGGATTGGCCGCACGGTCCCCTCATAAGCTCTCCCCCCTAGACTACTGCCTCGCATCCAACAAGGTGGGTCGCTGCCGGGGCTCTTTCCCACGCTGGTACTATGACCCCACGGAGCAGATCTGCAAGAGTTTCGTTTATGGAGGCTGCTTGGGCAACAAGAACAACTACCTTCGGGAAGAAGAGTGCATTCTAGCCTGTCGGGGTGTGCAAGGTGGGCCTTTGAGAGGCAGCTCTGGGGCTCAGGCGACTTTCCCCCAGGGTGAGTGGTCTCTCTCTTCTGTGGCCAGGGAGGTGGGTGGTGGGAGCTCTCCCTTGCCCACCCACCCCAATTATCTCATCCCCACTGGAGCCTGGTCATGCCTCCTCTCATTCTCTGTTCTCTCTCCCAGGCCCCTCCATGGAAAGGCGCCATCCAGGTGGGCTTTACTCCCCTCCCCATCCCCCATCCCCACCACATCTCTAGCCCATATCATCCCTATGCCCCTAAGCAGCCTGCCTTTGACCAAGCCATTCCTCCCCTCAGAGTTTGTGGAAGGACCACAAACATCCCACCCCTTCCAGCCCAGCATCGTCCTATGAGGATCTGCCCAGTTTGCGTGGGGCAGGAGTGGGGTTGGTGGAAAGGGAATGGGGGATGTGCTGTGTCTGGGCAGAGAGGGCCAAGTAGAAGGTGGGCCCTGGGCACTTGTTCTTTGCTTGAGCCTGACCTCCCTTCCACCCGTCCAGTGTGCTCTGGCACCTGTCAGCCCACCCAGTTCCGCTGCAGCAATGGCTGCTGCATCGACAGTTTCCTGGAGTGTGACGACACCCCCAACTGCCCCGACGCCTCCGACGAGGCTGCCTGTGAAAAATGTGAGGCCTGGGGGATAGAGGGGGTTGGGCAGCAGACAGGGAGGTCCTGACAGCCTTGCCCTGAACCCCTGGGAGACCCTTGTTGGGTCTGAGACTCTGACCTTTCCTCTCTGCAGACACGAGTGGCTTTGACGAGCTCCAGCGCATCCATTTCCCCAGTGACAAAGGTGAGATCCTCCCCAGGTGCCCTGGATCAGGGCAGACGCTGACACTGCCATCCTCACTATTTCCATCCAGCAGTGCCTGAGGGGCCTGCTGGGTGTACGGGCCTGTGGGCACAAAGAGCCAGGGTGGGCTCCCCGTTCTCCAGATGGCTCAGCTTCTTCCCTGGCTGGCTCTTGGGCTTTCTTCTGTGGCTCTGTGTTTTCCAGGCATCACTCATTCTCCGAACACCTTCATAACTTCAGCCATGTCCACCACATATTGCTCAGATCTTATTTACTTAATCAGTTACTTTTTAAATGTAATATATTAAAAAGGAACTTTCACATCACTACCATAAATGGGAAGCCACTATTACTTGCCAAACATTGAAAAACAACACAAATAAATATAATAAAACAGTAAGTTTTAGCTTGCCAGGCGTGGTGGCTCACACTTATAATCCCAGCGCTTTGAGAGGCCGAGGCTGGCAGATTGCTTGAGCTCAGGAGTTCAAGACCAGCGTGGGCAATATGGCAAAACCCCATCTCTACAAA
Organism: Homo sapiens; assembly: GCF_000001405.40. Classification (NCBI taxonomy): domain Eukaryota; kingdom Metazoa; phylum Chordata; class Mammalia; order Primates; family Hominidae; genus Homo; species Homo sapiens. The sequence goes on from NC_000015.10 coordinate 40,855,221, forward strand.
AAATACAAAAATTAGCCGGATGTGGTTGCGCGTTCCTGTACTCCCAGCTACTCAGAAGGCTGAGGTAGGAGGATCACTTGAACCTGGGAGGTAGAGACTGCAGTCAGTTGAGATGGAACCACTGCACCTCAGCCTGGGCAACAGAGTGAGACCCTGTCTCAAAACAATAATAATAATAATAAGCTCTAGCTAGTTGCTTGCCTGCCAAGGCTCAGACCCTGAGGCCCATCCTCTTTTTTAAGAAAGGTAAACCAGCCAGGCGTGGTGGCTTACACCTGGAATCCCAGCTACTAGGGAGGCTGAGGTGGGAGGATCGCTTGGCCTAGGAATTTGAGGCCAACCTGGGCAACATAGCGAGACACTGTCTTTAAAAAAAAGAGGTAAACCACCCAGTGTTGGAAAACTGAGACCGTGACCCAGTCAGAAAAGCTGAAAGAAAATTGAAATAACTATGAGTCGGCGTAGTTTACTTTTGTGCCTACAGTTATTGTCCAGGGTTTGTCTTCCCTTTTCTGGCACCACTGCAGCTGGGCCAGGTGTTTTGGGGCCTCTCAGGCCCTCCCTGAGCCATGGCAGGTGGGGAGGTGCTGGGCAGCAGCCACGTGGAGCCTAGCAGAAGGTGGCAGGGAGGCCATGGACTCGCTCACCATAGCCTACCCCATACCCCCCAGGGCACTGCGTGGACCTGCCAGACACAGGACTCTGCAAGGAGAGCATCCCGCGCTGGTACTACAACCCCTTCAGCGAACACTGCGCCCGCTTTACCTATGGTGGTTGTTACGGCAACAAGAACAACTTTGAGGAAGAGCAGCAGTGCCTCGAGTCTTGTCGCGGCATCTCCAGTGAGTGGGCCAGTGAGAGGGTGGGCATGTATGGGGGAAGGCTTAGCCAGTGGCCTCCACTCTGTCCCCAGGCCTTTGGGAGTCACCCCTCCATCCTCAGAGCGCCTGGAGTAGGAGTGGGAGAGGATGCCAGTGTGAGGTCTGGGGCACTGGGGAGCAGCTGAGTCTCTGAGCCCTCAGTACTGACTGGTCTTTCCCCTCATCATTCTGCAGAGAAGGATGTGTTTGGCCTGAGGCGGGAAATCCCCATTCCCAGCACAGGTAAGCCCTGATCTGTCCTGTAACTGAGGTTAGCATGTAGGTATCAACTCACGGATCAACTCCACCTGTTGTGACAGCCTAACCTGTGTTGAGAAGGATGCCAAGGTGGCCTATAGAGACAGAGTACCGTAATCAAATGGGGATGCCTGCCACACACGAGGGAGGGAGTACAGTAAAGTGCGTGCCGATGTCTGTCAGCAGCGTCCCAGGCTTCCCCCAAGTTAACTGCAAGGAGAGCGACTTGAGCTGAGACCTGAGGCCCACCAGAGTTCCTCTGAGCTCCTGGACAGAGCTGTTCAGCTGTTCATATGTGGGAGGTCTGAGTCGGGTGCCCATGTCCTTCCATACCTGGCATCCATTTGACTTGGTCTCTTCCATAGATTGGGGGTGGGTGTCAGAACCAGGCAGGCCCTGGGAGCCCCTTATTCTACCCCTTCTTCCCCCAGGCTCTGTGGAGATGGCTGTCGCAGTGTTCCTGGTCATCTGCATTGTGGTGGTGGTAGCCATCTTGGGTTACTGCTTCTTCAAGAACCAGAGAAAGGACTTCCACGGACACCACCACCACCCACCACCCACCCCTGCCAGCTCCACTGTCTCCACTACCGAGGACACGGAGCACCTGGTCTATAACCACACCACGCGGCCCCTCTGAGCCTGGGTCTCACCGGCTCTCACCTGGCCCTGCTTCCTGCTTGCCAAGGCAGAGGCCTGGGCTGGGAAAAACTTTGGAACCAGACTCTTGCCTGTTTCCCAGGCCCACTGTGCCTCAGAGACCAGGGCTCCAGCCCCTCTTGGAGAAGTCTCAGCTAAGCTCACGTCCTGAGAAAGCTCAAAGGTTTGGAAGGAGCAGAAAACCCTTGGGCCAGAAGTACCAGACTAGATGGACCTGCCTGCATAGGAGTTTGGAGGAAGTTGGAGTTTTGTTTCCTCTGTTCAAAGCTGCCTGTCCCTACCCCATGGTGCTAGGAAGAGGAGTGGGGTGGTGTCAGACCCTGGAGGCCCCAACCCTGTCCTCCCGAGCTCCTCTTCCATGCTGTGCGCCCAGGGCTGGGAGGAAGGACTTCCCTGTGTAGTTTGTGCTGTAAAGAGTTGCTTTTTGTTTATTTAATGCTGTGGCATGGGTGAAGAGGAGGGGAAGAGGCCTGTTTGGCCTCTCTATCCTCTCTTCCTCTTCCCCCAAGATTGAGCTCTCTGCCCTTGATCAGCCCCACCCTGGCCTAGACCAGCAGACAGAGCCAGGAGAAGCTCAGCTGCATTCCGCAGCCCCCACCCCCAAGGTTCTCCAACATCACAGCCCAGCCCGCCCACTGGGTAATAAAAGTGGTTTGTGGAGTTTCTGGCTCTGTTCTGTGGGCCAGGAGAGGGACTAGGTTGCTGGGGGGTGATGGGACCGTCCTGTTCAGCTGGTTCAGGCTTCAGCCACCCTGTTGAGCAGGTTTTCCCATCGTCTCTCTCGAAACTGGCCTGGCCCCTGACTTTGGAGAGCAGTGCCATGTTTGACCACCAGAGGGGAGGAGTGAGCGGGCCACGGGAGCCACGAGTGTGGGGAGGCTGCAGTGCTGCTGTGTAGCATTTCTTCCTGGTGTGAGCCTCTCCACAAGCCTGTTGAGTGGTTGAGCTCTCCACAATTCTGCTCATTTGGAGGTTGGGGTTAGGGGTGCACAGGCACCTTGGCTCCTACCTCCATGTTAGGGCCCAGGTGACTAGCTGTCTCCCTCCCAACAGAAGCCCTGGCTTCTGCGCTGGAGTGCAGCACCCCCAACCAGGCTCTGAGCTCCTTCCCAGGAGCCTTTAGTAGAGACACGCCACTCCAACCCACACCCCTGCATTTGTTCAAGCTACCTCCCGGTGCCAAAAAAAAAAAAAAATCATACTTTGAGCTCATTCGTTCGTTTATTCAGTGAATTACATTGAGCTCCTCTGTGCCAGACACTGCCAATCATTAGAAATTTGATACTGCTGAGAGGGGCAGAGGAAGCACTATTTAAATGCTTTACGTATCTCGAGTTGCTGGCGCTGCACACAGCCCTTGTGATGACAATACAATCATCCGCATTTTACAGGTGAAGAAACTAATTCATTGAAATTTCCTCCCCAAGGCCCTAGAGCTGAGATTGGACTGGATCCCCAGAGTTTAGTCTTACAAAAGAGGTATCGGGGTTGGTGGGGGTGGGGGGGGACTTAAAAGCAAATTTTAAGCAAGTACAACTACCATGAATGTACATATATGAAGTTATAAGTGTATAGCTCAGTGAATTTCCATAATGACACACACCTCTGAGGCAGGCACCCAGATCAAGAAGCAGAACCTTCTTAGCACGCCGGGACAGGCCTCGTTTTGATGGATAACACCTGGTTTTGGACTCGTGCTCTCATGGACCACCTCCCCATTTTGCACGCCTCAGCCTAAGCTCAAAACCCTCCCACACAACTGCAGGTGGTGGACACTCCCTGCCTCACACCCCTGTGTCTGCTAACACCACCCTGAGCCCAGAGCACCTCTTATTTCCTTTACTGCCTGTCTTCTTGCCGGATTGTGAGATCCCAGAGCCGCAGATGGCATCCAGTTGTGTCTGGGTTCCCGGCACCCCATGCTCCCTCTGTGACCTTGGTAAATCGTAGTTTAGTAAATGTTGAGTAAGCGGCAGGGGGTGGGGCTCATCCCCATTGTTCCACTTCATAGGGCACCGTGTTTTCCCTTCTAACCCCCTACTCTGACACTCGTCCATCCTTCGAGGCTCAAAACGGACTTGATCCCTACTGGGAACAACCCCCATTATCAGTTGGTTCTCAGACTCTACCCTAGTGTCCAGAACAGTGATCAACACAGAGCAAGTATTTAATAAGGGTTTGTTGGCCTGAAGTGAACATCCTCTCAGGGAGGGATAGACATCAAGTGAGAGGATGCCAGGCAAAGGGCCACCCCTAGTAACAGCTGCTTGCATGTGCAGAGGGAGTGCCCGAGGAGGTGGGAGCTCTCGGGGGTCACTAGGGGGCGCTGTGACTATGACTGGATGCCGTGTTCTTCCTGCAAGGATGTGAGGACTCAGTCTCAGGCAGGTGACAGGAGTGGAGCAATGAACGCCAAGACACAGCTCCTGCTCTCCTGGCGCTTACACTCTGGCGTGCAGGCTGCAGGGATGCAGATACGGTGACAAAACAGTCTGGTCCCCAAACTTCTCCTTATCCCTGAGACCGCCCCAGCCATCCTCTGCTCTGTGCCCACCCACATGACTCAGAACTTTGATCCCTACCTCCATGTCCTGAACAGGCAGTTTCCTCCACTTCAGAAGTCCCCTCCGCCCTGGAAAGCTCCTACTTTACCCCGTGTTCCAGCTCACGAAGCTTTCTCTGGCTCTCCAGCCAAAGTTCATTGCTGCCCTCTCCACGCACTCCTGCTCTACACAGCTCCGCTGCACGCATAAGTCCAAGCTAGTGTGTGTCTCCCTTTATCCAGACAAGACTCCTCAGGGCGCTGACCAGGTCTTAGTTATCCTAGCGTCTCCCAAGCTGGGCCCTGCTTGTGCGTACCAGGTATCTGAAAAATGGCTGCTGGAACAAAACAGAGGCCGGTCAAGTGGAGGAGATTAAGGTTAATAAGTGACTTCGTGGAGAAAGTCTAACATCAGGTGAGTGGCCCTGCACGGTGGCTCACACCTGTAATTCCAGCAGTTTGGGAGGCCGAGGTGGGTGGATCACTTGAGGTCAGGAGTTCGAGACCAGCCTGGCCAACATGGTGAAACCCCGTCTCTACTAAAAATACAAAAATTAGCCGGGTGTGGTGGCACACACCTATAATCCCAGCTACTTGGGAGGTTGAGGCAGGAGAATCACTTGAACCCGGGAAGTGGAGGTTGTAGTGAACCAAGATGGCACCACTGCACTCCAGCCTGGGTGACAGAGTGAGACTCCATCTTAAAAAAATAAAATTAAATTAAAAAAAAAACTAGGTGAGTAGGGGTCTCCAAGAGATTCTTGCACACGTATGTACATAGCATTATTCACAATAGCTAAAACATGGAATCAACCTGAGTGCCTATCAACAGATGAATGGATAAGCAAAATGGAGTACACACAATATACACGGTGGAATAATATTCAGCCTTAAAAAGGATGTTCTAACATATGCTACAACACAGATGAACCTTCAGGACATCTATATTATGCTAAGTGAAATCAGCCAGTCACAAAAAGACAAGTATGATTCTACTCATCTGAAATGCTTAGAGTAGTCAAAATCAAAGAGACAGTAGAATGATGGTTGCTGGGAAAAGGAAAATAGAGAATTATTGCTTAATGGGTACAGAGTTCCAGTTTTGTAAAAGGAAAAGGCTCAGGAGATGGATGGTGGTGATGGTTGCACAACAATGTGAATGTACTTAGTGCCACTAAACCATATACTTTAAAATGGTTAAGATAGTAAATTTTACATTATATGTATTTTATCACAATAAAAAAAGATTGGAAAAAAATAAGATGAGCAGATGGGTGTGGGTGTTCCATGCATAACAAAATCACACTGAGCAAAAGCTGGGCAGTGGAGATCCTGGGTTTTGTTTGGGAATCACAAGCTGCTCAGTTTGGAAGCAGGGAGGTGGAAGCTGGGAGTTTGGTGGGTGGAGGGGATTTAAGCAGGGGAAAGGAGTGATCTGAACTTTAAAGAGTGGGCCGGGCGCGGTGGCTCATGCCTGTAATCCCAGCACTTTGGGAGGCCAAGGTGGGTGGATTACCAGAGGTTGGGAGTTCGAGACAAGCCTGACCAACATGGAGAAACCCCGTCTCTACTAAAAGTACAAAATTAGCTGAGCATGGTGGCACATGCCTGTAATCCCAGCTACTCGGGAGGCTGAGGCAAGAGAATTGCTTGAACCCGGGAGGCAGAGTTTGCAGTGAGCTGAGATCATGCCACTGAACTCCAACCTGGGCAACAGAGCAAGACTCCATCTCAAAAAAAAAAAAAAAAAAAAAAGGAGTGGGCAGATAAGCAGGCTACATCACCAGAGGTCACAGCACAGGGAGAGGGACAGAGGGAGGAAGCAACACCAAGTAAATTAGGCGAGGGAACCTGTGTGAAGCACATAGCAGATCTCTGGTGAAGGCTAGTCAAAGGTTGCACACTGGCAGCCTACAATCATGCTTTGACTCAAACAATCGTTTAGTTTCTTTAATTTAGTTGCCAACATTTAAGGAGTCAGAAGTCTTCATTGAAAAAAAAAATCCATATTGCTAGCTTCTTGTGAGAACTCTGGGGACCTAGCAATCCAGGCACAGAGTTCAGGGTCCTCTTTAGCTGGGCAGGCATTAACCCATTCACAGTCCTCCCCCACCCCACCCAGCATTAGGTGCTTGCCTGGGACTTCTAGGCATTCGCCTCTGGAACCCCCAGCATCTTTTTTTTTTTTTTCTGAGACAGAGTTTCGCTTTTGTTGCTCAGGCTGGAGTGCAATGGCACAATCTAGGTTCACTGCAACCTCGGCCTATCGGGTTCTAGCAATTCTCCTGCCTCAGCCTCAGCCTCCAGAGTAGCTGGAATTACAGGCATGTGCCACTACGCCCAGATAATTTTTGTATTTTTTAGTAGAGATGGGGTTTATCAATGTTGGTCAGGCTGGTCTCGAACTCCTGATCTCAGGTCATCCGCCCTCCTCGGCCTCCCAAAGTGCTAGGATTATAGGCGTGAGCCACCACGCCCGGCCTAGAACCCCCAGCATCTTGTCCCTTACAACGCATCTTGCCTTCCCTATATTGGGTAGTTGTCTCCAAAATTTATTGGTCCCAACAGTTCAGGTAAACACTCACAAAAACTGGGTGGTTTCTCCCAAACCCATCCCTGCCCACTAAAATAAACAGCCCTGAATGAGGAGTGGTTTGCCCTATTGCACAAGACCACTCCCTTCCCCACCCAACCACAGCAGGACTAAAGCCTGGGAAGGTACCTTTAAGCTCCCCCGGGGAGAGATTCTTGTTAATAGCTCCACCTGGAAGTCCTAAACCCGGAAGCCCGGGGGTTTCCTAAGCCTTCCCACAGGCTCTCTGAGGGCTTGCCTCTCCTTCCCCACCTGCAGTGGCTCCCAGAGTTTGTATCAGAGGAGCCCAGAACCAGGGAGACTAAGAAAACAGACTGGGGAAGAAATAAAGACACCGCTTGTAGTGGAGTTTTTTGTTGTGGTGGTTTTTTCAAGGCTACATGTTTAGGAAAAAAAAAAAAAAAACTAAAAAAGGGTGTTAACCCAAATGACCATAGTGTTGTCTCTCACTGATACAATTACAGATTGATACAAAAACAGTTTTTGTGTTTTTTGTCAACTTGCATTTTCTAAATTTTTTTTTTTTTTTTTTTTGGAGACAAGTCTTGCTCTGTCGCCCAGGCTGGAGTGCAGTGGCGTGATGTCGGCTCACTGCAACCTCCGCCTCCTGGGTTCAAGCATTTCTCTGCCTCAGCCTCCCAAGTAGCTGGGATTACAGGCGCTCACCACCATGCCCGGCTAATTTTTGTACTTTTAGTAGAGACGGGGTTTTGCCATGTTGGCCAGGCTGGTCTCCAACTCCTGACCTCGGGTGATCCAACTACCTCGGCCTCCCAAAGTGCTGGGATTACAGACTTGAGCAACTGCCCCTGGCCTCAGATATATTTAAGAAAGAAAGAAAGAAATCACCAAAACATGAAGCTCTGAGATGTGGGAGAGACAACAGGGAGGGAGAAGAAGACAGAGCTTCTGGAGACCGGGGGAAGGGAGCCACTCCAGACTGTGGTGGCAATGCCACCAACAGAAACAGGGATGAGCAGAGGAGGGGCAGTTTCAGGGGAACCAGGCAGAAGGTGAGGGGCCACCCAGCACCAGATGGAGACTGGTTTTATTGATTTTGTCATCGGTTATTTAGCCTTTGTTTGCTTATGTCTTGCCTTATGGGGGAAGAACTAAAGACAGCTTAAAGGAGTCTATAAATTACGAAATAACATGGGTATAAAGTAGAAAGAAGTTTATTTATTTATTTTTTTGAGATGGAGTCTTGCTCTGTTGCCCACGCTGGAGTGCAGTGGTGAGAACTCGGCTCACTGCAAGCCCCACCTGCAAGGTTCACGCCATTCTCCTGCCTCAGCCTCCCGAGTAGCTGGCACTACAGGCGCCCGCCACCACGCCTGGCTATTTTTTATTTATTTTATTTTTTTAGTAGAGATGGGGTTTCACCGTGTCAGCCAGGACAGTCTCGATCTCCTGACCTCGTGATCCGCCAGCCTCGGCCCTCCAAAGTGCTGGGATTACAGGCGTGAGCCACCGCACACAGTCCACATGATCCCCTTTGCAACTAGTTTATGACCTTGGGTTAACCAGGCTGACCATGGAGTTAATCTGTGGTTTAACCATGGGCCCCTTTTTTTCTTTACTTAGTCTATGAAGAATGAAGGAGCTGGACTAGATAACAAGATCCTTTCTGTCTCCAAACGATGGCCTCCAATTACAGCCTCTAGGAGTGCCCCCTGAGTATAGGGCTGATGGAGGCTGTCAGAGCTGAGGGGTTGAGGCCCAGAGAGGGGCAGTGACTGGCCCAAGGTCACACAGCCAGTGGCTGGGGACATAGCCAGGCCAGGAGGTCAAAGTTCCAGAGCCTCAAACCCTGTGGCTAGGCAAATCTCATCTGCTCCAGACACCAGGCTCTTAGGTTCGGTTTCTGTCTTTTTTCTGGAAGTGGGACAAAGGAGCCACAAGCCAAGAAGCTGTCAGGGCTGGTCCCGAGCCCCAGGAGGCTGGGAACCAAAGGTCCACACCCATGTAAACACGGGCCAGCACTGATACCTCTTACTTGGCCCTTGAGAGCTCCCTCCACATTAGTTCCTGGCTATTATCTTGCTTATCCCTGCAGGTCTGCTGGGAGCCAGGGAGGGGCAGAGAGTATCAGCCCCACTTCACAACCAGGAGAAACTCTAAAGAGGATGAAGGTGGTAATTTGCCAAAGCCACCCAGCGAGTCGGGATGCGGCTGGAACAGGAGGCTGAGTCTCCAAGGCCCTGTGGGTGAGAGGGTGGTCACCAGAGCTCATGGCCTGCTTGCCGGGGGAGGCGAGGGGAGCGGAGGTAAAGAAATGTACACAGTCCCAGGAATCGAGGGTCCACTGTTGCATAAGGAGAGGGATCTCACCACCCCTGGAGAGAGACCTATAGGGACAGGCTCTGCTTGCTGGTGTGGGGCTCTGAGGGAAGACAGGCAGAAGCAGTGGAACACAGCCACAGAGAATACAGGTCTGAGGGAGGGAGTGATCATGTGGCAGGTGTCCCAGGTGTCCCTGGGTGGGGTCTGTGCTGCTTTTCTGCCAGCTCCAAGTTACCCCAAGGAACCCTTATGCCCACCCGGGACCCAAAGACGCCCCTGCTGCCCCTCACTGCTAAGAAGTCAGGAAGTTGTCAGGATACCAGGTGAGGAGAGGGACACTGGCACAGGTGAGGGTCAAGGAGACCATGGAGCTGGTGACAATGACTGAGTCTCGCTTCCAGAGGGGTTACAGGTAGGGTGACCATAACCCACGTTATTAATAGAGCTCCTGTTCAGTCACAAAATCATTGAGTATGACAGTGAATTCCATGGTCATCCCAGTTATGGGACCAACACTTTAAGCCTCTGCTCATGGAGCAAGTCTTGAGAACATTCCAGTAAGAGGGCAGGCCTGTTCAGTGCTGACACCTGTCCTGCCTCCTGCTCCCTCACTCCCCAGCCTAGGACAACCTAGTGAATCCCAGAAATCATGCCTCCCACTGTTGCCCTCTAAGGGAACCATTTCTGGGGAGCAGAACCCCCATATGGAACGCCGGGAAGAGGCATAGACCCAGTGTCCGGAAACCTGGGACCAAGGCCCAGCTCTGCCTTAACCTTGGTCATCATGCTTGGTCTATCCCCTCATCTGAAAACTGGTGCTAATAAAAGCCATGTGGGCCGGGCATGGTGGCTCACACTTATAATCCCAACACTTTGGGAGGCTCAGGCGGGCAGATCACTTGAGCTCAGGAGTTCGAGACCAGCCCAGACAACATAGTGAAACCCCATCTCTACAAAAACTACAAAAATCAACTGGGCATGGTGGCGCACACCTGTAGTCCCAGCTACTCGGGAGGATGAGGTGAGAGAATCCTCTGAGCTCAGGAAGTCAAGGCTGCAGTGAGCTATAATCATACCACTGCACTCCAGCCTGTACGTCAGAGTGAGACCCTGTCTCAAAACAAAAGGTCCGGGAACAGTGGCTCACATCTGTAATCCCTGCATTTTGGGAGGCCGAGGTGGATGGATCACCTGAGGTCAAGAGTTCGAGACCAGCCTGGCCAACATGGCAAAACCCCATCTCTACTAAAAATACAAAAATTAGCCAGGCGTGGTGGCACATGCCTGTAATCCCAGCTACTCAGGAAGATGAGGCAGGAGAATTGCTTGAACCCGGGGGACAGAGGTTGCAGTGAGCCGAGATCACACCATTGCACTCCAGCCTGGGCAACAGAGCGAGACTTCGTCCCCCCCGCAAAAAAAAAAAGAAAAAGAAAAAAAAAAGCCGCTGTCTGGGCCATCTTGGAGTTCAGTTGTAAGGATGTATTAGAGCGGAGGATGGGAGGCAGCCTCCGCATTACTGCATGCAGAGGCAGTAGTGCCCAGGTCCAGGAAGTTACTCCCTGCTCTTGCCACAGGGTGACTAATGTGGCCCCTCTGCTGAATTCTGCTCACTGGGGATCTGGCCCAGGCCCAAGGAGGGTGCTGGGAACAGGGTTTCCTGGCAGCTGAAACACAGTGGGCAGGTCTGACCTGTGAGAACCGCAGTTACTGCCTGAGGCCTGGGCTGGTTACAGAAGGGGCTGGTGCTCCTGACGCAGTCTGCTCTCGGTCTCTCTGTAGCTCGTTCCCAGGAGAATGGGGAGCTCAGGGAAGGTGCGTCACCTCTGCCCTGGGCACGACTCTGCTCCCAGGGAGAAAGCAAGGCCACAGCTCCTTCAGGTGTGCACACACTCACACACCAGCCCAGTCCCAGCGTGCACACCCAGCACAAACATGCACACACAGATCCACACAGAGATGAGCATAGGTACATACAGATGCAGACACACTGCCCCAAGAAATGAGGTCCAGCCTAGCTGTATACACACAGGCATAGATACACATATAAGGTTCTGTATAATACACACTTTTTTTTTTTTGAGATGGAGTCTTGCTCTATCGCCTAGGCTGAAGTGCAGTGGCGAAATCTTGGCTCACTGCAACCTCCGCCTCCTGGGTTCAAGTGATTCTCCTGCCTCAGCCTCCCAAGTAGCTGGGATTACAGGCATGCGCCACCATGCTCAGCTAATTTTTGTATTTTTAGTAGAGACGGGGTTTCACTATATTGGTCAGGCTGGTCTCAAACTCCTGACCTCAGGTGATCCACCCACCTTAGCCTCCCGAAGTGCTGGGATTACAGGCGTGAGCCACCATGCTTGGCCTTATAATACACATTTCTAATGACACGTGTGACATGGATACACAGGCATATACACATCTTGCGCAAAGGTACACACTGTATTTATAGATGTAGATACACAGACTTGCACATATATGGAATTTCTGTATTTAGAGTTTTTCCACAAAGACAACACCCACTTTAAATATACAAGAGCAAAACCAGGGACACAGGGAAAGGTACATGAACACAAATATATACATACCTTGTCAGCATTTGGTATTTATTGAACACCCCACAATCTGCTACTCATATTCCAACAGAAAGAGACCCCCACACAGAGTCATAGACATAGAAACCCAAACATCCTCATCAGTTCCACTCAGGATTATATGGAGACCCAGTCTCCAAGCCAAAGATGAAGAACTGTTTTTCTGTAGATAGTCAATGAGCCATGGTGGATAAAACAATCAGTTGTAGATGTAGTGTCATTTATAATAGAGAAAAAAAAGCTTAAAGGTAAATAACCTACATGCCCCCAGATGGGGATCTACTTAAAGGTATTCAGGTCAGAGTGGAACAGTAAGGAAACATACACATACAGTTACAGCCTCATGGTCACAGTTTATAACATGAAAAGACAGTTAAGTTTTTAAATTAAAGAAAATTGTCTACACAGCATAATCACAAAAAGTGTGTAAAGAAATATGCATAGGGCCAGGAGCGATGGCCTACACCTGTAATCCCAGCACTTTGGGAGGCCGAGACGGGTGGATCATCTGAGGTCAGGAGTTCGAGACCAGTCTGCCCAACATGGTGAATCCCCATCTCTACTAAAAATACAAAAATTAGCTGGACATGGTGCCGCATGCCTGTAGTCCCAGGTACTCAAGAGGCTGAGGCAGGAGAATCACGTGAACCAGGGAGGCAGAGGTTGCGGTGAGCTGAGATCGCGCCATTGCACACCAGCCTGGGTGACAGAGCAAGACTGTCTCAAAAAAAAAAAAAAAAGATGCTTAGAAGAAAAGATTGGAAGGAATTACACCCAAATATTATTATTGATTGTCTTTGGGAGTTAAGACTTTAGAATACCTTTTTTTTTTCTTTGAGGCAGTCTTGCTCTGTAGCCAGGCTGGAGTGCAGTGGCGTGACCTCGGCTCACTGCAACCTCCGCCTCCTGGGTTCAAGCGATTCTCCTGCCTCAGCCTCCCAAGTAGCTGGGATAACAGGCACACGCCACCATGCCCAGCTAATTTTTGTATTTTCAGTAAAGACGAGGTTTCACCATGTTGGCCAGGCTGGTCTCGATCTCCTGACCTCGTGATCTGCCTGCCTCGGCCTCCCAAAGTGCTGGGATTACAGGCATAAGCCACTGCACCCGGCCTAGAATACTTTTTAAGATTTTTTAATCTTCTAAATCTTTGGATTTTCTAATTTTTATAAGTATTTATTATGGAAAAAAAGACATTATTTTTAAAAAATCTAGCCAGGTGAGGTGGCTCACACCTGTAATCCCAGCAATTTGGGAGGCCAAAGCAGAAGGATCACCTGAGCTCAGGAATTAGAGACTAATCTGAACAACATAACTACACCCCATCCCTACAAAAAAAAAATTGTTGAATTAGGTGTGTACCTAATGGTAGTGCACATCTATAGTTCTAGCTACTTGGGAGACTGAGACAGAAGCATTGCTTGAGCCTAGGAGTTCAAGGCTGCAGTGAGCCATGATCACACCACTGCACTCTAGCCTGGATGACAGTGCAAGACCCTGCCTCAAAAAAATGGAAAACGGCTGGGTGCCATTGCTCACACCTGTAATCCCAGCACTTTGGGAAGGTGAAGTGGGTGGATCACTTGAGGTCAGGAGTTCGAGATCAGCCTGGCCAACGTGGTGAAACTCTGTCTCTACTAAAAATACAAAAATGAGCTGGGCCTGGTGGTGCACGCCTGTAATCCCAGCTACTTGGGAGGCTGAGGTAGGAGACTCACTTGAACCTGGGAGGCGGAGGTTGCAGTGAGCCGAGATCATGCCACTGTACTCCAGCCTGGGCGACAGAGTGAGACTCTGTCTCAAAAAAAAAAAAAAAAAATTAGCTGGATGTGGTGGTGGATGCCTGTAATCCAAGGTACTTGGGAGGCTGAGGCAGGAGAATTGCTTGAACCCAGGAGGCGGAGGCTGCAGTGAGCCAAGATTGTGCCACTGTACTCCAGCCTGGGTGACAGAGTGAGACTCCATCTCCAAAAAAAAAAGAGAGCTGGGTGCAGTGGCTCATGCCTGTAATCCCAGCACTTAGGGAGGCTGAGGTGGGCAGATCACGAGATCGGGAGATCAAGACCATCCTGGCTAACATGGTGAAACCCCGTCTCTACTAAAAATACAAAAAATTAGCCAGGCGTGGTGGTGGGCACCTGTAGTCCCAGCTACTCGGGAGGCTGAGGCAGGAGAATGGCGTGAACCCGGGAGGTGGAGCTTGCAGTGAGCCGAGATGGCGCCACTGCACTCCAGCCTGGGCCACAGAGCGAGACTCCGTCTCAAAAAAAAAAAAAAAAAAAAACAGAAAGAAAGAAAAAATTGAAAAAAATCAACTAAGGGTTACACAGACATTAAAAGCAATTTATATTGATAAGGACATATGTAAGAATGTATATGTAAGAAACATATAATTTTATCCAATTCATATAATAAATATTCCTTTAAATATAATTTAAAAGAGCAGAGAAAAGGGAAAAGAGGCCAAGGAAACAGACAGAGAGATAAAAACAAAAAAACTACCCCAGAAAAGTAGGTACCATATTCTAGAGAAAGAGACAGAACCAAAGAGAACCAGTGGATTCGGAAGCAGAAGCGAATCCCTCTTGTCCTGCACAGGCTTGGGGCCAGAGCCTTAGAGGTCCTTTCCAGCAAGCTGTTGACATTAGGCCTCAGTCTTCAAGCTCCAAATCTGGAGCTAAACTTAATCCTCCCAGCCTCTCCAGGGCTCACTGGCTGGCTTTTTATTCCTAAGCATTTCAGGGTCAGCAGCAAACATTGCCTGAGCCCCAGACCTTGTGGGAGCAAAAGGAACTTAAACGTGGCTCTCTCTCTCTCTTCATTTAGCTGGGAAGATGCAGGCTGAGTCAGTCGCAGAACGCCCAGTGTCCTCAGTGTGCCAAGGGAGCAGTGAAGACACTGATACAGGTAAGCATCTGTTCTGGAGGAGGGAGGTATTGAAAGCTGGTTATCATGAGGAGAAATGGGGCATCTGGGAGGTGACAGGGAGCTCTTTCCAAACTAGGGGATCTGGCACAAGCCAAGACTGGGAGTCAGGAAGTCGGAAATAGCTGGGGATCACCAGAGCGAGCTGGCCTGGTCCAGGGTGCTGTCAGATTTGAGAGGGCCTTGAATGCTGAAATGAGGAGCTGGAAGTTCATCATCAACAGTGAGAGCCAGTAACAGTCTTGAGCCTTGAGTTGGGGGATGCCAGAGTGAACACAGCAGCACGGGACAGATTGGAGTGGGGAGCTGCAGTGGCAGGGACCTTGGGGTGTGGGTGACAGAGGTCCTGACCAGACTTGGAGACCCAGCAAGAGAGGAGGCATGGTGACCGAGGTTTCAATTTGGGTGACATGGATATACTAGTACCACAAGAGAGAATTAGGGAAGAAGTTGGAGGTGGGGGCGGGTACAAGGATAACCCCCTTGTGGGGGATGATCCCCACCCCAAGGCACGTCCAAGGCCCCTCAGAACAAGTTTAAGAACCTCAAACCCAGTCTGAGTCCTGAGTCCTTCATTTTTCAAATGAAGACTGAGGCATAGAGAAGGGAAATTATTTGCCTAAGGTCATGGTTGGTGTCAGAGTCTGAACTTGAACCCAGGTTTCTGCCCCAGAGGGGAGTGTGTCAGGCTGGGTTGAGGTAACAACAGGCCATGCTGCTGGGGTGTGAGACCCTCAGCACCTCCACCTGAAGGGTAAAGGGAACAGAAGGAGCTCCAGTTGGCTGGAGCTCTGGGGACAGGCCCTGGTGGGGCAGGAAGTGGACAGTCTTGGCTAAAACTAAACTTGGGGATTATCTGAAGTTTCACTTGGCTGGGATTTCTGTCCCTCAGCCATGCTCTTTCACACACACAGACACAGACAGAGACAGACAGACAGACAGACATACACACACACACACACACAGACACACACACACAGCTGTAGCTTCCTGCAGAGGGAGATGGGCTCAGAGGTGGGCTGGGCCAGGGCATGAGTGCTCATCTGACCCAGCAGCTGCCTAGCAGGTGTGCCAGGTGTGCCTCAGAAATTCCTCTCCCAGCTGAGCCCAGTGGCTCACACCTGTAATCCCAGAACTTTGGGAGGCTGAGGCAGGCAGATCACAAGGTCAGGAGTTCGAGACCAGCCTGACCAACATGGTGAAACCCCATCTCTACTAAAAATACAAAAATGAGCCAGGCATGGTGGCGCACACCTGTAATCCCAGCTACTCAGGAGGCTGAAGGAGGAGACTCGCTTGAACCCAAGAGGCAGAGGTTGCACTGAGCCAAGATCACGCCACTGCACTCCAGCCTGGGTGAAAGAGCGAGACTCTACCTCAAAAGAAAAAGAAAGAAAGAAATTCCTCTCCCAGAGTAACACATACCCCTGTATCCAACTCTAGAGTTTGCAAAGTGCTCTTACAGTCACTGGGTGATACATATCATTTAAGCTATTACCTTTTCTGTCTGGTCCTCAGTCTCCTTATGGTAAAGTAAGTTTTGTTTTGTTTCATTTTCTCCCTGGGTGTCCTTCAAAGTCCCTTCAAGCTCCAACATGAGGGAATGTTCTCCAGATCCCTGCTCCTCTCCAAGTCCTCTCCCAATGAACTCGCTCTTGCACAGGATACTTGGGGATAAACCTCTATTTAAATTGTTCACAAGCAGCACCCTGACCTTCACTAGCTCCTTAGGTGCCAAGGCTGAAGACTGGGTCCAACCCAAGTCTAAGAACTTTGGCCAGTGATTGAGGTTTAGGCTGTATGGGTTCCCTTTATGTTCAGGCTGTGAATAGAGGTCGGAGGGGGGGATGGTCCCCTAACCTGAGCCCCAGGGCCCTGTGAACTGCCAGAAGGAACAGAGCAGAAAAGTTAGAAGGCTGGGGACTGACCTTGAGCTCCAGTGCTGAGCATGGTGCTCTAGAAAGGAGGGGTGGAGGGGAGGGGCTCCACCCACCAGGTGAGGTCATGGGAAACCAGCTCTGGCGCTGACACCTGGGGAAACCCGTTTCCAGGCCGCTTCCCACGCTAGCTCTCCTGGGAACCAGCTGAGCCCCAAGCGGGGAGCTCCACACCTACCCCCACAGTCCAGTTCCCATTACACTGCCCCCACCCCCAGTCCAGCCCCCACCTTTCAATCTAGCCTCAGTCCTTTGGTCCCCAATCTGTCTCTAGCCAGGCAGTTAGGCCTTGAGGAGGGTTCTGAGGGAGGAGTGGGCTCCAGGAAATGACAGAGACAACGCACGCCTTCACAGACTTAAGGTTTTATTTGCAGACTCTGCACTGCTCTAGCTTCTAGGCTGTGTGACCTTGAGGAAAGGGATGATCCCCAACCCGGTCCTCCTTCAGGTTCTAATTTGCAGCTCCTCCCCCTCCTTTTGCTGGGCCTTGACTCTCACTTCCTGCCCCACTCCTGGCTCAGCCAGTTTGGGCAGTGCCTAGGGAGCCCAGAGACCCAGTTCTTCCCAGGGGCCAGCCCCGCCCTCCCTGGCCTTGGGGATTGAGGGCAGCCCAGGTGTCAGCCTGCTCCTCATCCACCCCACTTCCCTCTCTCCTCCTCCTCGTCATCTTCTTTCCAGGCCTTATCCACCATCAGTCCCAGGCTCCAAGACCTCTTTTCCTGCTCGCTCTCTCAATCTCTCGCCCACTCCATCCCAAACTTCTCTCCAAATCGGGGTTGAGCCCCTTCCAGCCCTCCATAATGCCAAGCGTTCCCCAAGCTCTTTCTCACCCCTGTGCCAAGGAAGGGTCCTAATTCAGCCAGGCTGACCTGAGGGCCCAGGACAAGAAACTGGGTTCCCAAACTGCTCGGAGGTGACTGACCCTGTTAGGACCATCCCATGAAAATCAAAGTGCCAGGTTTTTTTCTGTGAGCTTTGACTGGAGAAATCCAAATCAGAGCCTTCCCTCCTAGGCTCACCCAGGCATATCAGAGTGGGCAGTTAGAGGCCCATGTCCCCCGAGTGTTCAGAAGGGAACTGAGTCCTATGAGGTGGCCAGGCCCTGCCAGTAGCTGCCGCAAAGGCCCGGGTGCCCCAGGTCTCAGAAGTCTTTGGCCTCCTGCCTACTACTTGCTATGCAGCCATAGCTGCTCAAACGAAGCAGAAGAACTTCTTCCAGCGGCAGCGGGAGAGGGTGCGCACACCTTTGGCATTCAGTTTCTTCTCCAGCCGGGCTTTGTGCTCAATGGCACTGAGAATAGCCGAGTCAAATACTTCCTTCAAGTTCTTCTGCGTCAAGGCTGAGCACTCAAGGTAGCAGCAGGCTCGGATCTTCTCGGCCAGACCCTGAGCCTGGGGTTGGGGCACGGGGCCCTCCCGGCCCCCCTGGTCCAGCTGAATTAGTACGTTGACATCGTCCCTCAGGTCGGCCTGGGTGCCCACCAGCAGCACAGGCGCCTGGGGGTTGTGCGTGCGGATCTCGGGCAGCCATTTCTCTGTGATGTTTTGAAAGGAGCTGGGCTGCACCACGCTGAAGCACGCCAGGAAGACATCGGTATCCGGGTAGCAAAGGGAACGAAGTCGGTCAAAATCCTCCTGGGGTGGGAAGGCCAGGTGGTAAGGATTAGCCCCCCGACACATGGAATCCATTTCTCACCCGGGGCTGGAAACCTGAGACTCCAAGAGCCCAAGGCTTTCTCCATTTGCTCCATATGGGGTCCTCCCAGCCTCCAGCCCATCTCCCCGCAGACCAGTAGAGGCCGCGCCCAGCTTCTCACCTGTCCCGCTGTGTCCCAGAGCTCAATGCGCACCGGAGCTCCATCCACCAGGACTTGCACTGCAGGGGCGGGGCGGGGAGAGCCTGAGTTAGGAAGAGCGTCCTGGGCCGCACCAGCGCCACCTCGGGGCCTGCTCCAGTCTCCTCCCCGGGGTCCTCTGCGCCCTCCCGCCGAGACGCCCGCCCCAGCTCCCCGGTGCACAGCCCCGCCGCAGCCACGCGGCCGCACGGGCGATTGAACGTACGTACCAGAGAAGGTGTCCAGCGCAGTGGGCCGGTAGCGCGCGGGGTACCCATTGCAGGTGTAGCTGACGATGAGGCTGCTCTTGCCCACGGCGCCGTCGCCCACCAGCACGCACTTGATGCCCAGCTCTGGGGGCGCGCTACGCCGCCGCGGGGGAGGGGTCGGGGCCCGGAGCGGGGGCGGCTCGGCCTCGCTCAGCTCCCGCGGCGGCATGGCCCGCTCCGGGGGCAGCAGAGGGGCCAGCCCGGGTCTCGGCTTCGCTGCGCTCGGTGAAGCAGGTCCCGCTGGCTGCCTCTGACTGAATGGGTCCAGGCTGGGCGAGTCGGCCCAGCGCTACCAGCGGGTTTGTGTAGGGCCCCGCCCATCTCATCTACATGTTTCAGGCGGCCCCGGACCCCACCCATCGGCGAAGATCTCCCGCGGCCAGGCACCCTGCGAGGCCAGGCGAGGAGGAGGAAAACCCCGGGAGGAGGAAAGGCAGGCAGAAAGCTGGAGCTCCAAGAGTCACGCAGGTACAAGGACAAAGAATCGTCAAATGAGAATACCAAGAAGAGATAGACATCCATGATTTATTGTTAGGAGGAAGAAGCAAGTTGCAGAACATATAATACAGTATGTTCAGGTTAAACAAGTGTGCAAATTAAACCTTGTTCAACTTACAAGAAACAACTCTATGCATATGTTTGCATGAGTATTAAAAAGTTGGGATAATTTTATTAATGAAAGAATTACTTTTTTAAATATTGAGGCTGAGAGCAGTGGCTCATGCCTGTAATTCCAGCGTTCTGGGAGGCTAAGCCAGGAGGATCACTTGACCCCAGGAGTTCAAGGTTACAGTGAGCTATAATAGTGCCATTGCACTTCAGCATGTGTGACAGATCCTAAAAACAAACAAACAAACAAAAAACCTGTTGACCCCTGAACAAAGCGGGAATTATGGGCGAGAAACCCTGTGCAGTCAGCCGAAAATCCCTATATAACTTTTGACTACCCCAAAATTTAACTATTAATAGCCTGCTGTTGCTGGGCTCCGTGGCTCACGCCTGTAATCCCAGCACTTTGGGAGGCCGAGGTGGGTGGATCACCTGAGGTCAGGAGTTCGAGACCAGCCTGGCCAACATGGTGAAACCCCGTCTCTATTAAAAATACAAAAAATTAGCCAGGTGTGGTGGCGGGTGCCAGTAATCCTAGCTACTCAGGAGGCTGAGGCAGGAGAATCACTTGGACCTGGCAGGTGGAGGTTGCAGTGAGCCAAGATTGGGCCACTCCACTCCAGCCTGGGTGACAGAGCAAGACTCTCTCTTAAAAAACAAAAACAAAAAACCCCCCAAAAAAAGTAGCCAAGCATGGTGGTGTGCATCTGTAATCCCAGCTACTCGGAGGCTGAGGTGGGAGGATGGCTTGAACCTGGGAGGTGGAGGTTGCAGTGAGCTGAGATCATGCCATTGCACTCCAGCCTGGGCAACAGAGCCAGACTTTGTCTCAAAAATAAATAAATAAATAAATAAAAAATAGGCTGGGCGCAGTGGCTCACACCTGTAATCCCAGCATTTTGGGAGGCTGAGGCGGGCAGATCACATCACGAGGTCGGGAGATCCAGACCATCCTGGCTAACACGGTGAAACCCCGTCTCTACTAAAAATACAGAAAATTAGCCGGGCATGGTGGTGGGCGCCTGTAGTCCCAGCTACTCGGGAGGCTGAGGCAGGAGAATGGCGTGAACCCAGGAGGCGGAGCTTGAGTGGGCCGAGATTGCGCCACTGTACTCCAATCTGGGAGACGCAGCAAGACGCCATCTCAAAAAAAAAATAAAAATAAAAAAATAAAAAAGGCCGGGCGAGGTGGCTCACACCTGTAATCCCAGCTAATTTTTGTATTTTTAGTGGAGACGAGGTTTCACCATGTTGGCCAGGCTGGTCTTGAACTCTTGACCTCAGGTGATCCATCTGCCTCGGCCTCCCAAAGTGCTAGGATTACAGGTATGAGCCACCACGCCCAGGAGGCTTATCATATTTTCAAACTTTTTTCTTCTGACCTGTATCAGAAAGTTAGAATCATCGTAAAGGTCTGCACCCTTGTGGTCTCCAGTTGGGTAGGCTGAGGAGAAGGAGGAAAAGGAGTTGGTCTTGCTGCGTCAGGGGTGGCAGAGGTGGAGAAGGTGGAAGGGGAGGCAGGAAAGGCAGGCACACTTGGTATAACTTTTATCTATTTTTAGAGATGTGGTCTTGATCTGTTGCACAGTCTGGAGTGCAATGACGCGAGCATAGCTCACTGCAGCGTCCAAACTCCTGGCCTCAAGCAATCCCGCCCCAGCCTTCCAAGTAGCTGGGATTACAGGCATGCACCCCCAGGCCAGGCTACATTTTTTTAATTTTTTTTTTTTGTAGAGACAGTCTTGCTTTTTTGCCCAGGCTGGTCTTCAACTCCTGGCTTCAAGTGATCCTCAGGCCTCAGCCTCCCAAAGTGCTGGGATTAAAGGCATGACCCACCACACACGGCCCTCAGTGTAACTTTTATTGAAAAAATTCTGCCTAAAATGGACCTGTACAGTTCACACCCATGTTGTTCAAGGCTCAGCTGTATACAGATCATGAGAGAGGCAGAGAAACACAAGTGTGAATACAGCAGGCAGGAATGTACTGTACTCCTTTTCAGAGGAGAGCTTTCTCTAGACTCAGCCTGAAGGCAAGCTGTGAACACTTTCACTCCCCTCAGCTAAAGGAACTCAGGGTGCTGAGAAGCTAGCTGGGGAGGATCTTCAAGGACAATTTCCATTTGAATATTTTATAAATCTCCAAATACCTAATATTATCTCATCATCATCAAAAGCACATAATAATTACCTATCTGCAGATGCTGTTCTGGGCCACCCACTGCCCTTGCCCTAGAAGGAGTTTGCAGACTGAGACAATATCTCCCAGGTAGCCCTGGGAAGGTCACCTGGAGAGCAAGTGAAGAGTAGCCTGATGCTAATTTTGTCTCTTTATTGCAACCACACCAAGTGACACCAGGCCCAGAATCCTTTCTCTGATCTCTGACCCTTTCATCTCAGCCTATGCAAAGATCACAGAAAACACCGTCACCTTCAGGGAGTCAGCCATTCACGAGTTTTGGGAAAGGAGAATGTTGGGAGGGGGAGGGGCAGTGAATATTAAAAGAGATAATTCTATTTCTCCAAGAGCTGGTAGTATAAAAGCCATAAATCCGTCCAGGTGCGGTGGCTCACACCTGTAATCCCAGCACTTTGGGAGGCTGAGGTGGGTGGATCACTTGAGGTCAGGAGTTCGAGACCAGCCTGGCCAACATGGTGAAACCCCGTCTCTACTAAAAATACAAAAATTAGCCGGGCGTGGTGGTGGCGCCTGTAATCCCAGCTACTTGGGAGGCTGAGGCACAAGAATTGCTTGAACCTGGGAGGCAGAGGTTGCAAATGAGCCGAGATCGCGCCACTGCACTCCAGCCTGGGTGATAGAGCGAGACTCAGTCTAAAAAAAAAAAGCCATAAATCCAAACCAAATCTTTACATCTCTTAGAAAAAGTGACAGGTTCCCTGATTTTTCTTTTCTTTTTCTTTTTTTTTTTTTTGCCAGGGTCTCGCTCTGTGGCCCAGATCAACAGATTCAACCTCAGCTCACTGCAACCTTCACCTCCCAGGTTCAAGCGATTCTCCTGCCTCAGCCTCCCAAGTAGCTGGGACTACAGGTGCATGACACCATGCCTGGCTAATTTTTATATTTTTGGTAGAGACAGGGTTTCACCATTTTGGCCTGGCTGGTCTTGAACTCCTGAGCTTAAGCAATCCACCTTCCTTGGCCTCCCAAAGTGCTGAGATTTCTTGTTTTCTCTTTTTGAGCCCAAAGGAGAGGACTACAGCTAGAAAGATGACTTAATCATTAAAATCTCGACTATGGGGATGGGGAAATCGTAGGAGCCCCTGTAACCACTTCTACATGCCAATGTCTTCATCCTACATGCCATACCTCTGAATGTCTGGGGATGCTAATAATCCCTAATTGTAGCCCCAAGTCTCAAAAACTTCTCAGACACATCCACATAAGTTTATTCATCTAGCAAGTGAAAGAGGCCTTACCTGTTGTCCTGCCTTTGTATTCCTCTAGAAAGCCCAAAAGCTGTTGTATTTGCTCTCCTGGAAAAGGAGTGGCATTTTTTTTTTTTTTTTTTTTTTGAGACGGAGTCTCGCTCTGTCACCCAGGCCGGACTGCGGACTGCAGTGACGCAATCTCGGCTCACTGCAAGCTCCGCTTCCCGGGTTCACGCCATTCTCCTGCCTCAGCCTCCCGAGTAGCTGGGACTACAGGCGCCCGCCACCGCGCCCGGCTAATTTTTTTTTTGTATTTTTAGTAGAGACGGGGATTCACCTTGTTAGCCAGGATGGTCTCGATCTCCTGACCTCATGATCCACCCGCCTCGGCCTCCCAAAGTGCTGGGATTACAGGCGTGAGCCACCGCGCCCGGCCAGGAGTGGCATTTTAAAAGACCTGGACATCAGGAGACCTGTCCCAGTGTTCCCAGTTCTTCAGCTCACTAGCTGTGTGATGCCTACCAAATCACTTCATCTGTCTCAGTCCTATAAAATGACAGGTGAAGCATGTTTATCTCTGAAAGCCTTTCTGGTGCTAGCAATCTGTGATTCAGGGATCCCAGGGAAGCTGCCCCAGCCCAGGTGTCTGGGACAGAATTACTACACACGCGCGCACACACACACACACACACACACACACACACACACACACACACGCTCTTCTTTGCAGTGCTCTTGTTTTTTTACCTGGATTTTAATAATAGTTTAATTATAGCTGTAAATTTGAGGGTAATCCTGTTTCATCCTTTCTGCAGGCAGGAGGGGTGTAAATACACAAATTGGGGGAGATGTCTGCTTGGGCACAGGTAAAAGCCCTGATGTGGCCTGAGACAGGTCATTATTTTCTGGCCGCTTAGGTGGGGACACTTTCCAACCTAGGTCCCTCTGTCTGAGCTGGTTTAGGGGCAGTTTTGTCAGCAAGAGGGGGAGGGAGGAAACAACTTAAGGTGCTGATGAGTCACCTGTTTCTCAGAGAAGGACTTGCTGGGGAAGTTTGCAATTCTGGCTGCTACTGCTGGGAAACTCCCCTCCTAAGGGTAGGCTGGGTCTTATTCCTGCTGCCTGCCAGATCTTCTGCCCCAACTTCCAGCTAGACACACATTTGCTAGGATTAAAACTTGGCTCTGACATTCTCCATGGAGAAATAGCAGATTATAGGACTGGGGCAGGAAATATACAAGTCTATACCAATATAAATAAATAATTAAATACATAAATAAGTGAGACATGCCGGGCCTGGTGGCTCATTCCTTCAATCTCAGCACTTTGAGAGGCCAAGGCAGGAGGATTGCTTGAACCCAGGATTTCAAGACCAGCCTGGACAACATGGCAAAACCCAGTCTCAAAAAAAAAAAAAAAAATTAATGGGGCATGGTGGCATGCACCTGTAAGTCCCAGCTACTCAGGAGGCTGAGGTGGGAGGATCACCTGAGCCTGTGAGGTTGAGGCTGCAGTGAGCCACTGCACTCCAGCCTGTGTGACAGAGTGAGATTCTGCACCCCCTATCCCCCCACCGCAAAAAAAGGCAAAAAAAAAATAGTTTACTTAAAAAAAACCAAAAACTAAAAAACTCAACCATAGCCCTGACATTGAATCACGGCAGTAATATCTTGCCTCCAAAATGTCCATCACAGCTGTATATGGCTTTAGACTTGTAAAAGTGCTGCAGTCTGCCCTGTCTCATAAGAACCAAGTGACATGGCTTAGGAGAGGGGTGTGTCTGAGAAGGTGTGGCTGTGTGTGTGTGTGTGCGTGCGTGTGTCTATTCCCATTTTATCAGTGAGTATAGGGGACCTGCCCCAAGATGAAAGAAACTAGTAAGTGGCAGTCTGTTCCAGAATGAACAAGCCAACCACAGGTCCACCCTCAGGCGTGGTCAAGTTTTTTTTTTTTTTAAGATAGAGTCTGGCTCTGTCGGCCAGGCCACAGTGCAGTGGCAAGATCTTGGCTCACTACAACCTCTGCCTCCTAGTTCAAGCGATTCTCCTGCCTCAGCCTCCCAAGTAGCTAGGACTACAGGAGTGGACCACCACGCCCAGCTACTTTTTGTATTTTTAGTAGAGATGAGGTTTCACCATGTTGATCAGGCTGGTCTCGAACTGCTGACCTCAGGTGATCCACCTGCCTCGGCCTCCCAAAGTGCTGGGATTACAGGCATGAGCCACTGTGCCCAGCCAGTGTTGTCAAGTTTTATTAGGTATTTTTGTTAATTCCATATCTTAAGTTTACTGAAAACACTGGAATGCCTATAGCAAAACCTGGACAAGAATAAACCAAAAGAAACCAACCCCCTACCCTACCACCACAATTATTCCGCTGGCAAATAAGGGATTAACAAAAGAACACCACGGCCAGGCACGGTGGCTCACGTCTGTAATCCCAGCACTTTGGGAGGCTGAGGCAGGCAGATCACCTGAAGTCAGGAGTTCAAGAGCAGCCTGGCCAACATGGTGAAACCCTGTCTCTACTAAAAACACAAAAATTAGCTGGGCATGGTTGCATGCACCTGTAATCCCAGCTACTCCGGCAGCTGATGTAGGGAGAATTGCTTGAACCTGGGAGGCGGAGGTTACAGTGAGCTGAGATCACGCCACTGCACTCCAGCCTAGGAGACAGAGCGAGACTCCATCTCAAAAAAATTAAAAACAAAAACGAAAGAACACCAGTGGTGGGGAAAAGTTATTCCAAGGGCTCCATCCAGAGAGAGGTTGTTTTTGAGTGAATGCACTCTCATTGTCTTTTTCTGTTTCTTCTGCATACTCCAGTCCAAGACCCCCAAAATCAGGCCTGCTGCTTAGGATGAGCTCAGAGACTGAGATGGGCAGGTCAGAAAGCTTTGAAATAAAAACAGAATTCAAGAAAAAGAATTTTATATTTAACACTTGCTTACCAACATACTGATAATAATTATATATTATATATAACTTAATATATAATTATATATTATAATATAGTTATATGATACAATAATAATAATACAATAACTTGACTACCCACTTTCTGAGCTTTCAGTGGAAATTGGGCCACCATAGGTTTTTCTCTTCCTTTTTCTTTATTTTATGCATTTTATTTATTTTCTTTGTGGAGACAGAGTCTTGCTGTGTCACCCAGGCTGGAGTACAGTTGTGCGATCAGGGCTCACTGTAGCCTCGACCTCCCAAGCTCAAGTGATCCTCCTGCTTCAGCTTCCTCAGTATGTGGCACCACAGGTGCATGCTACCACACCTGTCTAACTTTTTAATTTTTTTGTAGATACTGGGTCACCCTATGTTTCCCAGGTTGTTCTCAAACTCCTGGGCTCAAGCAATCCTCCTGCCTCAGCCTCCCAAAGTCCTGGGATTATAGGGGTGAGCCACGACACCCAGCAACACAGATTTTTCTCTATTTCCATGTGCTTGTGTCCTTGGAGGGAGTTTGTGGCAAATTTACCCAGCTGGGCTGAGTTTGCCCCATGGTGCTGCTGGTCAACCCTTCAAGTCCATTTCCTCAGTCCCCACACCCTCTAGACCACCCTTGGGCTCAGGCTGGCTCCTGGACTTCTGTCCTGTCTTCCCTGCTCCCTCGCACCCAGACTTGGCCTCCGCTTCTCCCTTCATTTCTCTCCACCTCGCCATCCAGCTGATCCCACCGCTACTGCCCCCTTCCAACCTCTCTTTCCGCTCAGATCTTGCACCCAAGCCCTAGCTTTTTAAATGCCTGCAAGAGTTGCCACCTAAAACCTTTACCTAAAAAACTCCCCTACTAACTTCCTTATTTTCTCTTATTTTTATTTTATTTTTATTTTTGAGAGAGTCTGGCTCTGTCACCCACGCTGGAGTGCAATGGTGCAATCTCAGCTCCCTGCAACCTCTGCCTCCTGAGTTCAATTGATTCTCCTGCCTCAGCCTCCTGAATAACTGGGATTACAGGTGTGCACCACCACTCCTGGTTAATTTTTGTATTTTTAGTAGAGAGGCGGTTTCACCATGTTGGCCAGGCTGGTCTCGACCTCCTGAGCTCAAGTGATCTGCCTGCCTCGGCCTCCCAAAGTGCTGGGATTACAGGCGTGAGCCACCACGCTGGCTCTATTTAATTAATTAATTTATTTATTTATTATTATTATTATTTTGAGACGGAGTCTAGCTCTGTCGCCCAGGCTGGAGTGCAGTGGCACAATCTCGGCTTGCTGCAACCTCCACCTTCGGGTTCAAGAGATTCTCCTGCCTCAGCCTCCCGAGTAGCTGGGATTACAGGTGCCCACCACCACGCCCAGCTACTTTTTGTATTTTTAGTACAGACGGGGTTTCACTGTGTTGGCCAGGCTGGTCTCGAACTCCTGACCTCATGATCTGCCCACCTCGGCCTCCCAAAGTGCTGGGATTACAAGCGTTAGCCACCGCGCCTGGCCATTTATTTATTTATTTTTAGAGATGAGGGGTGTCTCGCTCATCTCTGGACTCAAACTCCTGGCCTCAAGAGATCCTCCTGCCTCAGTATCCTAAGTAGCTGGGATTACAGGCGTGCCCCACTGCATCCAGCACCTCAGTATGTTTTTGAGATTCACTCATGCTGTTGTGTATAAGAGTAGCTTGTTTTTTTGTGCTTTTTAATTTTTATTTTACTTATTCTTTTTTTAGAGATGGGGTCTCTGTTGCCAGGCTGGAGTGCAGTGACATGATCATGACTCCACTGCAGCCTTGAACTCCTGGGCTCAAGAATCCTCCTGCCTCAGCCTCCCAAGTAGCTGGGACTACAGGCACATGCCACCACACCCGGACAGTTCTTTTTTTTTTCTTTGCTGAGTAATATTCCATTATATGGATATACCACAGTTTGTTTATTTTTTTTTTTTTTTTTGAAATGTCGTTTTGCTCTTGTTGCCCAGGCTGGAGTGCAGTGGTGTGATCTTGGCTCACTGCAACCTCCTCCTCCCAGGTTAAAGTGATTCTCCTGCCTCAACCTCCCAAGTAGTTGAGATTACAGGAGCCTGTCACCACGCCCGGCTAATTTTTCTATTTTTGGTAAAGATGGGGTTTCCCCACGTTGGCCACGCTGGTCTGAAACTCCTGAACTCAGGTGATCCTCCCACCTCGGCCTCCCAAAGTGCTTGGATGACGGGTGTGAGCCACCACCACACCCAGCCTGTTTATTCTCTTGATTGACATTTGACTTGTTTCCAGTTGCAGCTATTATGAATAATGCTGCTATAAACATTCATGTACAAATCTTTGTGTGGACATATTATTTTCATTTCTCTTGGATAAATACCCAGATATTGAATTGCTGGGTCATGAGGTAAATATGCATGTTAAGTGGCTGTTAGTAGTTGTACCATTTTATATTCCCACCAGCATTTTATGACACCCCAGTTGCTCCACAACCTCACAACACTTGGTGTTGTTGGTTTTTAATATTTTGGCGCTGGGCACGGTGGCTCACGCGTATAATCCCAGCACTTTGGGAGGCTGAGGTGGGCAGATCACTTGAGGTCAGGAGTTTGAGACCAGCCTGGCCAACATGGTGAAACCCCGTCGCTACCAAAAATACAAAAATTAGTTGGGCAGTGGTGGGTCCCTGTAATCCCCACTACATGGGAGGCTGAGGCAGGAGAATTGCTTGAACCTGGGAGGCAGAGGCTGCAGTGAGCCGAGATCGCGCCACTGCACTCCAGCCTTGGCGACAAGAGCCAGACTCCATTTCAAAAAAAAAAAAAAATTGGCCAGGCGTGGTGGCTCACACCTGTAATCCCAGCACTTTGGGAAGCTGAGGCGGGTGGATCACACGGTCAGGAGTTTGAGGCCAGCCAGACCAAGATGGTGAAAGCACGTCTTTACTAAAAATACAAAAATTAGCTGGGCACGGTGGTGGGTACCTGTAATCCCAGCTACTTGGGAGGCTGAGGCAGGAGAATCACTTGAACCTAGGAGGTGGAGGTTGCAGTGAGCCAAGATCTTGCCACTGCACTCTAGCCTGGGCGACAGAGCAAGACTCCATCTCAAAAAAAAATTTTTTAATTAAAAAAATATTTTGGATTTTGTTGCTGTTGTATTGTTGCTGTTTATTTTATTTTATTTGTTTTTTTGAGTCTCGGCTCACTGCAACCTCTGCATCCAGTGTTCAAGCAATTCTCCTACCTCAGCCTCCTGAGTAGCTGGGAGTACAGACACGCTCTACCATGCCTGGGTAATTTTAGTATTTTTAGTAGAGATGGGGGTTTCACCAAGTTGGTCAGGCTGGTTTCGAGCTTCTGACCTCGTGATCCTCCCGCCTCAGCTTCCCAAAGTGCTTGGATTACAGGCGTGAGCCACCATGCCTGGCCTGCTGTTGCTTTTAATACTAAATCTCATCATTTTTTAAAAGCTTGAAAACAGGCTGTGCACAGTGGCTCATGCCTATAATTCCAACACTTTGGGAGGCCAAGACAGGGGGATTGCTTGAACCCAGGAGTTCTAGACTAGCCTGGGCAATATAGCAAGACTCCGTTTCAGTTATTTTTTTAAGTTTGAAAACAGTTTCTGCAATAGGTCATACGGATGAATATATAGTTAACTCATATATACGCGTGTGATATAGTGTGTGCATGTGATGCACGTTAACATGCCAAGTCATGCATTCATTCAGCAGGCACTTCCCAAGTACTTACAGTGTGTCAGGCCTTATGATCTAAAAGGTTGTCAGGGCTGGAAGGATGAGAGGTGGCTATTAGATTTCACATTAATCAGATGAGGTTCCCTGGCTTCAACATCTTTTGAAATATCTTCTAGACTACTAAAGGATAGGTAAGAAGCATAGCACCCAGCTCTGAGGCAGTGCTCTGAAAACCATTATTTCCTGAGCACTGACCTCAAAGATCTCTAAATGGACCACAACAAGGGTTTGGCATTTTTTTTTTTTTGAGACGGAGTTTTGCTCTTGTTGCCCAGGCTGGAATGCAATGGCGTAACCTTGGCTCACTGCAACCTCCACCTCCTGAGTAGCTGGGATTATAGGTGCGCACCACCACGCCTGGCTAATTTTTGTATTTTTAGTAGAGACAGAGTTTCACCATGTTGGTCAGGCTGGTCTCGAACTCCTGACCTCAGGTGATCCACCCGCCTCGGCTTCCCAAAGTGCTGAGATTACAGGCGTGAGCCACTGCACCTGGCTGGGTTTAGCTTTTAGAGAATCACAGAATTATTAGAGATGGTTAAGTTCCCCCTTCACAATTTACAGGTGAGAAAAGAAAAGCGTAGCTCAGAGGGGGTAGGGGACTTGTCCAAAGGTGTTGGCTAAGTTGGGTTTCATATCTGAAAACAAGAGGGGCTTTAAGAGCTTGGCCAAGGAGGCCACTGGAGAAACAGCATGGAGAGTGGTAGTGGGGAGAGCAAAAACCAGCGGGGTGAGGGTGGGGCTCCTGGCAGATGTGGTGCTGGCACAAAGCATTGACTCCCCATTTCCCATGCTCCCTAAAGAAGCTTATAAACTATGCTGACAACTCAAACATTTCATCTTTTTTTTTTCTTTTTTTGAGATGGGGTTTCGCCCTGTCACCCAGGCTGGAGTGCAGTGGTGTGATCTCAGCTCACTGCAGCCTTGACCTCCTTGGCTCAAGCCATCCTCCCACCTCAGCCTCCTGAGTAGCTGAGACCACAGGCATGCGCCACCACGCCTGGCTCATTTTTGTATTTTTTTTTTTGGTAGAGATGGGGTCTTACTATGTTGCCCAGGCTGGTCTGGAACCCCTGTTTTTGTTTTTGTTTTTTTTTTAGACAGAGTCTCGCTCTTGTCGCCCAGGCTGGAGTGCAATGGTGCAATCTCGGCTCACTGCAACCTCTGCCTCCCAGCTTCAAGCGATTCTCCTGCCTCAGCCTCCTGAATAGTTGGGAATACAGGTGCCTGCCACCAAGCCCAGATAATTTTTATATTTTTAGTAGAGACGGGGTTTCACCGTGTTGGCCAGGCTGGTCTCAAACTCCTGACCTCAGGTGATCCACCCGCCTTGGCCTCCCAAGATGCTGGGATTACAGGTGTGAGCCACCGCGCCCGGCCACTCCTGGTCTTAAGTGATCCTCCTGCCTCAGCCTCCCAAAGCCCTGGGGCTCCAGGTCTGAGCCTGTGATGGAGTGGTGTGTGATAAGCTTCTTCTCCTAAAGCAGGGGCCGGGCAGTAGGAATGCAAGGGGACCTGCCACTTGTTTACAGGTACCTAGACCTGCTGGTCACCTTTAGGAAAGAGCCCAATGCAGTTGGGGATCTGGAAACTGATTCCCTTAAAATAATTTCTACCCTCTGTCACTTGGGAGACCCTTTCATACCCCTAAGGATGTGTGAACCCCTGTTCGAGGACCCCTGGTTTGAGGATGCTCTCATTTCTGACCTAGACAAGTGAGGCCACTGGGCCTGCAGTCCTGAGGGCAGTGGGGGGATGAAAGAGAGCAGCTTGGCTAGAAGCTCCCTCAGTGAGAGAGGGATGACAGTAGCAGGGAGGGGATACTTTTTGAGAATTGGGGCGATTCAGGTAGGTTTAGACACATGCAGAAGGGAGCCAAACATGAAGGAGAAGAAAGAAGGGCGTGGAGAGCTGTTCTGAACAGGCCAAGGGTCTTCTTTCCTCAGCATATTTTAATGGAAGCCAACAACTGTGCTAGGCCCTGTGCCAGGAAGTGGTGTGCTAGAGACACTTTTCCCTGTCTGGTGAGAATTAGAGAAGACAGGGGCCTGGTCCTGGCAAGGGGAGGAGTATCAGGGAAGCCATTCTAGAGGGAGCAAATCCTCAACACCAGACACTCTAATGTCCAAATGGGTGTGGTGCATTTTGGAAACATCCTTAGATCAGCGTGACTGGGGCTCTGAGCAATGAAAACAGATGGAATTTAACTGGGGATGGGGCAAAGGACTGCTAGGTTTTCTTTCTTAGTAAGTCTTTTTTTTTTTTTTTTTTTTTTTTGAGACAGCAGGCTCACTCTGTCACATAGGCTGGAGTGCAGTGGCACAATCTCAGCTCACTGCAACCTCTGCTTAGCGATTCTTCAGGCTCAGCCTCCCGAGTAGCTGGGACTACAGGTGTGCACCACCATGTCTGGCCAGAATGCCAGAATTCCAAAGGATTTATGCAGATACTTCACCCTCAAGGAAGCAAAAACTCCCACCCCTTAAGTGCAGGGTGTGTAGGTGTGTAGTGACTTCCTTCCAAACAGTACAGCATGGAAAGGAGGGAAAAGAGTAACTCTGTAGTGGAGAATCCTGACAAGCACTATCTTGGTCAGGTGATCAGTCATGATGATAAATCATGTTGATAGTGTGTATCCTCGATATAATAGAGAGGTGTTGATAATGGTTCTTTATCTCCCCAAACCATAAATAGCCCTAGTCTAAACATGAAAAAAAATTAAATGAATTCCAACAGAGAGCATTCAACAAAATACTTGCCTAGTACTCAAAATTATCAAGGTAATCAAAAACAAGGAATATCTGAAAAACTTAAAAACTGCCAGTCAAGAGCAGTCCAAGGAGACATGACGACTGTTTTTCCCTATACATAACCTGTGATAAAATTTAATTTATAAATTAGGCCCACTGTGAGATTAACAACAATAATAATATAGGACAGTTATAACAACAGACTGTAATAAAAGCTATGTAGGCCAGATGAGGTGGCTCATGCCTGTAATCCCAGCACTTTGGGAGGCCAAGGCAGGCAGATCACCTGAGGTCGGGAGTTCGAGACCAGCCTGACCAACATGGAGAAACCCTGTCTCTACTTTTAAAAATACAAAATTAGCTGGGCATGGTGGCACATGCCTGTAATCCCAGTTACTCGGGAGGCTGAGGCAGAAGAATCACTTGAACCCGGGAGGCGGAGGTTGTGGTGAGCCGAGATAGCGCCATTGCACTCCAGCCTGGGCAACAAGAGTGAAACTCCGTCTCAAAAAAAAAAAAAACAAACAAGTTATGTGAGGCTGGGTGCGGTGGCTCACACCTATAATCCCAACACTTTGGGAGGCTGAGGTGGGCAGATCACCTGAGGTCATGAGTTGGAGACCAGCCTGGCCAACATGGTGAGACCCCGTCTCTACTAAAAATACTAAAATTAGCCAGGCATGGTGGTGGGTGCCTGTAGTCCCAGCTACTCGGGAGGCAGAGGCAGGAGAATTGCTTGAACCCAGGAAGTGGAGGTTGCAGTGAGCCGAGATTGCACCATAGCACTCTAGCCTGGGCAACAGATCAAGACTCCATCTCAAAAATAAATAAATAAATAAAAGTTAGGTGAATGTGTTCTCACTCTCTCAAAATATATTATTCTATTATCCACACCTATTTCAGACTGCTATTGACTGCAGGCAACTGAAAGCCCAGAAAGCAAAACTACAGATAAGGGGGAACTGCTGTACTTCAAATGGACACAGGCATCAATGAAAAAGCCTCCGGCAGGGCACAGTGGCTGATGCCCATAATCCCAGCACTTTGGGAGGCCGAGGCGGGCAGATCACAAGGTCAGGAGATCGAGACCATCCTGGCCAACATGGTGAAACCCGTCTCTACTAAAAATACAAAAATTAGCTGGGCGTGGTGGTGCGCCCTTGTAGTCCCAGCTACTCAGGAGGCTCAGGCAGGAGAATTACTTGAACCAGGGAGGCAGAGGTTGCAGTGAGCCAAGATTGCGCCACTGCACTCCAGCCTGGTGACAGAGCCAGACTCCGTCTCAAAAAATAATAATAATAAATAAAATAAAATAAAAAAGAGAGACTCTAGTGGCCCAAACAGGAACAATCTGAGTAATAATATAAAGTAGTATTGGTGGGTTCTGGAAGTTAAAAATAAATAAATAAAAATAGACCTGGCGCGGTGGCTCATGCCTGTAAACCCAGTACTTTGGGAGGCCGAGGTGAGTGGATCACTTGAGGTCAGGAGTTCGAGACCAGCCTGGCCAACATGGTGAAACCCCGTCTCTACTAAAAATACAAAAATTAGTCAGGCGTGATGGCACGCGCCTGTATTCCCAGCTACTTGGGAGGCTGAGACAGGAGAATTGCTTGAACCCAGGAGGTGGGGGTTGCTGTGAGCTGAGATTGCACCACTGCACTCCAGCCTGGCCAACAGAGTGAGACTCAGTCTCAAAAAAAGAATAAATAAATAAATAAATAAAAAGGGAAAAAAGAAAAAAATGTCCACAATTCTCTACTGATATAAATAAATAGGAAAGGGGTGAAAAAAAAACACTACATTTGAGAATCCTGAAGAACACTCCTTCAGCCAGGTAATCAAAAGTAAGATCAATAGTGTTAAGTCAAGCTGATATGCACCTTCATATAGTATGATGAGAATGTAGTGTGGAATGCTGGATGAGATCCTGTTCCAGAAAAAGGGCATTCAAACTAAGGGCTGGGCACACTGGCTCACACTTGTAATCCCAGCACTTTGGGAGCCCAAAGCAGGCAGGTAGCTTAAGCTTAGAAGTTCAAGACCAGCCTGGGCAACATGGGAAAACCATCTCTCTACAAAAAAAAATACAAAAATTAGCTGGGCGTGGTGGTGTGCACCTGTAGTCCACGCTACTTGAGGGGCTGAGGCAAGAGGATCGCTTGAGCCCAGGAAGTCAAGGCTGTCAGGCCGGGCCTGGTAGCTCACACCTGTAATTCCAGCACTTTGGGAGGCCGAGGCGGGTGGATCACCTGAGGTCAGGAGCTCAAGACCAGCCTGGCCAACATGGTGAAACCCATCTCTACTAAAAATACAAAAATCATTTGGGCATGGTGGCGCATGCCTGTAATCCCAGCTACTCAGGAGGCTGAGGCAAGAGAATCGCTTGAACCTGGGAAGTGGAAGTTGCAGTGAGCCGCATCAAGCTACTGCACTCCAGGCTGGGTGACAGAGCGAGACTCTGTCTCAAAACAAAACAAAACAAAAAAAGGCTGCAGTGAGCCATGATTGAGCCAGTGCACTACAGCCTGGGCTACAGAGTGAGACCCCGTCTAAAAAGAAAGAAAGAAAAAAAAAACACTAAGGAAATTTGAATAGAGTATGAACTTTAGTTAATAATAATATGTCAATATTGGTTCATTAATTTTAACAATGGCACCATACTAATGTAAGATATTCATACTAAAGGAGACTGCACATGAGGTATATAGGAACTCTCTGATCTATCTTCTCAATTTTTCTGTAAATTTTTATTTTATTTATTTATTTTTTTGAGACAGAGTCTCACTCTGTCGCCCAGGCTGGAGTGCAGTAGCACGATCTTGGCTCACTGCAAGCTCCGCCTCCCGGGTTCACGCCATTCTCCTGCCTCAGCCTCCCGAGTAGCTGGGACTACAGGCGCCCACCACCACGCCCAGGTAATTTTTTTTGTATTTTTAGTAGAGACAGGGTTTCACCATGTTAGACAGCATGGTCTCGATCTCCTGACCTTGTGATCCGCCCGCTTCGGCCTCCCAAAGTGCTGGGATTACAGGCATGAGCCACTGCGCCCGGCCTGTAAATTTTAAATTATTTCAAACAGAAAATCTTTTTTTTTTTTTTTTTAATAGAGACAAGTTCTCACTATGTTGCCCAGGCTGGTCTTGAACTCCTGGACTCAAGTGATCCTCCTGCCTCAGCCTCCCAAACTGCTGGGATTATAGGTGTGAGCCACTGCACCCAACCAGAAAATTTATTTTTAATTAAGTCAATTAAATCATTCCTTTTAATCTTGGTCTTAACTAAGTCAACAATTACTACTGGTAGTTAACTTGTATAGAGCATTTTGTATTGAGGCACAGCTTTGGGTGATTTGCATAATATGCTATTATACTCACAATACTCACCTTACAAATATAGAAACTGAGACATGAGAGAGCTCATTCATGCAACTTTTAACAACTGTTTATGAGTGAGTTAGTGAGTGTCCTGGAAGAGTGTGCCCATGGTCTGGGCTCCTCCACGGAGTGCCCTGCAGTTGTCTCATGTGCCACTGTCCAGGTTGAGCTCAATCAAGTGACCCCACCCCTCTTCACCGGGATCCTCCTCCTTGACCATTATGTCACTGCCACCAT
Source organism: Homo sapiens (assembly GCF_000001405.40). Lineage (NCBI taxonomy): Eukaryota > Metazoa > Chordata > Mammalia > Primates > Hominidae > Homo > Homo sapiens. Next base: position 40,891,020 of record NC_000015.10, read on the forward strand.
CTGCCAGGTCTCCCCAGGAGTCATCCTGCACTCTTCTGTCACTTCTCAAATCTAACTTGACACCAAGTCCTGGGGGCCCTTCTTCGGAAAGTTCTCCCCAGCCTATGTTCTTTCTCCTGTTTGGGTCCTCACTGCTTCTCCTTTGCCTCTGCTCGGGTCTCATCTGCTCTGAGGGGATCTCCACCTAAGCCACCACCCATTTTTCCAGAACCCACATCATATACTCTCTCAACCCCAACCAAAACCTTCCCATGGCGCATTGAATAACTTTGCAACCTGGCCACAGCCCGCCTCATTCCCTCCACTCCCTAGCACTCCACCGTTGTACCCCAAAATCACACTGCTTGCAGGCCATTGCTGTTTTCTTTTCCTTTCCTTTCCTTTTTCCTTCCTTCTTTCCTTTCTGTTTTTCTTTTTTTGAGGCAGAGTCTCACTCTGTCACCCAGGCTGTAGTGTAGTGGCACAACCTTGGTTCACTGCAACCTCTGCCTCCCAGGTTGAAGCGATTCTCCTGCCTTAGCCTCCCGAGTAGCTGGGACCACAGGCATGCACCACCACACCTGGCTAGTTTTTGTATTTTTAATAGAGATGGGGTTTTGCCACGTTGGCTAGGCTGGTCTCAAACTACTGGACTCAAGTGATCCTCCCACCTTAGCCTCCCAAAGTGCTGGAATTACAGGTGTGAGCCACCGTGCTCAGCCCTGCTCTTGGTTTTCTTGAGGACTGCATAATACCTTCTCTTTTTGCCCTTAGAGGTCCTACATGCTCTTCAAGTCTTAGGTCAAATTCAACTGCTTTCTTACACAGATCCTCTCTCTCATTGGCTTAGCAGTCACCTGTTACCTGTCTCATGGTAACTGCTACAATGACTCTGAGGACTAGAGGCTGGTGCGTATGTCTCTAGCTGTGAGTTCCCTAAGGCACCTCTGTATCTTCATGCTCAGAAATCACTGGGTTATTTCCTGCAGTTTCTATCAAAGCAAAATGTCCACACTGCATCATTAGGGGCCCCCAAGTGGCCAGAATAAGAAAAGCCAGCTGGGCGCAGTGGCTCGCACCTGTAATCCCAGCTACTGGGAAGGCTGAGACAGGAGAATGGTTTGAGCCCAGGTGTTTAGATGAGCTATGATCACATCACTGCACTCCAGCCTGGGTGACAGAGCAAGATCCCATCTCTAAAAAGAGTTCTGAGGGATCCAGAGAGGCTTCAGGAAGGAGGAGGACTTGAGAGAGACTGTCAGATGAAAGTCACATTTAGAGTTTATTAAGCACATGCTCCATGTTGGGCATTATACTATAGCAGTGAGCTTTCACGTGGATCCCTCATTTACTTCTCAGCACAGACCTACTAGGTAGGTATTTGTCTCTGTAGATGAGGAAACTGAAGCTAAGAGCATCAACTGTGCAGTGTCACAGCTAGCAAGTGGCTGGGCAGGGATAAGAGATACAGCTTGCCCTTGGAGATCATACATGCACTTCAAGTCTTGGGTCAAATTCAGCTGCTTTCATACAGGAATCCTCTCTTTTGATGCCCTAGCAGTCATCCCTTACCTGTCTCATTGCAACTGCCACACTTGATTCTGTGGCTCTCAAAGAATCCAAAGTCCAGCCTAAGAACTGAAGAATGAGTAGGTGGAAATGCACTGTGGTAATCAACGCATAAGGGAGACTGTACTGAGTCTGCCACAAACAGGGTCCACCCAGGCCTATCCCATACATCCCGGAGAGCCATGGAGCCCAACAATGGGGTGCTGGGGTCCCTGAGGCTGTAGCTGGAAGTACTCTGTGTCCCTAAGGCAGCACTCCTATGCTGACCTCCAACTGCTAATGGGCTCTGTGCAGCAGGGACAACCCTCTGCACAGTCCAGACCTGAGGGCAGATGGCAGGTGACCTGGGGGTGAAGTGTTATGTATGGAGCAGGGCAGCTCCCTGTCTGGGATCACTTTTCTTAGAGGAAGCCTCCTGCCTATTGTCCTGCTCCTGCACTTCCCTCCTGGGACCTGGCAACCTCAGGTGGGAAGGCTGCATTGAGGCTGCAGGCTTGGTCAAGAGAAGCAGGACCCTGGTGCGAAGGGAAATGAGCCTGGACAGCATACTTGTCACCTGCCCCAGGACTAGTGCCCCTCCAAGCCAGAGAGCCCAGATAGCCCTCAGTGGGGCTGGTGAGAGTCACAGTTCTCCGCACGTGGCCAGGAAGTTGAGCAAGAGTAACCCAACCACATAAGGTATGGTGCAAACCTGGAAACTTCTGAGAGCAAAGGGATGCTCTTAGTTGTTAGGCGGGGGCCGCCCAGCAGAGCCAGGACGGTGGCGACCCTAGTCCAGAGCCTTCCACTTTAGCAAGGTAGAATCCAAGGGCCCCAGAAGGGAACAGACTCCATCTGGGTCGCCTAAGCAGGTGAGAGAGGAAAACCCAACCACAGTCGCGCCCCAGCCCTCGCAGGTCCCTGGCTGAGGACTCCCCTCTCCACCTCAGGCTGGGCGGCCCCCGCCTTCACGCTTGCTCCCACTTGTCCCTCGTTCTTGCTAGGCTTGGCAGGTATTTGTTCCCTGCTCCTTCACGCTCTCAGTGCCGTGGCCACGTCGCTGGGTACGCCCCACCAGGCAAGAGACATTTTCCGTCTTGTTCTCTGCCACGTCCCCAGAGCCTGGAACAGTGCTTGGCACAGAGTGGACGCTCATTCGTGGAGTAAGTGCCTGATGGATAATCCATCACTTGCTTTTCTAGTATGAATGGTCTATTTACGGGTCCAGCGCCCCTGCTGGCTTACGACCTTTTCCAGGGCGGGGAGGGGCTGTCCTCATCTCTGTGACCCCAGCGCCCAGCCCAAGGCCTGGCACAGAGTAAGTGCTCAACCACATTTTGGTGAATGAGTGAATGGAAGCGGCCCAGCAACCCTGAGCCAAGGAGCCACTGTGGGGCAGGTCAGGGCGGTTCCTGGCACAGGGCTTCCCACTAGCCTGGCCACCAGCTCTGCGGTCTCCTGGAAGCTGGGGGGCCTTTGGGTAAGGGAGAAGAGTGGCCAGGAGTTGTCTGCGTGTGCCCTGTGACGGTGGGATAGAGACAGCGATTGGATTGAGGAACGGGAGGTTCCCCGAGGCTGTTTAGAGAGGCGGGAGCGGGAGCTGGTCAGGGAGGCTGGACAGACCACCCGAGGGAGCGGAGCTTGGGCACGAAAGCCAAAACTGGGCGGCGCGGGGCGGGTGGGGAAGGCCGGCTGAGAAAGCCGGGATTGCCTCCTGGTGTCAAAGCTCGGAACTGCAGCAGGATCCTGGGGGCGGGGCTTGTGTTCAGCAGCACTCGCCACGCGCCCAGCCCTCAGCCCTCGTCTCGCCTTCTGCTGGCTGGCCCGGCGACGTTGTGCGCCAGCGTACGCGGGGCTCTGAGAACCCGGAAGTTACGTTTTAGGCCCGCGTCACGGGGGCGGGAGTCAGCTGAGCTGCCGGGGCGAGGTTGGGATCACCTGGCACCGGCTGAAGGGAGCCTGTGATTTTTTTGTAGCGGGGGCGGGGAGTAAGGTGCAAGACTGCGCCAGATTCAAGGACGAGGGCTGCCCGATTATCTCGCTGCATAAGGCAAGAGCAAGAGGATCCTCAGGATTTTAAAGAGGAGGCGACGGCTGCAGGTTCCCAGGATCTGTCAGAGGCTGGGGAGTTACAGCTTCCATTCTGGGGCGACGGGGACCCCGGGGGGGTAGCCCTTTTGTAATCCCCAGGCCCCGGACAAAGAGCCCAGAGGCCGGGCACCATGGCGTCCATCCTGGATGAGTACGAGAACTCGCTGTCCCGCTCGGCCGTCTTGCAGCCCGGCTGCCCTAGCGTGGGCATCCCCCACTCGGGTAAGGAAGAGGAGGGTGCCGCTGCCCCTTTCGGCTCTCCTAGCATTTGCGTGGGAGCAGCGAGGAGGGCAGCTCCAAGAGCTCGGGGTCATCCCCTGGGCCGTGCCTTCCGGGTCTAGGCCCCTGATTCTCCTCAGGCTCTCTTGGCCCCCAGCTGGTGGATAGTCGAAGTTTGAAAGAGCAACGGGAGCTGCCGCGTGATCTAGGCTCTACCGCTAGGGTCCTTTTGAGAGGGAATTGGGGCCCAGATAAGGAATTACTCACCTACAGGGCGCAGTTGGGCTGTTGGGAGAACTTAGAATGGGCTCCCGGCTTCTGCTGATGCTTTTCCCACCAGGCCCCTTCTGGAGGTGGGAGGGAAGGAATGGACAAAGAAAGTGGTGAAGGCGGAGTATTGCAGAGGAAGAAGGGAGGGTCCCAGAGGGAATTTTGTCGCTGAACGGGGAAAATGGAGATGAAATCTTTTTGGCCTTGGCTATAGCTGGGTGCAGCCTGGAGTTTGGGGACGTTTTTGTAGAAAGTAGTGAGTCTCCAGGAGAATGAGGGCATAGGGAGCCCTGGGGAACTGTTCCAGTGAGTGGAGTTAACGAATTGGAGCTGCTTTCACTCTAGTCTTTACCTTCATTCAATGCTCAAAATATCCCAGCACTTGCCAACTCTACACTGAGGCTCATTACCGCATGGGCAGGGAGGGGGGCAGAGAATGGGGCTATACTACTTCAGTTAAGCTGGGATTGCTGGGCCAAAGACCTGATAAGGGAGAATACCCAGACCACCAGTCCCGTCCCACCTCCACGCAGCCCCATTACCAGTGGGAGCAGGTATATCATGCTGTGACAGCATCTTAAGGGTTCAAAGAATCAACCCCTCACTGCTGTCAGAGTGTGGAAAGAGCTCCAGACCTCTATTGTAAAGGTGACCAGCAAACGACTTGATATCAAACTATTTGTTAACCAAGGTCCTGGGGATAGGAATATGTCAGGAAAGTGGCGAGGAGCACTGTGGTGTTTTTTCTGCCTCTCCTTGCCCTTCACCTGTCTCTTCCACAGCTAATCTTCTTGTCATTCCTTACCTGTAGGGTATGTGAATGCCCAGCTGGAGAAGGAAGTGCCCATCTTCACAAAGCAGCGCATTGACTTCACCCCTTCCGAGCGCATTACCAGTCTTGTCGTCTCCAGCAATCAGCTGTGCATGAGCCTGGGCAAGGATACACTGCTCCGGTAATCAAGAGCTCACAGAGCTTAGGAGTAGGGACTAGAGAGGTGTTTGGGGACTGTTAACTCACTGGGCCTTTCTTCTATTCCAGGCAAGTAAAGCAGTGAATTTGGAGTTTTCAGGAAATATCCTATCCCTTTCCAAAGAGAACCAATACAGGGTAGTGGTTAAGTATCTGGCCTGGCAGGGCATGGTGGCTCACACCTATCATCTCAGCACTTCGGGAGGCCAAGACAAGAGGATCACATGAAATCAGCAGTTTGAGACCAGCCTGGGCAATATAGTGAGACCCCCGTCTCTACCAAAACAAATTTTTAAAAATTAGCTAGGTGTGATGGTGCAGTCCCAACTACTGGGGAGGCCGAGGCAAGAGGATCACTTGAGCCCAGGAGTTCAAGGCTGCAGTGAGCTGTGTTTGCACCACTGTACTCCTGTCTCTTTAAAAAAAAAAAAAAGTCAGGTGCAGTGGCTCACACCTGTTATCCCAGCACTTTGGGAGGCTGAGGAGGGTGGATCACCTGAGGTCAGGAGTTCGACACCAGCCTGGCCAACATGGTGAAACGCTGTTTCTACTAAAAATACAAAAGTTAGCCGGGCGTGGTGGCAGGCGCCTGTAATCTCAGCTACTGGGGAGGCTGAGGCAGGAGAATTGCTGGAACCTGGGAGCCGGAAGTTGCAGTGAGCTGAGATTGCACCATTGAACTCCAGCCCAGGCGACAACAGTGAGACTCCATCTCAAAAAAAAAAAAAGGAAAAGGAAAAAAAAAAAAACTGTTTAGGAGTGTAGACTTAAGAGTATTAGAGTATTGATTAGAGCATTCTTGTGGTGGGAAAAACTGGATCCATGCTGAATGCTCATCAATAGGAAAATGGTGATTAAACTGCAATTCAGCCACAAAATAGAATATAATGCAGTTGTTTAAAAAAATGAATTATCCTGGCTGGGCGAGGTGGCTCACGCCTGTAATCCCAGCACTTTGGGAGGCTGAGGCAGGCAGATCACCTGAGGTCGGGAGTTCAAGACCAGCCTGGCCAACATGGAGAAACCCCTTCTCTACTAAAAATATAAAATTAGCAGGGTGTGGTGGCAGGTGCCTGTAATCCCAGCTATTTGGGAGGCTGAGGCAGGAGAATGGCTTGAACCCGGGAGGCAGAGGTTGCAGTGAGCCGAGATCATGCTCACTGCACTCCAGCCTGGATGACAAGAGCAAGACTTTGTCTGAAAAAAAAAAAAAGAGTTATCCTGGAAAGCTGGGTTTGGGGGTAAAAACAAAAAAAGTTAGAGCTATATCGATTGACTAGTGGAATGTTCATGAAATATCATTAATTTAGAAAATTTACAAATTAAGACACATACACATATGTGCAATATGAAGGCATTTTTATAATGACAGCAACAAAACCACCCTATTTATGTTATGAGTATGAAAAAAGATGTTAACATGAATTTTCTCAGTTGGGAATAACAGGAGTTTGAGAAGAAAATTAAGTCATTCTTTATACATCTTTGCATCGATTCTTTAGTTAGAACAAGCATATAATTTGGAAAGAATTTCATAAGGAAAATATAAACAGGAGTACTTCTCAAGGTTTTTGTCAAGATTAATTGAGATAATACTAGATTGATGAAGCTCTTGGCATGGTGCTTGGTATATAAAAGTGCCCAGTAACTATGAGCTACTCTTTGTTGTTCCCTTCTTACCTCAGCAATCTGGGATATCTCTGCCTATCTTCCCAGATGCACTGGAGATCTTTTTGTTTTCTTCCTTCAAGTCTGATTCTTTTTTGAGCAGAGGGGAAAAACTTCTCCTTAGTGATTTCTCAAAATAAGGTGAGGGAGCTTGCAGAGCTGAGAGGGTTTTTGTTGTTGTTGTTTGTCTTTTTTCTTTTCTTTTTCTTTTTATTTTTTTGAGACAGAGTCTTGCTCTGTCACCCAGGCTGGAGTGCAGTGCCTCGATCTCGGCTTACTGCAAGCTCCGCCTCCCGGGTTCACGCCATTCTCCTGCCTCAGCCTCCCCAGTAGCTGGGACTACAGGCGCCTGCCACCGCGCCCGGCTAATTTTTTGTATTTTTAGTAGAGATGTGATTTCACCGTGGTCTCAATCTCCTGACCTTGTGATCTGCCCGCCTTGGCCTCCCAAAGTGCTGGGATTACAGGCGTGAGCCACCGCGCCCGGCCTTTTTTTTTTTTTTCCCCCCTTTTTGTGGAGAACACGGTCTTGCTATATTGCCCAGGCAGGCCTCAAACTCCTGGGCTCAAGCTATCCTCTCGCCTCTGTGCCCCTAAAAGCTGAGATGACAGGTGTGAGCCACTGCACCTGGCAAGAGAGTTCTTAAGTAGGGCCCTGTATATTTTTCAGGGCTACTCCATAGGCAGAGCTGCTGTATTCAGCAATTTCTTTTTTTTTTTTTTTTGAGATGAGGTCTCACTCTGTTGCCCAGGTTGGAATACAGTGGTGTAGTCTCAGCTCACTGCAACCTCTGCCTCCCGGGCTCAGGTGATCTCCCACCTCAGCCTCCCAAATAGCTGGGACCACAGGTGTGTACCACCACACCTTGCTAATTTTCTTGTATTTTTTGTAGAGATGGGATTTCGCCATGTTGCCCAGTCTGGTCTCAAACTCCTGAGCTCAAGCAATCTACCCACCTCGGACTCCCAAAGTGCTGGGATTACAGGCTGAGCCAGTGCACCTGGCCTGTATTCAGCATTTTATGCATAGATGTATATTTCAGGGAAGTAAGTCTATGGCTTTTATCAGATTATTAAAGAAGATCATGATCCAAAAAAGGATCTTCCCTTCTCTAAAGTGATGGTGACGCTTGTCCCCACAGCATTGACTTGGGCAAGGCAAATGAGCCCAACCACGTGGAGCTGGGACGTAAGGATGACGCAAAAGTTCACAAGATGTTCCTTGACCATACTGGTAAGTAACAGTGGAGATCTGAGGAGGGGGTCTCTGGTCAGTCACTGCCTGGGTGGGTGGGCTCTGAGGGTGGTGTGGGGGCCAGGAGGAGGCTGAGGATGGGAACGGCAGCATCCACTGGGGCGCCATGCTCTCCCCACTCCAGGCTCTCACCTGCTGATTGCCCTGAGCAGCACGGAGGTCCTCTACGTGAACCGAAATGGACAGAAGGTACGGCCACTAGCACGCTGGAAGGGGCAGCTGGTGGAGAGTGTGGGTTGGAACAAGGCACTGGGCACGGAGAGCAGCACAGGCCCCATCCTGGTCGGGACTGCCCAAGGCCACATCTTTGAAGCAGAGCTCTCAGCCAGCGAAGGTGGGCTTTTCGGCCCTGCTCCGGATCTCTACTTCCGCCCATTGTACGTGCTAAATGAAGAAGGGGGTCCAGCACCTGTGTGCTCCCTTGAGGCCGAGCGGGGCCCTGATGGGCGTAGCTTTGTTATTGCCACCACTCGGCAGCGCCTCTTCCAGTTCATAGGCCGAGCAGCAGAGGGGGCTGAGGCCCAGGGTTTCTCAGGGCTCTTTGCAGCTTACACGGACCACCCACCCCCATTCCGTGAGTTTCCCAGCAACCTGGGCTACAGTGAGTTGGCCTTCTACACCCCCAAGCTGCGCTCCGCACCCCGGGCCTTCGCCTGGATGATGGGGGATGGTGTGTTGTATGGGGCATTGGACTGTGGGCGCCCTGACTCTCTGCTGAGCGAGGAGCGAGTCTGGGAGTACCCAGAGGGGGTAGGGCCTGGGGCCAGCCCACCCCTAGCCATCGTCTTGACCCAGTTCCACTTCCTGCTGCTACTGGCAGACCGGGTGGAGGCAGTGTGCACACTGACCGGGCAGGTGGTGCTGCGGGATCACTTCCTGGAGAAATTTGGGCCGCTGAAGCACATGGTGAAGGACTCCTCCACAGGCCAGCTGTGGGCCTACACTGAGCGGGCTGTCTTCCGCTACCACGTGCAACGGGAGGCCCGAGATGTCTGGCGCACCTATCTGGACATGAACCGCTTCGATCTGGCCAAAGAGTATTGTCGAGAGCGGCCCGACTGCCTGGACACGGTCCTGGCCCGGGAGGCCGATTTCTGCTTTCGCCAGCGTCGCTACCTGGAGAGCGCACGCTGCTATGCCCTGACCCAGAGCTACTTTGAGGAGATTGCCCTCAAGTTCCTGGAGGCCCGACAGGAGGAGGCTCTGGCTGAGTTCCTGCAGCGAAAACTGGCCAGTTTGAAGCCAGCCGAACGTACCCAGGCCACACTGCTGACCACCTGGCTGACAGAGCTCTACCTGAGCCGGCTTGGGGCTCTGCAGGGCGACCCAGAGGCCCTGACTCTCTACCGAGAAACCAAGGAATGCTTTCGAACCTTCCTCAGCAGCCCCCGCCACAAAGAGTGGCTCTTTGCCAGCCGGGCCTCTATCCATGAGCTGCTCGCCAGTCATGGGGACACAGAACACATGGTGTACTTTGCAGTGATCATGCAGGACTATGAGCGGGTGGTGGCTTACCACTGTCAGCACGAGGCCTACGAGGAGGCCCTGGCCGTGCTCGCCCGCCACCGTGACCCCCAGCTCTTCTACAAGTTCTCACCCATCCTCATCCGTCACATCCCCCGCCAGCTTGTAGATGCCTGGATTGAGATGGGCAGCCGGCTGGATGCTCGTCAGCTCATTCCTGCCCTGGTGAACTACAGCCAGGGTGGTGAGGTCCAGCAGGTGAGCCAGGCCATCCGCTACATGGAGTTCTGCGTGAACGTGCTGGGGGAGACTGAGCAGGCCATCCACAACTACCTGCTGTCACTGTATGCCCGTGGCCGGCCGGACTCACTACTGGCCTATCTGGAGCAGGCTGGGGCCAGCCCCCACCGGGTGCATTACGACCTCAAGTATGCGCTGCGGCTCTGCGCCGAGCATGGCCACCACCGCGCTTGTGTCCATGTCTACAAGGTCCTAGAGCTGTATGAGGAGGCCGTGGACCTGGCCCTGCAGGTAAGCCAGTACGTCTTGACCCCAGCTGGGAGAGGGACCCAAAGAGCAGTAGCTTTAGATGTGGAAGGGCTTGGGGGGCCATGGCTAGAGGGTGCTGGCTTCCCTTGCAGAGAGGGAAGGTTAAGAGCATGGACTGTTAAGTCAGATTTGAATTCTGGCTATGCCACTTACTAAGCTGTGTGACCTTGGGTTAGTTTCTGAACCTCTCTGTGCTCAGATTATTTGGCCACAAAAGGGGGTCAGTGTTATAGTACATTTACCTCATAGGGTTGATAAAGTTCTGTGTATGAAAAGTACGCAGGGCTGGGTGTGGTGGCTTGCGCCAGCACTTTGGGAGGCCGAGGTGGGCGGATCACAAGGTCAGGAGTTCGAGACCAGCCTGACCAACATGGTGAAACCCCATCTCTACTAAAAATGTAAAAATTAGCCGGACATTGTGGTGCATGCCTGTAATCCCAGCTACTCAGGAGGCTGAGGCAGGAGAATCGCTTGAACCTGGGAGGTAGAGGTTGCATTGAGCTGAGATCACGCCATTGTACTCCAGCCTGGGTGACAGAGCAAGACTCCGTCTCAAAAAAAAAAAAAGAAAAAGAAAAGAAAAATACTCGGGGCCGGGCGCGGTGGCTCATGCCTATAATCCCAGCACTTTGGGAGGCCAAGGTGGGTGGATCACCTGAGGTCAGGAGTTCGAGACCAGCCTGGCCAACATGTCGAAACCCTGTCTCTACTGAAAATACAAAAGTTAGCTGGGCGTGGTGGCACGCACCTGTAATTCCAGCTACTCAGGAGGCTGAGGTAGGAGAATCACTTGAACCTGGGAGGAGGAGGTTTCAGTGAACCAAAATCGCACCACTGCACTCCAGCCCGGGCAACAGAGTGAGATTTTGTTTCAAAAAGAAAAAAAGAAAAGTACTTAGAACACTGCCTGGTACATGCACGTTAGCAGAAGAGGAGGGTGCTGCATCGCATGAAGTGCTATTTAACATGCAGTTCCTAGGCCTGAACTCAGGACTTACTGAATCAGAATGTCTGGGGGCAGGGCTCAAAAATTTGTATTTTGAATATGTTTCCCAGGTGATTTCTTTCTTTCTTTCTTTCTTTCTTTTTTTTTTTTTTGAGACGGAGTCTTGCTCTGTTTCCCAGGCAGGAGTGCAGTGGCCCAATCTCGGCTCACTGCAAGCTCAGCCTCCCAGGTTCACGCCATTCTCCTGGCTCAGCCTCCCGGGTAGCTGGGACTACAGGCGCCCGCCACCACACCCGGCTAATTTTTTTGTATTTTTAGTAGAGACGGGGTTTCACTGTGTTAGCCAGGATGGTCTCGATCTCCTGACCTCGTGATCTGCCTGCCTTGGCCTCCCAAAATGCTGGGATTATAGGCCTGAGCCACTGCGCCCAGCCTCCCCGGTGATTTCTAACTTCACTAAAATTGGAGCCCTACTACTCTAAGTAGCTTTTACATAGCTGTGGCAGCGGCAGGCCCCCTTGCTTCCAGGAGTGCTGGGAATCCTGCCTCGGGGCCTCTCCTCGGCCATCTCTCTCTCCCATAGTCTCCATGTTGGGCAGGGAGGGGCTTGGCCCTAAAGCCCATGCTCTCCCCACAGGTGGATGTGGACCTGGCCAAGCAGTGTGCAGACCTGCCTGAGGAGGATGAGGAATTGCGCAAGAAGCTGTGGCTGAAGATCGCACGGCACGTGGTGCAGGAAGAGGAAGATGTACAGACAGCCATGGCTTGCCTGGCTAGCTGCCCCTTGCTCAAGATTGAGGATGTGCTGCCCTTCTTTCCTGATTTCGTCACCATCGACCACTTCAAGGAGGCGATCTGCAGCTCACTTAAGGCCTACAACCACCACATCCAGGAGCTGCAGCGGGAGATGGAAGAGGCTACAGCCAGTGCCCAGCGCATCCGGCGAGACCTGCAGGAGCTGCGGGGCCGCTACGGCACTGTGGAGCCCCAGGACAAATGTGCCACCTGCGACTTCCCCCTGCTCAACCGCCCTTTTTACCTCTTCCTCTGTGGCCATATGTTCCATGCTGACTGCCTGCTGCAGGCTGTGCGACCTGGCCTGCCAGCCTACAAGCAGGCCCGGCTGGAGGAGCTGCAGAGGAAGCTGGGGGCTGCTCCACCCCCAGCCAAGGGCTCTGCCCGGGCCAAGGAGGCCGAGGGTGGGGCTGCCACGGCAGGGCCCAGCCGGGAACAGCTCAAGGCTGACCTGGATGAGTTGGTGGCCGCTGAGTGTGTGTACTGTGGGGAGCTGATGATCCGCTCTATCGACCGGCCGTTCATCGACCCCCAGCGCTACGAGGAGGAGCAGCTCAGTTGGCTGTAGGAGGGTGTCACCTTTGATGGGGGGTGGGCAATGGGGAGCAGTGGCTTGAACCCACTTGAGAAGGCTGCCTCCTAGGCTCTGCTCAGTCATCTTGCAATTGCCACACTGTGACCACGTTGACGGGAGTAGAGTAGCGCTGTTGGCCAGGAGGTGTCAGGTGTGAGTGTATTCTGCCAGCTTTTCATGCTGTTCTTCAGAGCTGCAGTTATGCCAGACCATCAGCCTGCCTCCCAGTAGAGGCCCTTCACCTGGAGAAGTCAGAAATCTGACCCAATTCCACCCCCTGCCTCTAGCACCTCTTCTGTCCCTGTCATTCCCCACACACGTCCTGTTCACCTCGAGAGAGAGAGAGAGAGAGCACCTTTCTTCCGTCTGTTCACTCTGCGGCCTCTGGAATCCCAGCTCTTCTCTCTCAGAAGAAGCCTTCTCTTCCTCCTGCCTGTAGGTGTCCCAGAAGTGAGAAGGCAGCCTTCGAAGTCCTGGGCATTGGGTGAGAAAGTGATGCTAGTTGGGGCATGCTTTTGTGCACACTCTCTGGGGCTCCAGTGTGAAGGGTGCCCTGGGGCTGAGGGCCTTGTGGAGGATGGTCGGTGGTGGTGATGGAGGTGGAGAGCATTAAACTGTCTGCACTGCACTGGTGGCTTTGTGTCGATGCTGGGCCGAGCGGTGTGTGAGTGATCTCCAGGCGGGGCTGGAGTGTCACAGGGAGGCTGCCAGGCCCTACATGCCCCCACACCTTGGCACGCAGTCCTTCACCTTGTCCGCCAACTCTGCCTCTCCAGGGCTCATTGGGGATTGCAGCCAACCAACCTGAATTGTGAAGCAGGGGCTGTTCTTCCCTTTGGCCAGCAGATGGTGCTGCTCCCCACAGAATCCTTGGCTTTCCGGCAGCTGGGAGCAGTGATTTCTGTCACTCTATTAGTGCTTGCTTCCTCCCTACTTGTCGCAAGAATTTTCTTGGAGTCGCCCGGGCATGGTAGCTCACGCCTATAATCCCAGCACTTTGGGAGGCTGAGGTGGGCAGATCACAAGGTCAGGAGATCGAGACAATCCTGGCTAACACGATGAAACCCCGTCTCTCCTAAAAATACAAAAAATTAGCCGGGCGTGGTGGCAGGTGCCTGTAGTCCCAGCTACTCGGGAGGCTGAGGCAGGAGAATGGCGTGAACCCGGGAGGCAGAGTTTGTGGTGAGCTGAGATTGCGCCATTGCACTCCAGCCTGGACGACAGAGCAAGACTCCATCTCAAAAAAAAAAAAGAATTTTCTTGGAGTCTCCACTGTCTAACCATAACTTCAAGCCCCTCATTCTTCCTCCCTCGAGTAGCCCTCAGGCATGCTAGATTTTGCTTGCCCCTCTGCCAGCTTGGATCCCCGCCTTCCCAGCTCCTGCCTGGCTTTAAGATGGCCCTGCCACTATCTGCCATTTAACCACAACGTTGAGGCCCAGCATGAAGGTGAGACTGCTGTGGCCTGTATCCATGGCATTTGGCAGACATGTTTTCTCATCTTGCTCCTGTGACCTGCTCCTCCCCACAAATTACACATCTTTAGTTGTGGCTAAATCCTAGGGAGTCCTGGAATGGGGTCTCCCCGTGACATCAGCAGAGCACCCTTTGCCCCATGGACCGGTGTTCACAGTGCACTGCCCAGCTCTCTGGGTGTGATCTGTCAGCTGGCAAGACAGTTCCTGCAGTCAGGCCAACCTCGCTGGCCACTGCAGGCTGCTTTCCCCTCCAGTCTAATCCTCTTCCTAGCCAGGCATGGGGTCTCACACTTGTAGTCTTAGCTACTTGGGAGTCTGAGGAAGGAGGATGGCTTGAGCCCAAGAGATGGAAGCTGCAGTGAATTATGATTGTGCCACTGCACTTCACCTGGGTGACAGAGCAAGAACCCTCTTTTTTTTTTTTGAGATGGCGTCTTGCTCTGTCACCAGGCTGGAGTGCAGTGGTACAATCTTGGCTCACTGCAACCTCCGCCTTCCGGGTTCAAGGATTCTCCTGCCGCAGCCTCCCTAGCAGCTGGGATTACAGGTGCACATCACCACGCCTGGCTACTTTTTTTATTTTTAGTAGAGACGGGGTTTCACCATGTTGGCCAGGCTGGTCTCGAACTCCTGACCTCAAGTGATCCGCCTGCCTCAGCCTCCCAAAGTGCTAGGATTACAGGCATGAGCCACTGTGCCCAGCTAGAACCCCTCCGCCTTTTTTTTTTAAAGAATTTTATCTCTGGCAATACAGGTTGAACTTTGCTGCAGAATTCCCTAACCACTAAAACAAGAGGATCTCTTCATGGACTCTGTTAGCTGAGAGGGCTGGAAGCTGCCCATTTTTGATGACCCCTCAGACTCCCGTCTTCCTCCAGAAGCAGAAGTGGGAGCAGATGTGGGGGAGGGGTCCCATTGAGTAGAGGGCATCCTAATTCTGTTCTTCGCACTGTCCCAGGAGGTTTGGAGGGCTCCTGCTTCCTTCTCCCCATGTGGCCTAGGCTCCCCTTACACCTACCATAGTCATCTGAGGGCTCAGGGTCTTTGTCCCCTGACAGTGAGTATAAAGCTTTAGCCTACCTCTGAAGGGGTCACTTTCTTAGAGAAAACAGACTGGGGCCTCTGTCTTTGCACATAATGGGTGCCTAATACTTGTTAGTTAAACAAACACTGCCCTATTGCTCCCTGCTCCCAGAGGGCTTGGCTAAAGCAGCTTGGGACACCCCTGCCCCTTCTGTCTTCTCCTAAGCCAGCCCATCTGGTCCTAGGCTGCTTCCTCTTTCCTGGGAAAAGGCCCCAGGCTTCCCTGGCAGGGACAGAATAGGGTTCCGGTGAGTCAGGGCAACGGGAAGCCACAGCTCTTAGATCCCTGGAAGCCAAGCAAGACATGGAATGGAGAGCAGAGCGGAGGCCCTCAGGGCTTTGGCCCTAAGCCTGGAGGGCCAGAGGGGGGTGGGGTGGGGGAGCAGCTGCGTGGGCAGGGGCCAAGATGAATGAGCTACTCCTGGAGCGGTCACTGGAAATAGAAGGAGTGGCCACAGGCAGTGACGCTGGGACCAGGGCAGGAGGCCTGTAAACAAGGAAGCCACCTGGGGGAGACGCAGGGCGGCCACTGGTCCTGGGGAGCAGGTGCTTCCTGAGGCCCGCCCTGGAGAGGGCCCTGGGGGCCGCCCCGCCGAGTCTGCAGTGGGCACTAGGGGGCGCCGTCTACCGGCTTCCCGAGCCCACCGCTCCCTACCCTGGCTCCTGGGGGTGTGGCCGCCGGAGGGTGTGCCGGCCCAGAGTCCCAGGCCCTGCCTGCCCGGCCTCTCCCTCCCTTCTCCTGTCACCGCGGCCGACTGGCCAAGGGCACCAGCCCTGGAGAGGGCACAGGGCTCAGCGTGGCCAGCTCGGATGTGAGCTCATTCCCCCGAGACCACCAGTTCTAGTTCCTGCCCCTCCCCCAAAGGCTCGGGTCGCAGGCTGGTGCCTGGCACCCACCCCAAAGGTTGGGAGGGGGCTCGAGGCCATCAGGCTCCAGGCCGCACTTGGCGCTGCCCCCTGGCGCCAGGGAAACAAAGGTTAGGGGCCCAGAGGGAGTTATCTGGCCCCACCGCCACCGGGTGGGGGAAGGGGACCAAGAGGGGGCGCAGTTCCCCTCCACTCCCCCAGCCCTACTGATTCTTCGAGACACTTTCACAGGCGGAAATTCCCAGAGGTCAGAGGAGGGAAACGGTTAATTCCTTTTATTCAATGGGTCCCCCCTACACGCCTCCCCCCAACTTCCTCCCTCCACTTCCCGCCCCCCCCTGTGTGAACAGGAAGTGGAGAGGAAAAGGCTCTGAGCGGAGCAGCTGGGAGCAGGAGGCAGGGAGTGGGCGGCGGGCTTGGTGCCAGCCCTGCCCCTCATGCTTACTTGCCGGAGGGCCAGGCCAACCGCGGCCTGGGAAAGAACCTGCAGCCCCGCTGGCGAGTGGCAGTTGAACCGGGAAACAGCAAACTCCATGCCCTCTTTCCTTAACCTGCTCCCAGGTTACAGGCTGCTGTCCTCAGGGTGCCAGACATCTTCTGCTCAAGAGCCAGCTGCCCTGGCCACCACAGCCCCACCTCCACCACCAGGCTGGGCATCCCGAGGCTGGCAGGCATCTCTTCAGGCAGCCGCCAGTCCTGGCACTGGCTCCCCCACTCAGCCCCTTGGCCCTGCCAGCCCTTTGAAGCTCATGCAGCGCTTCCTGTTTGGGGCGGGCGATGCCAGGGCCCCTCCCCCACCATTGTTCTGGAGAGACCATAGGTCCATCTGTTGCCCCATGGTGGGGCCCCTAGGCAGTGCCACACGGGAGCAGCACCACAAAGGACGCTGCTGGCAGCTTTGCTTATGTGGGGTGAGGCTGGGCCCTGCAGCAGGTTGAGGGTGAATGGTGGTCAGAGGCAGGCCTGGGGCGGGCACTGGGATAGGAGGATGCTAGAAAGTTCTGGTGCTTGGGCAGCTGGAGCCCTCAGCTTTCTCCTCCACCTGGAGCATGGAGATGATATTCAGGGAGCCATACGTGCTGAAGCCACCAGGAGAGGGCCACCATTCTCATGCCTGGATTCCCAAAAGGAAAACTGAGGCAGAGGGGCAAACTTTGGTCCAGGATGGCCAATAAAAGGGTCACAAAATAGGGTTGTCATTTCAAGGGGATTGGCCCCACTCTCTGAATGCCCAGTAATTGGGTGCTTTCCTCTCCCTGAGCAGCTTTACCGTGGCTCAGCTTTCACCTTGAACCAGCCCTTACTGAGCAGTCAGAAACCATACCGTGAGGTCAGGAGAGGCTGCGCGGCCTTAGTTTGGTGGCCAGCAACCCATGTCCACTGAGAATAAGCTTGGGCAGAGAAAAGGGAAAGGGGCACTGGTCTGGCCCCCCGGAAGGTGGCTGCTGCTTCTGGTTCCCAGGCTGCTGTGGCCAAAGGTCTGTTTGTGTTTGCCAGGTGCAGAGGCAGGTGGCTGCAGCTCACCTTCCCTCCATGGCATGATCTCCCAGCTCTGACCCTTGACCTGTTCCCTCGCGGCATCTCCACAGGGCTAGAAGGTGAACCCTACTTCCTTTACCAGGTCCTCTGGTTTCTCTTCCCAGGCCAGGACCTAAACCGTTCACAACTCCCAGCAGGCCAGAGCTGCAGAGACCTCAGATAGAGACTATAAAGTGCTGTGGAAGCCTTGTTCAAATAAAAACATTCATGAATGTCCAGTACTTGAAATTGGTATGCTGAGATTCTCCGATGGAAACTGGGCTGGAGGGACCCACACTCCTGTTCACTCAGCCTGTTCTCCACTCCTATCTCAATGTCTCTCTCTCTGTTTTTTTTTTTTTTTTTTAATAGAAACAACACCTTGTTCTATTGCCTAGGCTGGAGTGCAGTGGCGCCATCATAGCTCACTGCAGCCTTTAATTCCTGATCTCAAGTGATCCTCCCACCCCAGGCTCCTGAGTAGCAAGGACTACAGACACCACACCTGGCTAATTTTTATTTCTATTTTTTGTAGTGACGGGGGTCTTGCTAGGTTGCCAAGGCTGGTCTTGAACTCCTGACTTCAAGCAGTCCTCCCACCTCAGCCTCCTAGGGTGTCCGGATTACAGGCATGAGCCACTGTGCCCGGCCCCCTATCACGATATCCATAAGATGCCAGGATGCCCAGGAACCGAGTTTGAAAGACATTGTGCTGCTGATCCCACCTCCTGACTTTACAGCTGCTGAATTGCAGAAGACAAATTGGTAGCTAACAGGAGGCTCCATCCTGGATCCTGCCCCTGTCCGTGAGATTCAGCCTTGATTAACTGTGTTCCCATGCTGGTCGTGAGCAGGGCACCATCCTAGGTCCTTCTTTATACTCATTTTCCATCTCCAGCCAAAATGGGTTGAACCGAGGAACAAGGACATAATCTGTAAAGAGCAAGTGCAAGTCTCTGCTCTGCCATTACCAGCATCAGGCTAATCAAGCCCTTGGAAACTCAATTTCTTCTCCTGTAAAATGTGAATAACTGTTACAGACCTGGAAAGGCTCTTGTGAGGCTGAAATGAGAGCGGTGCCGCCCATCTGTCAAGGTAGCCCAGGGCCTGGCGCCCAAGCAGCCCTGGGCACTTGCCCCTCTTCCCTTTTACTCTGCACCTCCTTTCTGTAGGCGTAGGACCCTGAGACCTGTCCCAGCTCATCCCTCACAAGGCCCTCTGACTTCTTCAGATATCAGAGTGGAATTGGAAGAAAGAAGCTTGCTTGAGTAGGTTTTTCTGGTTTCTTGAACAATGGCGATTCTAAGGAAAAGAGGTTCAGGATGAGAATGAGAGGAAGCCCACAGGCATGTAGAATATGGCCACAGGTGGGACAAGAGTGCTTCCTTGGGATGGGGGTCCTGGTTCCCTGAAGGAAAGGAGACAGGGCACTACTCCAGCTCCAGGAGTCTCATAGGACAGGCCAAGAGGGCTGGGCAGACACCATGCTGGCCGCTGATCAGGCATGACTCCTCTGCCAGCCTGCCCTCGCAGGCCAGCCCAGAACTTGCACAACAGTCGGCCTGGCTGGCACTCTCCCGGGAGCTTCAGGAAGTCCCCCTTGTCCTCCCCTTGACCTTTGACCCCTTGGGCCTGCTGCCGACCAGAATACCAGGCAGATGTTCTCTCTTTTACCTTTTGTTCCTGGTCTTTCCCTCTAAGGCTGGAACTCAGAGATACCCCAAACCCCCAGCTTCCAGCTCATCCTTCCCCATGCTCTCAGTGCGGACCAGCTGGAGCCTCCACTGGGCCGCTCTCCATGTGAGCCAGTGTGGATCCTTGGCCACAGCCGGCAGGACGCTTGCAAGTGCCCCGACTCCAGACATCCTCCCAGGTGTCCTTCCCGACTAGCTCCCTGTCCCAGGCCCCAGCAGGTGAAGCAGGAACAGCAGACAGAGCCTCCTTCCCTCCCCGGCATCCTCTGAACAGTCAAAGTTGGAAGAACCCTAGATATTGTTCCACATTAAACTATGCACGCCTCGTGGCACTCAGTTTCACAATCAAATAACTCCCTCTGGTTTTCTAGTGGAATTTCTGCTTTTATTTTATAGGGTTTCTTGGCTTCTTTTTTTTTTTTTAAGCAATCAGTCTAAATTTGTCATCACACATCCCCCATTTCCGCCCCTAAGGGCCTCCTTTTCATCCCCTGGAATCTGGAAACCATATGTGTGGGCAGAAACCCCCCAGCATCCCCCACTGCACCCTGGCCCAGCCTGGCCTCCGCAGGGATAACCGTGTTAGCTGGGGAAGAGTCTACACTCCACACTGGGGCTAGAAAGGGAGTTTCTCTTTGGACCTTCCCAGCTGAAGCCATGGAGAAGCCGTGTGGTCTAGTGGTTAGGGCTAGAACAGATGGGTTCTGTTCCCGGCAATCTCTTTGACTAACACCAGAAGCCTGGGAAAGTCCCCTTAACACCTAAGGGACTCAGTTTCCCCACCATCTGAGGGGCTCAGAGTTTCACCAGCTAGCTCATCTCCTACCCGCCTTGGTGGAAAGAGTTTTTGATCTGGAATTTCTGCTATGTCACTTACAAGCTGTTTGACCTTGACAAATTGCTTAACCTTTCTGAACCTCAATTTCCTCATCTATAAATTAGAGACTATTATCGTACCTACCACCTGGCTATTGTTGGGATTAAATAAGAAAACATATTCTCAAGGGCCTCGCACCAGACGTACTGTGAGAACTCAAGAAGCAGGCGTTGTGATTGTTAATAATAAGTAGAAAGGCACAAAGAGGTGGGAGTGTGTTCTTAGCGAGTCTGCCCCGGGCCAGACCTGTCTGCCCCTGCCTCTCCTGCTCCGGCTGACTTGTCCCAACCTTCCCTGGGCCTCCTCTGCTCTGGAAGGCAAGGATGCGTTACCAGTCATTGTGGATCAAGGCTGAGGCCTGTCTGCTCGTCCCTGTCTCCATGACGACCCCAGCCCCTCCCCTCCTTCCTTCCTCAAGAGCTTTCTGTTTACTGTAAACAGCTGCCCCAGCTCAGCCCTAGCTGATCCCCCCCACACCCAGGGCCAGCCAGACCCTCTTTGAACCCGGCCTGGACTGGTGTGAAGGTCTGCTCACTGCTTCTCGGGCTCCACAAGGCCTCAAACAAACTCTGTGTTTCCACCTTGCCTGGCCGGGAGGGGAGAGGAGGAGGGGAGGGAACTGTTACCTCAGACCAGGGCAGCCAGGGCCTCAGAGACAAGGAACAGATGGGGCGTAATGGAGGAGGACCACACCAAGAGAGTTGGGTGGAGACATCTCTGGCTTGGCCTTAGACTGACCGGGTTCAAATCCTGGCCTAGATTTGCTCACCGCATGACCTCAGGCTGGTCACTTAACTTCTCTAAGCTTCATTCAATTTATCGATTTATAAAATGGAGATAATAATACCTCCCTCAGAGGGTTGGCTGCTGGGCAGATTGGTAATAATGCATGTAAAACCCCTGGCTCAGGTCTTGACACATTGCTAGCCTACAATGGTGGTGGCTGGACTATTATTTCACTTTTCAGGTCCTCTCCTTCTGCTCAGCAACCTTGCATAAATTCCTGCCTGTTCCTTGACCTGGCATGTCTCAATCACACAGGCCTGCACATACATGTGTACTCAGCAAACATATGAGCTGGGTAATGAAATGAAAATTCACAAGCGTATCTGAGGCACAGGAGACTCAATAAGAGCAGAGGAAAAGTCTGTTTCCTAAGCCCTTCCACAGGCCTGAGCTGGGACGTCCATGTGTGCCACCATCACCAGGGCACTATGGCTTCCTCCCTCTTCCTCCATTTGGCCTCCAGGATTGCACCCACCCTCCCTGCCCAGCGGAGCGCAGTGCAGGGATAGAGGGAATGCTGTATGGGATAGCTCCCCTTTCCTGTGGGCCAAGCTTTCAGGGCAAGATGGTCTGGGATGTGGGGCTTCTGGCTCCCAGCTCCTGATGGGTCCAACTTGGCTCCCTTGACTCTCCAGCATCCTTGGAAGTGCTGGCTAATTAATGCTGCCTTGTGAGATGAGATTTAGACCTGCCATTTCGCTTACCACCAGGCCCGCCCAGCAGCCCTGGGGCAGAACCTGGGGTTAAGCAGGGGCATTCATCAATTTGAGTCATTCCCCACAAGCCCATGAGTAAGTATGGTGCTGGATTTCCAGACCCCTGTCCCCTCCCTGAGATGCCTGTTGGGGTCTTCCAGGGCTGGGTCTCTGTTGGTTGCAGGTACAGCCCTGGGGTTCTCTTGAGCAGGGCGTGGCAGCTGCAGGCTTTCAGGCCTAGCTAACTCCACTGCCCCCACATGCTCTTGCCCACAACCAGGTCTAACTCCAGCGTTTGTGTGCTCACCCCAGCCTGGCTGCATGAGAAAGGAGAGGAGCCCCCAGTACTGAAGTCAGCCCCACGGGTTGGGCTGGAAATCCCCCACTTCTTACCTTGGCTGCTTGAGGAAACAGCCTCCCGGCAGAGGGCCGCCTCCCGCCAGGGACTTTTCTCCTGGGGATGACATGGAATGCAGGGCAGCTACAAGGACCCTAGCCTCACTGAGCCACACATCAGCCAGCCTGAGGGGCAGGGGAGTGTGTCGGTCACCCAGGACCACTCTCTCCCTTGCAGGGAGCTTGGCAGCTAGGGTCCTAGAACCCCTGAGACTTACGCAGGCCTAAAGGGGGAACAGGGAGAAGGAGGCCGTGGGGACCAGTGGTGGCCAGGAATATCCAGACTGCTGCGTGGTCCTGTACCTGGAGCGCACCAGCCCCTCCTCCACACTCCCTTCCCCTACCCCAGCACCCAGCCTGAAACTGGCTTCCAATAGGATGTAAAGCCCTCACTGATCTTCCAGGATGGTGGTCTCCAGACTTTTTTTTTTTTTTTAAACAGATGGGGGTCTCACTATGTTGCCCAGGCTGGTCTTGAACTTGGGGCCTCAAGAGATTCTCCTGCCTTGGCCTCCCAAATTGCTGAGATTACAGGCGCGAGCCACTGTGTCTGGCCTCCCAAACTTTTTTGATTGTGAATATTTATGCATAGATTATACACTACAGTCAAAACACATATTAAATATTATTTATTTTAAAACATTATTTATTATTAAATATTTTATTTATTTATATATTTTTTGGAGATGGAATTTTGCTCTTGTTGCCCAGGCTGGAGTGCAGTGGGGCAGTCTCAGCTCACTGCAACCTCCGCCTCCCAGGTTCAAGCGTTTCTCCTGCCTCAGCCTCCCGAGTAGCTGAGATTACAGGCGCCCGCCACCACACCCAGCTAATTTTTTGTATTTTTAGTAGAGACTGGGTTTCACCATGTTGGCCAGGCTGGGCAGGCTGGTCTCAAACTTCTGAACTCAGGTGTTCCACCTGCCTCAGCCTCCCAAATTGTTTTTTAATTAAAAAATAAATCAAAATAGAAATCATATTTCCTCCCATCCCCCCAACAAATGCCTCACTGGCCCCATATAGGCCACTGTGGAGCCCACTGTGTAGATAGAGGAAGGCAGGAGAGCCTCTCGGAGCAGACCATCACCCTACAAGAGGATCCAGGGCCTGAGGGGGCAAATGATTTTCTTAATCCATTGCCAACCACAATCGAGTAACCCACATCTGAAGCCGTTCTATTTGTTGTTGTTAACTTGAAAAGAAACTTGGTCATCTTAGGCAAGGCCCTGTTGCTGTGGTGGTTGTGCTGCCAGTTCCTACCCCAAAGGCCCAGGCAGCCTGTCCCATCCTAGGACCGCAGCACCCAACGTAGAAAGTGAGAGTTTATCGAGGAAGAACACCCAGCCTGTGTGTGTGTGTGTGAGTGTGTGTGCGTGTGTGTGTGACTGTGAGTGTGCGACTGTGTGTGCGACTGTGTGTGTGTGACTGTGTGTGACTGTGTGTGTGTGTGCGCGACTGTGTGAGTGTGACTGTGTGTGAGTGTACGACTGTGTGTGACTGCGTGAGTGTGTGTGTGTGACTGTGAGTGTGTGTGACTGTGTGAGTGTGTGTGCGACTGTGAGTGTGTGACTGTGTGTGACTGAGTGTGACTGTGTGTGTGTGTGAGAGTGTGTGTGAGAGAGAGTGTGTGTGTGCACATGTGTATGTGTGCATGCACGTGCTGGCCCAGAGTGTGTCATTCTAACAGAACCTGCCCGGTGATGGCCTCTGCTTTCTGGTCTGCTCGTCTTGGAGGCCCCACTTGTGTCACATAGGTACTGAGACACCTGCATTAACCCTTCTGACGGAGTCATAAGAACCCCTGACATTGAATTAGAATCTTTCTCTCGTCTACATCCTCACCACATGGCTGTTTAGGTAGGTGAGGCAGGCATCAATTTGTCCATGGTGGCGGGCAGGGGGCGCCCACGGCACAGAGAGGTTTGGGGAATTGCCCAAAGTCACACCATCTAGTGGAGCTGGGTCTCGCGTGTGCTCCCACCCTTCCTAGGTGTCTTTACTCATGTTCTGCCATCCTGGTCCCACAGGGCTGCTTGACCGTTCAGAATTCTGGCCTGGGAAGAATCAGTTCCCAAGGGCCATGGGACCTCTCTCCTGCAGCTGGGGGGCAGCCTGCCCTTCCTGCCCCACTAGAGAGAAGGCAAGCCCAGGACCCTCTCCCTATCCTTGGACATGTGGGCCCGTGGATAACAATCTTCGCAGGAGCAGGGTCCCTGACGGTAGAGGAGAGAGGCCTGACTTTCCTGCCAAGGCCAGAGTTGCCCCTGGCTCCAGCTCGCCTGGCTGGATCTGGGTCCAGGGCTTCCTCCTTCATTCAAAAGCTCGGCCCTCTGAGGGTGGCAGTGGGGGAGGGGGAAGGGCTCAACCTCCAGCCCCCTCCCCCCATCACTGACAGCTGTAATCTGCTTGGGAAAATCTCTTTTTTTTTTTTTTTCTGCACAGGAAAAAATATTAGTTGTCCCGATAACAAGGAAAACAAAATCTAGCGCAGGGCATCAGAGACTTCCTGAGGCGGGAAACAATGTCCAGTGGAGAGATCAGTGGAGACGGCCCAAGCTGGGAGGCTGAGGGGGAGCTGAGAGAGGACTCTGGTCCAGTCCTATCCGGCCAGGGGGGAAGGGGATGACAGATCGAGGAACTTGGAAAAAAGATTTCCCCCCAAAACCTTGAAGTCTGGGCTGTTGAGCTATATCCGGGAAATGATTCAGGACCAGAGCACGTCCCTGCCTGGGGCCAGGCCCCATTGGCTCAGGTGCTCCGGGTCTACCTTTTTTCCCTCCCAGTCCCCTGCCTGCTCTCCCAGGTGCTACCCCAGGCCTGGGGGCCTGGAGAGTGAGACAGTAGGGTCCCTTCGGAGGTGGTGGATGAGGCCACGGGTGCCCCATAGGCAACCCCCGCCCCCTGCCCCTGGGGCATCTTGCCTTATCTGCCCACAGCTGCTTCCCTGAGGAACTTTCCACTAAGGGAGGGGGGTCAAGAAGAGGAGGACCTCTCCAAAGGCCCAGAGACTCTGGTCCCCTCCACCTCTACCAGGAGACTGTGGCAGTGGGCAGCGGCTCCAGGAGCTTGCACTGGGGGGGCTTATGATGGAGGGGCTCCAATCCCAGCTGCCTAGTCGTGGGTGCCGGGACACTGGGCTGTTGGGTCCAGTGGGCGTGGCCTCTGAGCACTGTGGGCCTCAGCGAAGGGACAGGAGGAGGAACAGGAGGCCCTGTGCTTCCAGATAGCAGTATCCCTCAACCCTGGCTGCACACTGCGTCACTGGGGAGCTTTTGGAAAATACCAGTGCCTCCAAGGCCTCATCTCAGAACAGTTCTATCAGGGTGCCCACAGGAGCTGCTCAGGTGATCCTTGTGCATGGCCAGGGCGGGCGGAGAACTCCTGCTCCATGGCCCTGTAACCCTTCAGTCACTTTCTGGCTGGCCCCCTCCACCTCTGCCAGCAGAACTGGCCCCTCCATTTCAGATTGGAGCCCCTCAGAGATGCCCACCTAGCCGGTGGCTGCCCGAGGTGCCCACAGAGTTCCCTGACCCAGCTGGAGGCCAGTTGCCCAACCCAATAGCAGGTTCTGGGTTACCCCCGCTCCCTCCTTCTGCTCCTTCTCTTTCCCCCTGGGCAGTGATGCTGGGGCCTTTGTTCTCGGCCAACAGGAGTGTGACCAGAAACCTACCCGCAGTTTAATTACAGTCCCACTCAGTGGCCATAGGCTGGCCACCGTCCTCACTCAGCCTGTAGCTAGGCCAGCCCGGCGCAGCTCCTCCCCACATCCCAGGGTCATGCCAGCTTTGTTCTCAGGAGGACCTGGTACTCCTTCCCTCACAGTGCCCTCAGCCCTTGCTCTGCACAAGGCCCTTGGGGAGGTGCAGAGGGAGGCCTGGGCTCTGAACACAGAAGCTGGGACCTTCCCCAAGCACGGGGGACCCTGACAGGGTGCTGACGCTGTTGCTTGCTGAATTGTGGGCTGACACGGTAAAATCCTTGAAGTCAGAGAGGTGATTTCTGGTTCATTTTTGATTGGTTACAAGCATGTACCAGTCACCTACTAAGCACTGGGTCTGTGGGGGGATATGCAGAGAGAGAAAGTCATAGTTCCTGCTCTCCAAGGCCTTTTCAAGGCAGAGGGAAGGGCAGTGCTTACAGTAATGGGCTACCACAAGGTAGTACCGTTTATATTCCCCGCAACCTCTCCAGGAACTCCCCACTGCCATGGCGGAGGGAATATTGTTAAGTGAAATATGTTAAGTGAATATTTGTTACTTAAGTAGAGCATAGAATGTCCCTTCCCTGGCATTACAGATAGAGGGAGACATCTTAGGGGTCAGGGACAGAATGAGTTTCAATTGCATCAAATGTTGGAGAAGCCCAGGCGCGGTGGCTCACACCTGTAATCCCAGCACTTTGGAATGCCGAGGGAGGCAGATTGCGTGAGCCTGGGAGTTCGAGACCAACCTGAGCAACATGGCAAAACCCCATCTCTACTAAAAATACAAAAAATTAGCTGGGTGTGGTGGTGGGCACCTGTAGTCCCAGCTACCTGGGAGGCTGAGGTGGGAAGATCACCTAAGCCTGGGAGGTGGAGGCTACAGTGAGCTACGATTGTGCCACTGCACTCTAGCATGGGTGACAGAATGAGAGCCTGTATATATATTAAAAAAAAAGCCATGTTGGACGAGAGAGGGGATGGAATGAACCTGGACCTGCAAGCTGGCCATAGAGGAGAGCTCACTAAGATCCCTTTTGGTTCTTGGCCGCGCTGTTACTAGCTGAGGGGGCTTGCAAGTCCCTAGGGTCTGCCTAGAGGTCCTGTGGGTTACCACCCCCTCTGCTCAAGTGATCTTGCCCACCTGGAGGTTCACCAAAGCCTGAGAAGCAGGACCGCAGAGCAGGCTTTTTTCTCCTCTTGAGGGGGGCTTCTTGCCCTAGGATTCCCAGGGGTCTCCCCTTTCCCCCTAGAGGAGCCCAACACAGCCCTTTCGCCATCACAGTATTTTCCAAACAGGTGGAGGATGCTGTGGCCCAGTAGCCACCTGGCTGCGGAGCGGGGAAGCCCAGTGCACGTCCCTGGGGCTTCTCTCAAGCTGCGGCCGCTCCTTACGAGCTTAGGCTCTAACCCTTGGCCTGGGCAGTGGGCAATAGCTTCAGGAGCTTGGAGTGAGGGGGCTTATGAGGGAGGGGGCCCACTCCCAGCTGCCTAGCTGTGGGTACTAACAGGCCACGCTGGGGCGGGGTCGGGGGGGCAAATAGATTGAGGGGGGGCACCACCACCTGCTTTTCCTTGTTTTGTTTTCAGGGCACTAATTACTGTGCTGAGCTCCGAGCTGCCTAATGAGGCCGTTTGGATTTCCTGTTGTTCTGGCTTCCCAAGACCCTTAAAGGGCCAGCATGGAACTAAGAGTGTGATCTGGGTGGGACACCAACTGCTCTGGTGGAGGTAAGCACAGAGGGGCTATCCCCAGATTTGGCCTGAATGCCGGGGGCAGTGAGCGGATGAGAGGCTGGTCCAGTTCGCTGCTCCCACGCCCTCTATGAGTACCCGCTCAGAAGTGCCCATGCCGGAAGCAGGAGCTTCAGGGCTGCATAGCCTGGCCAGGGCATGGGGTGGGGAGGGGGAGGCAAGGAGGCCAGGGCTGAGGAGGAAAGGCTGGTGATGTCACCAGTGCCCAGACTGTGAGAACCGCTGCAGCACCAGGCAGGAGGGAAACGCTGTGATGTCCTGCCTCCCCACTGGAAAATAAACACTTGTTGTCTGAGCGGCCAGCACCACTTCCAGAGGGGCAGGCTGGCGAGCCTAGGGGCCCAGAAACAGGCTCGGGCCCAGTGTTGGGCAGAGATCTTTGCCCAGGCTGGATGCAGGAGGGTCAGGCTGCCCCCAACCTAGCCTCGCTGTTGCACACCACCCAGCAAGGCTCATGGGCTGCGCCGGTCCCCTCTGCACCTTAGGGCTCTTCTGTGCATGCAGAGGAGCTGAGCATGGCTGGGGATGCCAGGAGCCCACTTCCTTAATGGACTGGCCGGGCAGGAGGGCACTCATCTGCCTGCCTGTGTCTGCCTCCTATTTGGGGCACAGCCTCCGCCCCAGGACCTATCCCAAGTGCCCCTCGCGCTGCCTCAGGCTGTGAGTCCCCTGGGCCCCTAGTATGCCTGGCCTGCAGCACCCTCCCCCCCAGACAGGGTGACGACATTGTTGTTCTTATACGGGGCCTTCCGCCTGAAGTTCCGGCTCTGCTAAATGGTGGGAATGAGGGTCCACGGGACAAAGCCAGCCTGGTTCCCGCAGCCACCTCAGAATGGACGGAATCCCCATTGTGTGCGGGCGCCTTGTGCCCACCCTCCCCTTACCCTCGCCGGACGTTGCCAACAAACAGCTCATTGAGCCCAGGGAGGGGCCCAGGAGACAACAATGTCCCCCAGCCGGCCAGAGCAGTGAACTCAGCTAGGGGTGGGAGCTGCCACGGAGGCTGGAGGGTGATGATCTCAGCCTGGGAGACCTGAGTCTGACCTGGGTCTGGTCTCCCTGGTGAGGGTGAGAAGGGCTGACCTGGCGGCCTCACCCTGGCTGCTCCACCCCCAGCTTGAGCTGGAAGGTTCTCGTGGCCCAGCCTAGGGGACCAAGCAGGCTGTCCACAGGACCCAGCAGAGCCATCCCAGGCCCAAGGGGCTAGTGGACCCTCCCTCTTGCAGTGCCATTCTGGAATTCCCTCCGCAAGGCCTAGACCAAAGCCCTCTCAAACCATCAGCCCAGTGCCAAGCATGTGTCAGGACTTTCAGATCCACAAGAGGCTGCACTTTCTATAACCAGAACCATCTAAAGAGCATGGGACAGCCTGGAGAGGGGGTGAGAGTCCTGTCCCCAGAGGTATTCGAGTCATTAGTTATTGAATATGGTGTTGGTCCAAGTGCCCTTCAGAGCTCACCTCACCCTGAGCTTCTAGACATAGGGCCCCAAGTCATTCCCCCAAGGTACCTCTGGACTCCCTTTTTGCTTTCCAGGCCCGATCCAACCTTTCTCCTCTTCCAGGCAAGTCTGGGCTGCCAGGAAGGGCCTCGGGCTTCTAAGGGGAAAGAAGGCAGGGGAGAGGGCTGGCCAGGAGAGCAAGGAGGCAGGGGAGAGGGCTGGCCAGCCCAGCAGCATGGCTGAAGCTGCCTCCACTTTCAGTATGGTTGCCCGGGAAGCCCTGATGCCAGTCTCATGTTTGCAGGGGACTATCTGGAAAGCAGAGGGTGAGAGGAGAGAGAAGCTGCTTTCAGGGAAAATGTGGAGTCTATCTCAGCCAGTCATCAGGCCTCTGGCATTCTCAGGTGCCCCACCATCTATGCATAGGAGCTGCCAACTCAGGGACAGGACTCAGAAATAAGTGCTCACCTGGTCACCAGCCACAGATATAGAAATGTTCCTAGCTGCCTCTGGCCTTCTTTCTGTACCTCCCTGCTCCAGACTACCCTGCATACCACTGCCAGAAAGCATGCAGACGGCACTCTCCTCTGCTCAAGAACCCACAGGCTCCCTAGTACCTATCAATCAAATCCAAATTCATCTGTCTGGTGGGTTTCCATGCCATAGCTATGTAACTTCATGTCCACCCTCCATAGGTGAAGTCTCTGCCCCAGCCATACTTGGTTCATTTGCACCCAGATCCTTTGCCTCTCTTCATTCTCTTGTCCTTTTTTTTTTTTTTTTTTTTTTTTGAGATGGAGTCTCGCTTTCTCACCCAGGCTGGAGTGCAATGGCACGATCTTGGCTCACTGTAACCTCTGCCTCCCAGGTTCAAGCAATTCTCATGCCTCAGCCTCCCAAGTAGCTGGGATTATAGGCGCCCGCCACCACGCCTTGCTAATTTTTGTAGTTTTAGTAAAGACGGGGTTTCACCATGTTGCCCAGGCTGGTCTCCTGAGCTCAGGCAATGAGCCCGCCTTGGCCTCCCAAAGTGCTAGGATTACAGGTGTGAGCCACCGCGCCCGTGCCCCCACCCCCTTCTCTTTATCTAAATTCTGTTCTTTTTCCAGGCCCAGTGTCATCCCTCCTCCCCTACAAAGCCTCCTGTGACCCTCGGGGCCCCAGTTGCTCTCTGAAGCCTGGTTCCACAGGTCATCACACTCCTTTTCATGTGCTTCTATCTAATTTCCAGCTGCTGTGAGCAACAAGGGCTGAATTTTATGTTCCTGTGTGGCCTTACTAACCTGAGCCCAGTGCTAGGCACATGGTAGACCTCATCCACAACTGAGTGGCTGATGGACCCAAACTCTGCACATGCACATCACACACACACAGGGGTCCTGGGAACACTAACCATGGGGCCCATAGGGCCATGCCCCAGATAGAATGCACCTTTTGCATGCCTTCTCTTCTCTTGGTGATGGTTTTGATAGACTTGTCCCAGGTCTCCCCAGTTTCCTCCTCACCTGGAGAAAGACTATAGTAAGGGGGTGGGGGTTAAGCCACAGGAGGAGAGGAGGGGAAGCAGGAGAAGCACTGGGAAGCACAGGGATCTCAGCAGCCACAATGGCTCCAACAATAGCAGTGTTCACGCTGCCCAAGCAGGACTCATGAGACTGGGGCAAGTGGGCCCAAGTGTGGATGCCTATTTCTTTTTTTTTCTTTTTGAGACAGAGTCTTGCTCTGTTGCCCAGGCTAGAATGAAATGACACGATCTCGGCTCGCTGAAACCTCCGCCTCAATGGTTCAAGGGATTCTCCTGCCTCAGCCTCCCAAGTAGC
The DNA here is from genome assembly GCF_000001405.40 of Homo sapiens. NCBI lineage: Eukaryota > Metazoa > Chordata > Mammalia > Primates > Hominidae > Homo > Homo sapiens. Next base: position 40,921,457 of record NC_000015.10, read on the forward strand.
TGGGATTATAGGCGCCCACCACCATACCCAGCTAAGTTTTTTTAACTATTATTTTTAGTAGACATGGGGTTTTGTCATGTTGGCTAGGCTGGTCTTCAAACTCCTGGGCTCAATGATTTGCCCACCTCGGCCTCCCAAAGTGCTGGGATTACAGGTATGAGCCACCATGCCTGGTTGATGCCTATTTATTTTTTTATTTTTATTTTTATTGTTATTGAGACAGAGTTTCGCTCTTGTCACCCAGGTTAGAGTGCAATGGCTTGATCTCGGCTCACTGCAACCTCTGCCTTCCGGGTTCAAGCGATTGTCCTGCCTCAGCCTCCCGAGTAGCTGGGATTACAGGCGCCTGCCACCACGCCCAGCTAATTTTTGTGTTTTTAGTAGAGATGAGGTTTCGCCATGTTGGCCAGGCTGGTCTTGAAGTCCTGACTTCAGGTGATCCATCTGCCTCGGCCTCCCAAAGTGCTGGGATTACAGGCGTGAGCCACTGCGCCTGACTGATGCCTGTCTATTTCTAAACATACAGAGTTGGTGGAGGCTGTTACTGAAACCCCTGGTGCTAAACACCCTGACTACATTGTCACTTGGGAGATTCTCTATGAGCTCCCAGATCTTAAATCCAGCCTGCCCCTTTGCTGCAGTTTGTGTGGCTGGACAGCTCCACTGGGCTTGATTTTCTGAGAGTGGCACCCAGAGGGGTGGGGGCAGGAGAAACAAAGTGAGTTTGGCTCACAGTGGTCTAAACATTGTCCAGAAAACTCCTTGGGTCTCCCAGGGAGCCTAGCTCCTGGTGCCTCCAGGTCTCTCTGGACTTCTTCCCTGGGGAAAGTCTAGACACGAGGAGAATTCTCTGGCCTGGGGTTTCTTTGCTAATCACAGGCAAGGCAGGTTACTCATTAGCAAGCATCAACGTGCAATTCTCATCAGTTCAGGGGAGAGTTCAACCTGGATTGACAGCTGGGATCCACTGTATAGACACTCGGTCACAGGAAGTTCTCCCATACGTCTAACCTAAATCCTTCCTGCCACAGTTGAAGCCTGTTTCCTCTCATTCTGACTGTGGTGGGAGAAGGAGACAGCCGGTCATCATCCTCTGCTTAAGACCCAGCACCTACTTGACCATGGCAGTGGGATTCCTCCCCAGCCTTCTCCAGGGAACAGTGGCCTGCCTGCTCAGGCCGTTGTTCACAGTTGGCACCTGTCCCCCGACTCTCCCCGTTTCTTCCTCTGTGTCTGAGAGTATTTGAAACAGTACTTCCTGGTTCAGGATTGACCCTTCTTTCCAGGGAGTCTGCGGGGGAGCAGGGCCGATCTGAGTACAGCCCACTCCCAGGTTGCCCCAGCGGGAGAGAGTGAGGTGTGGCCCCATCCCCGCCTCGTGCTTGCTTCAAGTCCTGGGTGGCAGCTGGGATCAGAGATCAGAGGCTATGTGGAGAAATGAGGAAAGGTCAGGGTTTCTTCCAGGAGATGAATTGTCACTCAGTAGGGGGAAGGCAGAGGACACGCAAGGACCTGGGGACGCCAAGGGATTGGGGAAATCATGGGCCTGGATGCTAATGGAAGGCCAGAGCCAGAGGAGGGGTGTGAGGCTGAGGGGGAAGGTGGGGCTGGGAGAGCTTCCCAGCTGGCAAAGGTCACAGAGGAAATAGGTTTCAGGGATGGGCAACCAGTATCCTGAGAGGGGGCAAGAGGAGAGGACAGTGAGGTGAGCACGGCCAGGGTGGAGGATGAGCAGGTAAGGAAGCTTTTACAGGGGAAGCAAAACCTCAGGGTAGGGAGGCAGGTCCAAGAGGGTGGCTGAACCCCTGCTTTCAGCTCAGGCTCTGCCCCCCACCCCACCATGTCCTTCAGCACAAGTTCTCTTTTGCCCCAGTGACTCCCAGCAAGGCTTCGCCCTGTGCCCTCCATTCTCTGACCCTACAAGACCTCTTAGAGGCCTCTGAGCCCTATAGGATCCAGGTGGGGAGGCAAGGGCAGGCTCGGGCCAGGCCTCCCACCCGGGGGTCTTCATGCAAGGCTGCCCTGAGCCTTCCCTCCCTTCCCCTGAGCCTCCCTGCTTGCTGGCTAGGGTAGGGACAGGAAGGAGCTAGGGAAGGGGAAGCCGGGGGCTCTGGGAAAGTTGCTGCGGAGGCTGCCCTAAACCCTGGCCTGCTCCGTGGCTGGAAATACCCACTGCGTGGCTCCTGGCCCTAGCTTTCCAGGCATTCCCTGGGTTTGGCAAATGAAGCTGGGGCAGCTGCCGGGTCACCGTAACTCTAGCCCTTGCAGCCAGGCCTATCTAGGCTTCTCCAGCTGGCAGGTCTTCACTCTGCCCCCTCTTCTTTCTCTCCTGCTGACCAGCACCCAGAAGGCCTGGAGAGAATGTCTGCCGGCCATGAGTCATGGTTAGAAGATGCTTCTCATGTGGCGAACCCTCAGCTTCTCTTCTCTTGGGCCCATGGTCTCCGCAGACCCAAGCTGTTCTCCTCCAGAAGAAGAGGGCCCAGTCCATACCAGTTACCGCAGTCCCAGGCATCTCCTGCACTGGGGCTTCTGAGAAGGCAAGGGAGACAGTCTGCAACTAGCCTAGGCCCTCGGGCTCCTGGGGAACATGGGAGGAGGAGAGGGGAGGCCCTCCTGGTCTTGTGAGAAGCAAGAGCAGGGACTCTGTCTCCTGCCAAGGGTCCCAACCACTTGGACATCCCTTCCTTGGCACATTTGGGTCATCAGTCATGAGCCATCAGCCAGTGGATGGTCCAGCCCGGTCAGTGTGCTGTCTTGGTGACACAGAGAGGGCTGATCTGCCAGGAGCTTCAAGGACCAGGGCAGAAGATGCCCCTCTTTCCTGCCACAGGTCTCAGCTCTGAACTGCCACCATGAAGGAGGAGGGGTTACAATTTGAAACCTACACTTGGCCCTGGCAGGAGTGCCGTCTTGGTTTCCGAAGGCCAAGACTGTGAGCAGTTAGTTCCTCCAAACCTTCATATCTTCCCCAAACCCATTCTCAAAGCTCCAGTCTTCTCCCTCCAGTCAAGAACTTTGTCACACCCTCTTGCCACAAACAGGACCTCCAACAGTTGGCTTTTTCCACAGGGTCCGGATCCCTTCCGAGCCCCACCTAGCTTTCCTCTCTTTTTTCCCCACCCTCTGCTCCTCATGCCTCATCCCTTATGAGCATTTGTCTGCGGTTCTCCTTTTTCCTTCATTTCCTTCTGGAACTCATTTGCAGTCAGGGAGCTCCCCTCCACTCTAAGTCTGCCCCTGACTGTCTGGATGTCACCTGGGGGAAAGGAAATGACTGTTTATTGGGTCCCATGAATGCATAATCTGATACAGTCCCTCAGCCACTCTCCAAGGCTCCAAGGTTATTATTATTATTATTATTATTATTATTATTATTATTATTATTAGAGACAGAGTCTCATTCAGTCGCCCAGGCTGGAGTGCAGTGGCATGATCTCTGCCCACTGCAAACTCCGCCTCCCAGCTTCAAGCAATTCTCCTCCCTCAGCCTCTTGAGTAGCTGGGATTACAGGCAAACACCACCATGCCTGGCTACTTTTTGTATTTTTTTTTGGTAGAGACAGGGTTTCACCATGTTGGCCAGGCTGGTCTCGAACTCCTGACCTCAAGTGATCTGCCCTCCTCAGCCTCCCAAAATGCTGGGCTTATAGGCATGAGCCACCACACCGGCCATCCCTATTATTATTATCCCATTGCACAGATGAGAAAACTGAGTGTAGAGCTAGAGTTAGGTTACAAGCCCAAGACCACATGGTTAGGAAGTGCCAAGAAGCAGGTCCATGTCAGGCTTATTCACCAGACTCACCTGGAGGGTGGGGAGAGACTCGTTCCTCCTGCCTCCTCCCCATCTCTGCTCAGTCCCCCTGACCAAGATTCTTCAGAGTTCGGTGTCCCTCAGCGCCCATGCCCTACCCCTTCCTTCTCACCGGGGCCCTTCTTATCATCAGTCACTGCATCCTGTTCCTCCCTTGAAGCCCCCAGATGAGTTCTCAAGGCCACCACCAAGTCATCACCTTCCTCACTCCTCTCTCCAGTCTCAGGCCTGTTCTATGGGGAACCCACTCTGTCCCGCGGGAAAAACCCTCAGCAGGCGGTTCCTTGTGGGGGCTCCAGAGAGAGGTGAAGGAGGCCACGCGGGGCACCGCCTGCTGAGCGGGAATCCCGTCCCTAACCGCTGGCGCCCCTCGAGGGGAGGGGCGAGGGCGGAGGTGGTTCTGCTGCGGCATCTGTCCCAGGCGGGCGGGAAGCTGCTGCATTAAATTGTAAAATCGATTTATTGACCGGCAGGTGCGAGCAGCGGCAGATGGAGAGTAGCCCTGCCGGGGCGCATCTGCGGGGAGCGGCGGCATCGATCCCGGCCCCCCTCTGAAACCCGTCGGTCCTGGGCCTTTCTCGCCAGCTCACTCCCAATTGTAGGGCCAAGGTCCTTGAAACTGCGGCGCCTGAATGGCTAGGGTAGCTCGACTCCCTCCCCCAACACCCTCCTGGCCTCAGGCCCCGGGCTGCGCCCCCACGGCTGCCAGGCTCTGCCAGTCCCACTGCCCCAGTTGGCACGCGGCGGGCCGGGCTGACGCGTGGCAGCGCCCTGCGGCAGATGAGGCACGCGCCGGCCTCATTTCAATGTGAATGGATCGAATGGAGCAGCCATGTGGCAGCAACAGTTTGCAAATCTCCACGCCTTCTGTGCAGCTCCCCGGCCGCCGCTCCCTGCACGTGGCCCCTTCTCCGCAGCGACCGCAGCGGCGCCCCTCAAGGCTTAAGCGCCCCGCCCAAGCCAGGCCTGCTTCCCCGCCCCTGGTCTGCCCAGCAGGCACGGTGGCCCGGCCCCCACCGCGCTCCTACCCGGGTGCAGTGTGCCCCGCGAAGAGCGCCGTCCCCTGAGAGGGGGTTGGGGAGAGGAGAGGCAAAACCGCGCTGAAGGTCTCGGAGCTGCGCCTGCGGCCGTGGGGAGGGCACAGAGGCTACGCTGCGGGGGAGGAGTCCCGAGGCTCTACGAGGCTCCTGTTGCGCCCCAATAACCTGGGGTCAGCTTGGGGACACCGCTGGAAGGCGACCTTAGCGCTTCCCGGTCCTCAGTGCCGGTTCTTATGGCTGGAGGACTATGCGCAATGGCCAAGCGTAGGGGGACAGCAGAAGCAGAAGGCCTCTAGGGGCAGAGGCGGTGGGCCTTTCATGAAGCCAGGCCTCGACCCTGCGCCCGCTTCCGACGTTGGGGAGTGTTGAGGGTGCGGGTCGAATTGAGGAACCCTGGGCCTGCGGAGGGTCAGTGGTCTTTCGGACTCTGGGTCTATCTGTGCACCCTTTCCATGCTGTTGTGGAGGGTCTGCGTCAGGGGCGGGGGCAGCCGACTTCGATGGGGGTCCAGCCCCACGGTGATCGGTGGCCTCCCATCCCAGGACCACGCGTGTAGCGTTCTTCCGCCCGCAAGTCCGAAAGTCCCGAGTGGGAGAAGAAGGAAGGCGCAGCCCCAGTTTTGGGCTGACAGAAACACTTGCGGCCTTCGCACTGGGCTCCCCACCCGCAGCATGACCCTCTCCTGCTCAGCAAATGTGGGCAAAGCTCGACCGCAGCGTGTGGGAGCGCTCGTAGGTACCCAGGGCCAAGGGTGGCAGTGTCCTAGCCCGGGAATGAGCTTCTGGGACAGCGCCTCCGCAAATAGGTGTTTCATGAATGTCTTTTGATGCTGAGAATTTAACCCTTTCCTCTTCTGGTCAGAGCCTTTCTAGATCTCTGGGATCTCCTGGGTGCTGCCTCTCTGAAGATAATAATCCCAACTTTTGTTTGGTCCTTGATAATTTGCAAAGTACATTTGGGCACATTAGTCTGGGCGTGTATGAGGGTAGAGAGTGTTCCAGATTTTCCAGTATTGGGAGAGATGCCTTGTGTGGGACTAGATGTCTCCCTTGAGGGTCAGGTAAGCAGGACCAGCGCCAGAAAAGGAGGATGTTTTTATTAACTCCTGGGCCAGGATTTGGAGTTGAGAGAGGACAGGGCTAGGTAGGGCTGGATGCCAGCTTGGAGGGGAGCAAGGGGCACCCGCTGGCATCTTAGAGAGGCAAGTCCAGGGATCCATAGGGTATAGGCGGAGAGAAGATCTGGGAGCCCACTTGCCAGGATCGCCGGGAGGCACGCCCCGGACTCCCCCTCCCTCGGGCCTGGGACTCCGCCTGCCCATAACCTACATTAACTCCCGAGCGCAGCCTGGGCCCATCTGCCGCCCCGCCCCACCTCGGTTCCCCACGCCAACCCGCTCGCGCCAGATGGTGGCTGGGAGGGGTGGCCGTGCGTGGGGGACCCCGGAGCCCGTCTCCTCACCTCGCCCCTCCCCCAACCCACGCTCCCAACCTCTTGTTTCTCATCCTTCCCCCCCCCACCACACCCGTCCCCCAGTCCTCCACCACCACCACCCAACTCAAAAAAAAAAATCAGACCATGCTCGGCATTGGCAGCTGTTGGGCTTCTCGCCGCTCCCCCACCCTTACCGCCTCCCCCGGGTTCGCGCCGCGTCCCGGCTCCCCCCCCGCGCTGATCTTACCGCCCGACTACAGCCATCACCTCGCGGGCGGGCTGACAGCTGAAGCCACAGGGCCCCCGCTGCCCTCGGCGTCGCAAAGAGAGAGCTCCCCGGCACCCCTGAGACTGGGAGAAGCCGGCCCTCCCCGGTCTGCGGTCTCCGGGGATCACGCCGGGTTCCGAGAAAGCAGCTGCGCTGCTGCCGCTTGGAGGAGTGGGGCCACCCAGGGGACCCTCTCGGGCGAGACTTGGGAAGCCGCCTGAAACTCAAACAGCTCCGCAAGCCTCCAGTTCCACCCCACATCCCGCCTTATGAGGCGAGGACCCGGGCCGACCCGGCCTCAGTCCCTCACCTTGATTCTCCAGTGGCCTGAGCCAACTCTGGCGTCAGGAGAGTTCCTCCTTGCCCCAGCTGAGCGACAGGGCGCGGCCGGGGGCTTGGGGCTGCTGGGGTGGGGGGAGGCAGTGGGCGCAGGAACTGAAGCTGGACTCAGGTGAGGGGACGCGCTGGAGGCGGGGCCAGAACCTCATTACCATACAGCTGAGGACGCGCCCCCCTCCTACCTCCGGGACCACGCCCCGCCCTCCCCCACCTCAGGGACCGCGCGTCTGGGTCTCTGGCACGCGCCAAGCCCTGGCAGGGGGCAGAAGGGAGAAGGCACGCGCTGGGCACGCCCCCCCTTAGCTAGAGAGGGAGACGCCCAACAGGTGCACAGAGAGGGCCCCGAGCCTTAGACCCTTAGCCCCTAGCCTTGCTCAGAGTGGCCACAGAGAGGTTAACGCTTCTGCTGGCTTCCCTGCTGCGCTGGGGACGCGTGGTGGGTGGGCACTCATAGGTTGGGGGCCGTTGAGACAAGGGCTCCAGAAGCTCCAGGAAGGAAAAGGAGATCGGATTTCCCTAGCGCTGGTTTTTGCATTCCGGGCTTAAGTTCTTTTTACCTGCTTTGGAACACTAGGTAACTAGCGCCTGCTGCGGATGCACAGCCTACAGGGACTGCCTAGTGTCTCCGCCCCCAAGACCATCCCCGAACCACCCACTCACCTCCTGCCCCATTACCGGGCAACCCCTCTATCCTCCGGCGGCCAGGGTCTCAGCCCTTAACCCCGCCATCACGGAGGACTGGTCACCTCGGCACGCGCAGAGCTGGGGGACCTAGAGGTTGGGAGCGGCACGGAGGGGCGGGGACCTGCGCCCGACTGGCTGACGGGGAGGGGGGAGCGGCGGGGGCGGAGGCCCCCTCCGGGCGGCGCTGGGACTGTAGCAGCTAGAGGCCGGGAGGGGAGGGGAGAATGACCATGAGTCTGAGTGACAGGCGGCGAGGAGAGGAGCCAATATATATAAGGAAGGCCCCCAGCGCGCAGGTTTCAGTAGCGGCGCTGCGCGCAGGCCGGGAACACGAGGCCAAGAGCCGCAGCCCCAGCCGCCTTGGTGCAGCGTACACCGGCACTAGCCCGCTTGCAGCCCCAGGATTAGACAGAAGACGCGTCCTCGGCGCGGTCGCCGCCCAGCCGTAGTCACCTGGATTACCTACAGCGGCAGCTGCAGCGGAGCCAGCGAGAAGGCCAAAGGGGAGCAGCGTCCCGAGAGGAGCGCCTCTTTTCAGGGACCCCGCCGGCTGGCGGACGCGCGGGAAAGCGGCGTCGCGAACAGAGCCAGATTGAGGGCCCGCGGGTGGAGAGAGCGACGCCCGAGGGGATGGCGGCAGCGTCCCGGAGCGCCTCTGGCTGGGCGCTACTGCTGCTGGTGGCACTTTGGCAGCAGGTAACACGTCCCGCGCCCTCTCCGTCCCCTCTGCCGCGCTCTGGGCCTCAGCCCCGGGCACCAGCTGAGCTGACCGGTCCCCTCCCTCCTTCCCTCGGTCCCTGTGCAATAGCGCGCGGCCGGCTCCGGCGTCTTCCAGCTGCAGCTGCAGGAGTTCATCAACGAGCGCGGCGTACTGGCCAGTGGGCGGCCTTGCGAGCCCGGCTGCCGGACTTTCTTCCGCGTCTGCCTTAAGCACTTCCAGGCGGTCGTCTCGCCCGGACCCTGCACCTTCGGGACCGTCTCCACGCCGGTATTGGGCACCAACTCCTTCGCTGTCCGGGACGACAGTAGCGGCGGGGGGCGCAACCCTCTCCAACTGCCCTTCAATTTCACCTGGCCGGTGAGCACAGCCTGGGCGCACTGGGAGGTCGCAGAAGCCGAGAGAGGAGGCGCCCTGGGACCAAAGCCCCCTCCCCAGATTTCCTTGTACACACACCCCCACCCCCAAAAAGCCCAGGATGCATTCTTTCCTGGCTCTTCCCGACTCTCTCCTGAGACTGATCCCAGAAAAGGCTCTCACCAGTCTCCGTCTTCCCAGTTTATGTCCTCCCGTCCCCAGCTCTTGGGACACGATTTTCATTACCTACCACTCTGGGGCGGTACCCTACCACCCCCTCCTCCAGTGGCTCTCCCTTACACTCTCCCGTCTCTCAACCCTCCCTCTACCGGGGGTTCTCCTCTCGCCTTCCCTGCTCAAGCGCTACACTGTGCACAGCCCCGTTATGTTGACCCGGGCGCAGTAACTGAATCCTGCAATTAGATTAATTAAACAGGCTGCCGCAAGGCACCCCCACCTCTCCCCGCTTGCTCATCTCGCCATCTCTCCGTCCCCCCACCCCCTTTCCCAGGGTACCTTCTCGCTCATCATCGAAGCTTGGCACGCGCCAGGAGACGACCTGCGGCCAGGTGAGTAGCTCGCTCCGCCACCACAGGGGGGCGACACGGCGCAGCGCCGAAAGAGTTAATCTGTTCTAGGCGGGGGAAGTGCGGGCTTGGGGGTGGGAGGCAGGACGCTTAGCTTGGCCTGGAGCTGCGCCCCGCGCTGGACGCTCGGATTCCGCTCGCTGCCTGGACTCAGAGCACAATTGCGTTTCCTGCGGGTTATTTTTGGCGTGGGAACGCGGGGAGTACGGCGGTGAGAAAGGCTGAAGCTGCCAGCGCCGCTGACGGGCCCCTTCCTGTATTTTACACCTTTCGCGAATTCCGCTCCTTTGGAAAGGGAATAATGGCTTTGGGATGTTGTTCTGACACAGAGGAAAAGGATATTTCAGCAGCACAACAATTCTCACTTTGAAAAGGAAAAAAGAAAACCATTACCCACCTCTGGAGGCAGAACCCCTGAATGGGCACCAAAGGACCCCCTGCTCCCAGGGTCCTCTCTAGCCTGGGGAGCTTTTCTTTCTTTTTCTCTTTTTTCCATTTTGACCTCTTTTCCTCTTTCCCCTCCCTATCTGCCTCCAAGACCCTGGGATATCTTAACATCCTTCTATTGTCCCCTTTTTGAATACTATCAGGCCCCCTGCACATGCACACACGTAGGGCAGCTACGTAGCGGGGCTTTGGGTCCCTCTGGCCTGTTCTTGCTGGCAGGCGGGGGTCATCTGGATAACTGGGCTGATTGGTTGGCTGATCACCATCATCACAGCCAAGAAGGACATTGGCCAGCCGTCACTGGCACCCTTGGGGACTGGCGACCCTTCCCTGACCCGACCCTCTGCCCCCTCAGAGGCCTTGCCACCAGATGCACTCATCAGCAAGATCGCCATCCAGGGCTCCCTAGCTGTGGGTCAGAACTGGTTATTGGATGAGCAAACCAGCACCCTCACAAGGCTGCGCTACTCTTACCGGGTCATCTGCAGTGACAACTACTATGGAGACAACTGCTCCCGCCTGTGCAAGAAGCGCAATGACCACTTCGGCCACTATGTGTGCCAGCCAGATGGCAACTTGTCCTGCCTGCCCGGTTGGACTGGGGAATATTGCCAACAGCGTAAGCAGTCAAGCTCCCACCTGTGTGGAAGGGGAGGGTCCCCTGAGGAAACACAGTGGAGCTTCTTGGTCACAGCTTGCCTCCCTTGAAGAGTGGGTCTGGGCCTCCTACTAGCTGGGCCTCAGGGATGCTGAGGGTGGGCTTGACCTCAGACCTCCTGTCTCTTCCCAGTGCTCCTCCCATCATGCCAAAGCCCACAAGAACCCCATCATGACATTCCATCCAGTTTGGCTTCTCCTTCCCTGTGCCATTATTTCACTTTAAGACACTCGGGGCTCCTCTGGGAGGCCAGGAGTAGGAAGAGGGCCCAGGAGAGCTAGGGGATCCCCAGGGCCAGCAGGTGAGAATGGGGCTTAAGAGTCCTTGGTATCCCAGCCTCACCCAGCTCTGTGTTCTTCCCTTAGCTATCTGTCTTTCGGGCTGTCATGAACAGAATGGCTACTGCAGCAAGCCAGCAGAGTGCCTGTGAGTAGGGGACAGGAAGTGGTGAGTGGGAGCCCTCCCTTGGCCAAGGCCTCTCACCTCACTCTGCCTCTCTCTTGTTCCCCAGCTGCCGCCCAGGCTGGCAGGGCCGGCTGTGTAACGAATGCATCCCCCACAATGGCTGTCGCCACGGCACCTGCAGCACTCCCTGGCAATGTACTTGTGATGAGGGCTGGGGAGGCCTGTTTTGTGACCAAGGTGAGTCAGGGTGAAGAGAGGGTGCAGAGGGTGCAAGAGATATGGGGCTGGGGGGTGGAAATCCGATTCGTCACCTGGATCCTTCTTACTTGGTGACTGCAGACTTGGCTTTCCCATGATCTTCCAAGGATCTTGGGTCTTTTAAGGATCTTTACAACTGGCCCAGAATGAGGCGGTGGGTCCTTCTCCAGGTGCGGCGGCAGGGGGTGGTGGAGCCAGGGTGGCTGAAAAACCCAGGGGGGTGACAAGGTCGGCAGCCTGGAGGTTGCACTCATAAATCCTAGCAAAGCCAAAGAGAGAGGGATGGCAGGCTCAGTTCCTCTTTCAACCCCGTAGTTACCTATTAACCCCCTGAGTGTTTGCTTACCTTCCAGGGCTGTTTGAGCAGCTCTCCCCTAAACAGCTGTCCGGTGGGGTGTGCCCACCGGCCACCTGAGGCTGTGGGTGAGCTGGGCCTCTGGGCGGAGTGGCATCTAACCGACTTTTCGGTGTGGGCACAAACGGCCTCCCCTGCTCTTACCTAGTTACCACCTGCCTGAACCCATGCGGTCTCTACCTGGTGTTTAGGGGTAGTCACTCTCTGGCTATACAGGGGCCTTTCAGCCCCAACCTTGGGGGAGGAGGAAGCCTTTTTTCTTGCATCCTGCTAGCCAGCTGCAGCCAGCTGCAGCTCCCATTTTCAGGATCAAATGGGTGCACCTGCTGCCCAGAGACACCGGCGCAGGCCTGGGTAGGGTGGGCAGAGAGCTTGCCAGGGTGGAAAGAAATTGCCTAGGCCCTGACTTGCTGTCAACAAGGGGCTTGGGATTCAGTCCCTGTGTTGTGTGTGTGTGTGTGTGTGTGTGTGTGTGTCTGTCCCTTTACTACCATCCCCACCCCAACACTCACACACCTGGTTCCTGCTCATTCTCTTCCCTCTCCACCATATTTGCTCCCAGGTGACACAGTCATATACTCATCATATGCAAACACAGCACTTGCAGGCCATATATTTACTCTGTCTGGTTCTCCCTCCCTGTCCTTCCCAAATAAAAAAACAAATACTTATATTTCAAAATACCCTTGTAACACCTCTTCCTTTAAAAAATGCCCGATTACTGCCTATGGTGGCTCTCATCTCTCCTCTACCATTTCTACCTGTTGAAATTTTATCCCTCCTTCCAGGCTTATCTCAGCTGCCCCTCCTCCATGAAGCCTTTTCTGACTTCCTCCCCGACATGTGGCCTTGCCCTCTGCTCTTCTTCCTTATCTTCATCCTACTTGGGTTGGCAGTTTGTGAGTTTCCCTGGCAGGACGTCTTCCAGTTCCAGTTGTGTTGTTTCACTTTTGGTTGACTGCACTGGTCATATGTGATTCAAGGTGCTTTAAGAAACATGATTTTCATCCTGGCTAACACAGTGAAACCCTGTCTGTATTAAAAATACAAAAGTTAGCCAGGTGTGGTGGCAGGCACCTGTAGCCCCAGCTGCTGGGAAGGCTGAGGCAGGAGAATGGCGAAGTAGAGCTTGCAGTGAGCCGAGGTCGTGCCACTGCACTCCAGCCTGAGTGACAGAGCAAGACTCCGTCTCAAAAAAAAAAAAAAAAAAAAAAAAAAGAAACATGATTTTAGGCTGGGTGCGATGGCCTGTAATCCCAGCACTTTGGGAGGCCGAGGTAGGTGGATCACTTGAAGTCAGGAGTTCGAGACCATCCTGGCCATCCTGGTGAAACCCCTGTAAAAATACAAATATTAATCGGGCACAGTGGCGCATGCCTGTAATCCCAGCTACTTAGAAGGTTGAGGTATGAGAATCGCTTGAACCCGGAAGGCGAAGGTTGTAGTGAGCCTATATCACATCACTGCACTCCAGCCTGGGCGACAGAGTGAGACTCTGTTAAAAAAAAAAAAAAAAGAAGGAAAGAAAGAGAAAGAGAGAGAAAGAAAGAAAGAAAGAGAAAGAAAAAAGATTTTATTGGTGGTGGAGGAAGGATGTTTGGGCCTGGGAGACTTTGAGTTGAGGTGTCTTTGAGCCAAACATGGGGGCAAACATGGACTGCAAGGAGCCTGGAGGTGAGTGCATTCCCTGGCCCTGCTCAGCTGCTTGGTTCCTGTTTCTGCAGATCTCAACTACTGCACCCACCACTCCCCATGCAAGAATGGGGCAACGTGCTCCAACAGTGGGCAGCGAAGCTACACCTGCACCTGTCGCCCAGGCTACACTGGTGTGGACTGTGAGCTGGAGCTCAGCGAGTGTGACAGCAACCCCTGTCGCAATGGAGGCAGCTGTAAGGTGAGGCCCAGACCAGCGCAGGAAGACAGAGGTGTCAGGTGGTGTCTGGGCATCCCTAACCTAGGCAGTTAGTGGATGTACAGCCATGGACAGGCATTGTGGGCAGGTGGAGCCCAGCCTTCAGTCACACATCCCTGCCCCCCAGGGTCTGACTTTGGCCCCTTTATGGTCTCTCTCCAGGACCAGGAGGATGGCTACCACTGCCTGTGTCCTCCGGGCTACTATGGCCTGCATTGTGAACACAGCACCTTGAGCTGCGCCGACTCCCCCTGCTTCAATGGGGGCTCCTGCCGGGAGCGCAACCAGGGGGCCAACTATGCTTGTGAATGTCCCCCCAACTTCACCGGCTCCAACTGCGAGAAGAAAGTGGACAGGTGCACCAGCAACCCCTGTGCCAACGGTGCGTGCTGCTGCCCTGCTAACCTGGTGGACTGGCCCTGGGGCTGAGAGAGACTTCTGGTGAGGGAGGGTCAGGAGAGGAGCGAGGCATTGTCTGCCACTCTGGCCCCCCATCTGCTCTGGAGGGCGAAGAGCTTGCTTGATCAGCTGGGGGGCTGTGGAAGCGGAGCTGGTTAGTTGCACGCAGGCCTTAGGAGCAGGGGTGGTATGCACCCTGCATAGCTTCCATTCCTATTCCCATGTCAGAACCCCGTCCTGGCTGGGGTGGCCTCTGACCCTCCCCAGGAAGTCCTGAGCTGGAGAGAGGGATGTTGGAGGCTTCATGTTTCTCCTCAAAGGAGGCAGTGATTCAGTCAGAGCCCTGCTCCTGGAGGCCTCATCTTGCCCCGTGCCCAGGTAGAGCATGAGGTAGCATGAGGCATCTTGAATGTTTGCACCTTTTGAGGCACAAAGCCTGTTGGTAATCCTTGTCTATCTGGCTCCCAGGTGACCCTCTGTGAGGCAGGCAGGCAGGCAGCGCTCAGGAGCTGGAGAGGGGTGGGAAGGGCTGAGAGGGAGTCTGCTCTCTCACTGAAGCCTCTGGCACTGCCATTTCTTCATCACTGAATGGGAAACTATAATACCTGTCCTCTGTCCTTCATGTGGTTGTGAAGATGAAGTAAAACAGTCATGATTGTACTTATCCGAGCATTAACTATATACCAAACATGGGCTCTTGCCTTCATGTACCTTCCCGGCTATCCTATGAAGGGGCTAGCATTCTACTCCAGTCTAACAAATGGGGAAACTGAGGCTTAGAGACACGGTTAAGCAGCAAGTGCCAGATCTCAGGCCACAGAGTGACAGCTGAGGTCCCAACTCAAGCCTATCTGTCTGATTCTACGTTAAAGTTCTGTAAGATGCTAGTCATTTTTATACATGAGCCCACTGAGGCCGAGAGAATCAAGGTCATGCTAAACTCCAGGTCTCCTGACTCTGTGCAGTTCTCTTTGTAGTGGGCTCTGCAGGTGGAGGTAGAAGGGCCCGAACGTGTTCCTGGAATGGGGCTCCCACCCCCTGCCCCAGGGAGCTCCCAGGCTATCACTGACTTGTGTCTCATGCGTCCTCACAGGGGGACAGTGCCTGAACCGAGGTCCAAGCCGCATGTGCCGCTGCCGTCCTGGATTCACGGGCACCTACTGTGAACTCCACGTCAGCGACTGTGCCCGTAACCCTTGCGCCCACGGTGGCACTTGCCATGACCTGGAGAATGGGCTCATGTGCACCTGCCCTGCCGGCTTCTCTGGCCGACGCTGTGAGGTGCGGACATCCATCGATGCCTGTGCCTCGAGTCCCTGCTTCAACAGGGCCACCTGCTACACCGACCTCTCCACAGACACCTTTGTGTGCAACTGCCCTTATGGCTTTGTGGGCAGCCGCTGCGAGTTCCCCGTGGGCTTGCCGCCCAGCTTCCCCTGGGTGGCCGTCTCGCTGGGTGTGGGGCTGGCAGTGCTGCTGGTACTGCTGGGCATGGTGGCAGTGGCTGTGCGGCAGCTGCGGCTTCGACGGCCGGACGACGGCAGCAGGGAAGCCATGAACAACTTGTCGGACTTCCAGAAGGACAACCTGATTCCTGCCGCCCAGCTTAAAAACACAAACCAGAAGAAGGAGCTGGAAGTGGACTGTGGCCTGGACAAGTCCAACTGTGGCAAACAGCAAAACCACACATTGGACTATAATCTGGCCCCAGGGCCCCTGGGGCGGGGGACCATGCCAGGAAAGTTTCCCCACAGTGACAAGAGCTTAGGAGAGAAGGCGCCACTGCGGTTACACAGGTGAGTGGCACCCAGAAGCCCAGGGCCTGGCCACCGGCCCCGACATGGTTCTGCCTAGGCTCCTCTTAGGCCAGGCGGGAAGCAGTTAAGCAGCTGAGGTTTTGTTACTGACAGGAAGATCCTCCAGTAGGATTTCTGTCAGGGGTCCTTTGTCCTTCCCTCCCATTCATTCATTTGTTCATTCACACATGTCAAGTGTCCCTAGGGTGTCTCTTGTGACTTCCGTCTTTCCACAGTGTGGCTTGCCTCTAGTGGCAGCACTGGCTTTATGCAGGGCTCAGACCCTTCTGGTGAGGTTGGGAGGCCTGTGACTCTCTTAGGGGCCTTTTCCTAAGTGCCCCCCTGCAGCAGCCCAGCACTGGGCACGTCCAGCCCCTGTGTCTTCCCCAAGAACCACCCTGCAGATGCCCTTTGGCTCTCCAGGGTCCTCCCTCCCCCCAAGCCTCTCCCCGTCCCTCCCTTACACGCCTGTCTTGTGTTCCCTCAGTGAAAAGCCAGAGTGTCGGATATCAGCGATATGCTCCCCCAGGGACTCCATGTACCAGTCTGTGTGTTTGATATCAGAGGAGAGGAATGAATGTGTCATTGCCACGGAGGTGAGTGCTGGGCTCGCCTTTCCTTCTGCCTTTTGTGGGAGGGAAAGTGGCCTGGTCACTCTTGACCCATGGGCCATTCCTGAAGGGTAGGTCAGAACCCTGCCTTGGCAGGCCAAGTTCAGTGGACTCTTGGGTCCCTGCTGGCCTCATTGCCACTAAGGGTGTGAAACAGGAACCATGGCGGCAAGCCTGGTCTGGTCCTTTCCTGCTGTATTGGTGCTGGGTTGGGCAGCCACGGCACTGCTGGCCAGCCTCTGATGGGTGAGGGGGCCCCTCACCCCTTGTGCCCTTCCTGCCCCTTCCCACTGGCTTCCTCCATTGACCTCATGAGCGCAAGCTCCCAGGCCCGTGTGTGTGTTGGGCCGAAGACTGGGGAGGACTGCCCCACCTGCCCTTAGCCCCTGCCTGCCCCATCGCCTTCTCCCAGGGAGGCCCAGGGAGGGCCTGGAGGGAGTGCGCATGCCCAGGGTAACCTGTTTCCCTGCCTTCCGCTTGCTCCCAGGTATAAGGCAGGAGCCTACCTGGACATCCCTGCTCAGCCCCGCGGCTGGACCTTCCTTCTGCATTGTTTACATTGCATCCTGGATGGGACGTTTTTCATATGCAACGTGCTGCTCTCAGGAGGAGGAGGGAATGGCAGGAACCGGACAGACTGTGAACTTGCCAAGAGATGCAATACCCTTCCACACCTTTGGGTGTCTGTCTGGCATCAGATTGGCAGCTGCACCAACCAGAGGAACAGAAGAGAAGAGAGATGCCACTGGGCACTGCCCTGCCAGTAGTGGCCTTCAGGGGGCTCCTTCCGGGGCTCCGGCCTGTTTTCCAGAGAGAGTGGCAGTAGCCCCATGGGGCCCGGAGCTGCTGTGGCCTCCACTGGCATCCGTGTTTCCAAAAGTGCCTTTGGCCCAGGCTCCACGGCGACAGTTGGGCCCAAATCAGAAAGGAGAGAGGGGGCCAATGAGGGCAGGGCCTCCTGTGGGCTGGAAAACCACTGGGTGCGTCTCTTGCTGGGGTTTGCCCTGGAGGTGAGGTGAGTGCTCGAGGGAGGGGAGTGCTTTCTGCCCCATGCCTCCAACTACTGTATGCAGGCCTGGCTCTCTGGTCTAGGCCCTTTGGGCAAGAATGTCCGTCTACCCGGCTTCCACCACCCTCTGGCCCTGGGCTTCTGTAAGCAGACAGGCAGAGGGCCTGCCCCTCCCACCAGCCAAGGGTGCCAGGCCTAACTGGGGCACTCAGGGCAGTGTGTTGGAAATTCCACTGAGGGGGAAATCAGGTGCTGCGGCCGCCTGGGCCCTTTCCTCCCTCAAGCCCATCTCCACAACCTCGAGCCTGGGCTCTGGTCCACTACTGCCCCAGACC
Organism: Homo sapiens; assembly: GCF_000001405.40. NCBI lineage: Eukaryota > Metazoa > Chordata > Mammalia > Primates > Hominidae > Homo > Homo sapiens. The sequence goes on from NC_000015.10 coordinate 40,938,886, forward strand.
ACCCTCAAAGCTGGTCTTCAGAAATCAATAATATGAGTTTTTATTTTGTTTTTTTTTTTTTTTTTGTAGTTTATTTTGGAGTCTAGTATTTCAATAATTTAAGAATCAGAAGCACTGACCTTTCTACATTTTATAACATTATTTTGTATATAATGTGTATTTATAATATGAAACAGATGTGTACAGGAGTTTATTACTTATTGGGTCCTGTCTTTGTGATGGTACCCCTGCCCTCTCACCCAAAAAACTCTAAACTCCCTTCTACTGCTGCCATGTGCCCCGCCGGAACCCCTGGGACCCGTGCAGACACTTGGATTTGGCATGTCGTACCCCAGGCCCTTGTCTTCTTCCATTCGTTGAGGAGCCGAGCCTCACCCATCTAGTCCCCAGCCTCAGCCAGCCTTCCTTGCCTGCTGACTTTGAGTTGGTACAGTGCCCCCTTCCCTCTTTATGCCCTCACCATTCCTGGGGCATGTTCCTCCTGACCTGAATCACTTCTTCCTTCCTCTCTTCAAGCCTGAAAAAGCTTATGGGGCTCCCTAGTTCTGCCTGTTTTTCTCATATTCAAAAGGATTCTCTTGGCCGGGAGCGGTGGCTCACGCCTATAATCCCAGCACTTTGGGAGGTCAAGGCGGGCAGATCACGAGGTCAAGAGATCGAGACCATCCTGGCTAATAGGGTGAAACCCCGTCTCTACTAAAAATACAAAAAATTAGCCCAGTGTGGTGGCGGGTGCCTGTAGTCCCAGCTACTCGGGAGGCTGAGGCAGGAGAATGGCATGAACCCAGGAGGTGGAGCTTGCAGTGAGCCAAGATAGCGCAACTGCACTCCAGCCTGGGCGACAGAGCGAGACTCCATCTCAAAAAAAAAAAAAAAAAAAAAAGCATTCTCTCGTCGGTGGATGGGATAGGGCCTCTGCACCCTGGTGACATCTGAGTCCTTCCTCCTGCTGTTGCAGGGTGCCTGGCTCTTTTCTTAGCCCCAGCAGGGTACAGGTCTCAGGAGACAGGGCAGGAGGGAGGTTTGCCTTGTTTTTCCTCTTTGTAGCAGACAAGAGCGCTGAGAGTCTGAGCACCTTGTCTGCCCAGGGCTGCTAGAATTTATTGAAGACTGCAAAGACAGGGAGAAAGGGGAGGAGGAGGTAGCCTTCCCTGAGTCCAGGTTTCTCTTGCTGAGGCACTAATGAGGGGGTTTCCAGTCTCACTAGGAGTTTCATGCCTAGCTTCCTCTAAGGCACAGGATAGTCCCTAGGGTGCCACAGCCCTCTCTATAGCCGAAAATATGCTCCTCCATGGAGAGCAAATTATGAAAAAATGAGCCACTGACAAAAAGCTGAGCAGATGCTCCCAGCTCTCAGCCTGTCCACAGTAAAGCAAAATAGACCCATTAGATGCCCTGCTCCTAATGGAGTCCAAGGGTTTGGAGTGCTACTTGCCCTCCCTTTTTTCCTCTCTCCTTGACACAGACACACCATGCCCACCCCAGACCTGGGTGCTTATGCCAGAGACACAGGAGCACGCACACGCTCCACGCCTCACTCATCGCTCCCTGTTCCCTTCACTGTACACACAGGGTATCAAACAGGAAAGCATTCAGGGAACCGTTCCCACAGCCTGAGCCGGCAGCAGGGGGAAGAACAACACGACCTCACTCTTCCTGCCCAAAATGAAACAGGAAAGCAGCTCCCAGGCCCTAGGGGTGTACGGGAGGGGGGAACTGGGCTGGGACACGAAGGCAAGATGACGAGGCTCCCATGTGGGGGACAGGTAGGACACCCGCAGCCCTGCACGTCCACAACACCAGGCTGTGACGGGCTGCACAGGCTGCCAGACTCGCAGAGAAGAGCCCCGGAGAGGAGTTGGCTGGCAAAGCTCACAGCTGCTCTGATGCACTAGATGGGGAGCTGGAGAGCCCACCAAAAAAGCTGGCTTTCTGGGGAAAGTGGGGACCCGTGGGGAACTTGGTCTGGGCAGCTCCGACCTGCAGCTCATGCCAGGCTCCACCTTTAACAACATCCCACAAGCTGGGCAGGCACTTGGGGTGTAAACAGGCCACAGCGGAGGAAGCCCCTTCTCCCCAGGATTTCCTGAGAGTCCAGCCCCTTCTGATAGGTAAGGCACCCAAGACCCTCATGATCACTTGAGTGTCCTGGGGTACAGGAGATTTCCTAGGCTTGGCAGAAAGGAGGCCAGATAATGGTTCTAGACTCACTGTGAGGTGCCTTCCACAGGTTAGCAAATGCCCACCTTTAATTTGCATGGGTATTTCACCAGGGAATTCGGAGTTTAGTAGTTCCTTAACAGCCTGGAGCCAGTGCCCTGCCTGGAGAATCAATTTGACCCCACGGTGACCTGAGGACAGCTGCTTTTCCAGGGCCCCTCGGCTGGTAGAGTCAGGGAGGGGTTGTGCAGAAGGAGAAATGACTTTATCCTGCTTGCTCAGCCAGGGTTCCTCTCCTGCCTCAGGGCCAGGGTCAGCCTGGTCAGGGGGTAGGGAAAAAAGGACAGTGGCTCCCACCTCCCCCATCCCAGGCTAGAAAAGGCCACCAGACTAAACCACGGTGGTGTGGATGCTCCATCTCTTGACTGGGACCCACAGAGCTCTCCGTAGCTTCCCTCGCCGCAGCTCTCCCAGCCTCTCCCTCTGGATCCACAGGATCAGCGGCCCCAGCCCTCCGCCCCACGTGGCTTGCTGCATTCCGGGAAGGGGGTGGAAATGATTCACTGGGGGAACTGTGACTGTCCCTTCCTCGGGCGGGGATGCGCCTGCGAGGTCCCAGCGGCCTTCCCTGGGCGGCTGCGCCCTCCCTCGCGCCCAGGGCGCCCCGAGGCCTGCGCGGCGGCGGAAGGGGCAGGTGCGCCTGCCCGCCCGGGTCAGCCCTCCACCTGCCGCCGCCGTGCCCCGCAGCTCCCGCGGCTCCCCGCCCCCCGCGCTCTTTGTTACAGCCCGACTTCCTGTTTGCGGCAGCCGACCCGGCTCACTTCCCGGGCCGGGAAGCCGCCGAAGGCCGCGAGCTTCTCGGAGGCTCCCCCGCCCGCTCGGCTCCGCCTCCTGCCTCCCCAATCTCGCTCCGGCCGCGGCCGCGGGAAGCGGAGCCGCGGGCGGGCAGGCGGGCTGGACCGCGCGGGCCCCGCTGCCCGGCACTAGAGGGCGCTGCGCGGCCGTCGGGGCTGCGCGCGGGAGGGGCCGCCGACCCCGGGAGGCTCTCTGGGGCCGCCCTTTCTCCGTTCGGGGCCGATGGGACGAAGGCGGCAGGGGGCGGCCAGACGCCCGAGCTCCCTCCGGGCTCCGAGCCCCTAAGCCGAGCGGGCAAAATGGGGAGAACCCAGTGCGGGGCTTTCCCCCAAATATCCTCCCAGTGTCCTGGGGAACAGGCCCTTTCCCCTGCCCCCGCCGTCGCAGCAGCCAGTCCCCCTCGCCACCCAACAGGCCTCCGGCCATCCTGGTCCAGAGACATCCTCAAGGGAAGAGAATGGGGTCGAGGAGGGCCGGACACCGGTGTGAGTTATGGGGCTGGAGCTCCCTTCCAGCGCCACCCCTCATTGCCGGGTGCTCTGGGACAAGTCCATCTACTTCATTCCTTCAACACTGATTAGCATTGGAGGCAGGACTTGCTGTCTGCCCAGGGCCGCTAACTATCTAGCTGCTTATCCTTAACCTCCCTGCTAACTATCTAGCTGCTTATCCTTAACCTCTCTGCGGGTAATGCCTGTTAGGCGTTGCTAGGGGGGTTGAAATGAGGATGTATGGAAGCGTTTGTGAGCAGTGTTGTAACCTCTGCTGGTGGGTTAATCCTCCTCACGCATCTCTAAGTGAGCCACTTTCTGGAGCTCCCACTGCTCCGGCCCGCATCAGCGGGGTGGGACCTAGGGAGGTTGGGGTCTAGCAGGATAGTCCCAGTGTTAGCAGCATCCAGTCCGTGGGGGTCTGCGGCAACCTCAGTTCTTGCCTCCTGAGAAGAAAGAGTTCCACCAAGGGGCATAAGGCAGAAGGAGAGACTGGGGCAATTTTTAGAGCAGGAGTGAAAGTTTATTACAACGTATTAGAGCAGGAACAAAAGGAAGTAAAGTACACTTGGAAGAGGGTCAAGTGGGCGACTTGAGAGATTCAAGTGCGCGTTTGAACTCTGATTTGGGGTTTTCTATGTTGGCGTGCATCCCCCCTCCCTGGTTCTTCCCTGAGGATGGGCGGTCCGCATGCCTGAGGCCTGCCAGCTCTTGGGAGGGGTCGCGTGTGCAGTGTGCTTACTGGAGTTGTGCACATGCTCACCTGAGGCATTTTTCCCTCAATACTCGAGCATTCCTAGAGGAAGGTCAGATACCACTTGAGCTCCGCCATTTTGCCTCCTAGTGTAATCGCTTGAGCCCACTTGCCCACCTCCTGAGATCTTGTCGGGAAGCTGCTGATCAGTTTCAGGTGTTCCTCTCTATTCAGAGACTGCCTTTCCCCGGTGCGGGCTGCAACAATTGTTATTTTAGAGAGACAGGGTAACAACCACCTGACCATCACCTGACGGTTGCCTGAGATTCCTGATGGGGGTCGAGGGCCCTCTCCTTTGCTGCTTATGCCTGTCTACTACCTACTGTTACACCAGCAGTAGCCCTAGGACCAAGCAAGGCAGCTGAGATCACAGGTTTCCGTCACCATCACTTCCATGTGCTCCTGCCTTCCAGGAGCATCACTAATCTACGTCAACCTCCTCTGATGTAGGCAGAGGTAGAAGGGAGGCCCTTGCTGTGGGAAGGGGCAGCAGGACCCCCAAGTCCTTAAGAGTCACCTTCCCTTTGGAGATCTGCCACAAGTGACTTTTTACCACCTTTCTCTGGTCTCTGGGGCATGGTACCCCTTAACACTCTGGTCAAGAGTGGGCTCAGCTTATTTCCTTCATCCCCAAAGTTTCTCTGAGGCCAGGACGCAGGGCCCAAGAAGCCAAGTGAGTCTACAGCCAGACCCTCATGATGGTAACCAGCATCACAGGAATCCGGATTTAGCAACAGGTCGGCTCTGGCGCAGAAGTGCCCCGTGTCATGGCACCCCCTGCAGGGTAGAGCCACAGCCCTGCCAGGCATGGCTAGCCTGTCTGTCTCTAGTGACCCCTCCTCCTGGTGAGGCTTGGGGTTTTGCACACCGGCACTGGCCATTTGACTTGTTGGAGGATTGCTGTCCTTTTCCCACAGTGGCAGGTGTTGGGGCAAGGCTCATGGTACTAAGCCCAGTCTGTTCCGTTTCATTCCTATACCAGCAACTGCCATCCTCAGCGCTTCCTCTTCTGTCTCTCTGGTAGAGGAGATCTGAAAGGCCCTGGACATTCTCCATTCTATTAGCAGTGGGCCCTAGGGAAGAAGGGATCCCAGTTGCTCTCATTCATTTAAAGGGCTTCACTGCCTTGGCTCCCTGTGGGCCGCAGAATCTACACCACCACCCAGGCCCCTTGTGAGCACCTTGACTTCTCCACAATGTAGGTTTTCTGAGGCTTCTCTTCTAGAGCCAGGTCCCACTACACCACAGCATTTCCATGAGATCTGAGGCTCACCCCAACCCTGTGGATCTCCTCTCTTTACAGCCCTGTCGCCCCACTGAAATGCTCCCCACTACAGCTTCTCCTCAGCCCTGCAATGGGTTGCTTCCTGTCCCCACAAATTGTACTTTTCTGTCTCCTTGGAATTGGGAGCACCACCCACCAGTCCTCTGTTGGAACCCCAGCTTCTTTCCTTCCAGGTAGACGAGGACTGAGCTCTGGATAACTGGAATACCGGCCACCCCAGAGGTGCCTGGTCAGCCGGACCTCTCCACCTCCTTGGAGGCTAGAAAATGGGCAGAAAGCCAGGTTTTTCCGCCATCCCAGGCACCCTTTTGCTAGGATATGAGTGAATCTTTACAGTCCCTGCTTTCGTGGACCAATGGCCAAGCAGCCTTCCCCACTTGGCCCTGGGTTTGGCTGGTACGCCCTGCAGAACAGCTGCCTGGGACTGTCTCTCCCTCTTCTGAGGAGGACTGTATGCAGGGATCCACTACTCCATCTGCCCCTCCTTTGGCCAGAATGTCGGTGGGACCTAGGTCCTCTTCGCACAAGACCTGAAGACCTGCAGACACACTTACCTCTCAGAGGTCCGTGGGAGGTATGGTTCCTCATAGATGGTGGATTATTTACTAATTTATTTATTTTAGCACCTTCACCCTATGCATACACAGAAAATCTCTCTTGGCTCAAGCAACTGTTTGTTCTGTCAATAGGATGTTTGTTCTGCTAATAGTGTGCTTGGGTAAGACCATTACCCATTCTGTCTCTTAGAAACATGCCTTGGCTGGGCACGATGGCTCACACCTATAATCCCAGCACTTTGGGAGGCCAAGGCAGGTGGATCGCTTGAGGCCAGGAGTTCAAGACCAGCCTGGGCAACATGGGGAGACCCCATCTCTATAAAAATACAAAACAATTAGCCGGGTGTTGTGGGATGCACCTGTAGTCCCAGCTAATCAGTAGGCTGAGGTGAGAGGATTGCTTGAGCCTGGGAGACAGAGGCTGCAGTGAGCTGAGATTGTGCCATTGCACTCCAGCCTGGGTGACAGAGCTAGATCCTGTCTCAAAAACAAACAAAAACAATTAACTGGGCATGGTGGTGCATACCTGCAGGTCTCAGCCACTTGGGAGGCTGAAGTGAGAGGATCGCTTGAACCCAGGAGATCAAGGCTGCAGTAAGCCATGATCGTGCCACTACACTCCTGCCTGGGGGACAGAGTGAGACCCTGTGTCAAACAAACAAAAAACACAGCCGGATGCAGTGGCTCACACCTGTAATCCCATCACTTTGGAAGGCCAAGGTGGACGGATCACTTGAGCGCAGAAGTTTGAGACCAGCCTGGGAAACATGACAAAACCCAGTCTCTAACAACAACAACAAAAATTAGCTGGATGGTGGCACGTGCCTGTAGTCCCAGCTACTCAGGAGGCTGAGATGGGAGAATCACTTGAGCCCGGGAGGTTGAGGCTGCAGTGAGCCGAGATTGAGACACTTCAGTTGCCTGGATGACAGAGCAAGACCCTGTCTCAAAACACTCCACATTTCTTTGGCACCCTACTTGCTAGAACAATCTGTGAATTGCATGGCGAGGATGGAGAGTGAGATAGCTGGAGATTTCCTCTACTGATCCTAAAATGCTTACCTTGATCACTCCCTCCTGACTTTGTTCTGAGCTATTTCAGAATGAGAGGTTCACTTATGGCTCTGCCTTGAATGAAACGGAAAGTGAAATTGTCTGAAGTAAAGAGAATAAGAAGTCAACATTTGCTGAGTGTTCCTATGTGACGGGTACTGCCTACGGTATTATTTCTTTCAATCTTTTTCAGACCCTGCAAGGTCAATTCTATTACCTATTCCCTCTTTACAGTTGAGAAAACCAAGAACTAAAGACACCGTGCCTAGGGTCACTCAGCTGGTACGTGGTGGAGCTGAGCTCAAATCTGAGCAAGGTGAACTTAGAGGCAATGTCTGGGAAGGCTTTTCTTTTCTTCTTTTTTTTTATGATCACAGAGAGACCACATTTTTAAAATTGACAACTGAATCTCTACGTACGTACAGTTTTGCCCAAATTATAAGTGGCTCAACAATTATATTAATGATGCAAACTCTTGAATGTTTACATAAAACTGCTGCTTTAGGTTTTGGTGCATTTTTTTTTCCTCTGGTTTTTTTTTTTTTTTTTTTTTTGAGATTGAGTCTCGCTCTCTCACCCAGGCTGGAGTGCAATGGCACGATCTTGGCTCACTGCAACCTCTGCCTCCCAGGTTCAAGTGATTCTCCTGCCTCAGCCTCCTGAGTAGCTAGCTGGGATTACAGGCATGTGCAACCATGCCCAGCTAATTTTTGTGTTTTTAGTAGAGATGGGATTTCAACATCTTGGCCAGGCTGGTCTTGAACTCCTAACCTCAGGTGATCCGCCTGCCTCGGCCTCCCAAAGTGCTGAGATTACAGGTGTGAGCCACCATACCCGGCAGTTTTGGTGCATTTTTGTGCCAGCTACTTTAGTAGGTAAAACAAAAATAATGGAACTCAGCTACTTGATTTCCATGAGAACCAGCTTTCAAAAAAAGCACGCAGAAAGTGTATGCATAGTAGCGTTTTAAGAAAAGATCCCCATGTTCTCCTTCACAATTAGGACCACATTCCAAAAGCATAATTCTAGGTTGCTACAATGTCTTCTCTGCTACAAACCATTGTTTCAAAGGTTAAAGAAACAAGAAAGTAACTCACATAAAAGGGTTTTAAAATATTTTTCCTATTCAAAATAAAATAAAAATATATGATCTCCATAAAATTTTATTTATGTGTATATATACATATGTATATGTGTGTGTACATATATATATATATATACACACACACACACACACACATATATGTATATATTATTTATTTATTTATTTTGGGATGGAGTCTCACTCTGTTGCCCAGGCTGGAGTACAGTAGAGTGATCTCAGCTCATTGCAACCTCCACCACCATGCCTGGCTAATTTTTGTTTTTTGTATTTTTTAGTAGAGACAGGGTTTCACCATGTTGGCCAGGCTGGTCTCAAACTCCTGGCCTCAAGTGATCCACCCAGAGTGCTGGGATGACAGGCGTGAGCCACCGCACCCAGCTGATCTCCATAAAACTGTAAAGAAATTATATCAAAATGTTGACCAGACAAGCCAGACCATTTGCCTTCACTGATTGCCTTGGAGGGCAGAGCACATGTGTCATCTACAAGGAAGGGGAGTTGGGGGTAGAGTTCCTGCTCTCCCCGAGCCTGTGGAGTGGGAGCGGACAGGAGCCCTTTGCCTTCCCTGGGGTTTTGCTTCCTTGTGTACAGAATTGAGAGAGGTGGCCTAGATGGCTTTTAAGAGACCCCTCAACTAAAAGTCAGCTTGAGATCCCATCTTTGAGCAGACATATAGGGTGGCAAAAGAAATGGATTAAAAAAGAGATGGATGAAGTCTTTCTCACCTTTTGATACCATCACTCAGAACTATTCTGTACTATAGTTCAAAGAAATCTTTGCCCGGTACTATTAAAGGGTATGCAGTGAGGCATCTGACAATGAAATTTTTGATAAAAAAGAAAAAACAACAACAAAAAGAAAGTTTTGATAAAAATGTAAACAGATTGTGTTAAGTTTGGGTGGAAAAACAAGGCACCACCATGTTACTACCAGCAGTCAGGACGTCCTGTCACTGAATTGTAGGAGTCCCCAATCTGGTTGGGAGAAATGTCGAGGGAGATGCACGTTCAGGCCATCCAACAGAGACCTAATGAGTGCACACTGCTCAGGACATGGAGAAACAGGGGCCCAGGAAGACAACTTTAATGAAACTGGTTCTAAAACAAAGGATGCAAGAGAGTTAAATGGTCCAAAGAGAGTGATGGCTTCTCATTTTCTGTCCCTTACAGAGACTACAAATATCATTTCTTCTGGAATCTAGCACATTTCCAAAATGCATCACTTATATTTTCCTCACAAGGCAGGCACACATTAAGCACGTGACAATCATATGATTTATTTGTGAGCCCCAGGGCTTCCAGGAGCTTTCCCAGAGCTTATGGTCAGAGGCGTCCTGAGATGTCAAATAGTAAAGCTTTCTCCACGGCCACATGTTCCTTTGATGTTTGGGTTATTGAACACAAACTCACTGGATAGTTTGTCTTCAGCATGGTCTTTCTGTTCCTAAAAGTGTTAGTTGTGCTTTCTTTTCGATGAACACTCTGACTCCATCTTGAATGACTTCTTCATCGAAATCTCCCTTGTCTTCGTTTATTCTAGACTATAAGAAAGGTCATTACAGGCCCTGGTTCGGACACCAACTTTTACACCTAATACTCAGGCTTATCTTGAAGAAGTTATTTTATCTTGTTTACTGCTGAAGGTGTCAGGCTGCGGGTGGCCCTCGTGGGCTGTAGCTTCCTCTTGCTCACAGTCCGGACAGTCCTCCGGACTAAGGAAGCCGACCTCTTTGTCGTCTGGTCCAGGTGCTTCAGGCCGGAGCTCGGCTGCCTCAGCCTCTTTCTTTGGACACAGCAGGCCCATTGATGCCACAAGCTCCGGCACACAGCGCACTCAGGCCTCTGGGAAGGTTTTTCATCCTTCAGAAATCAGCAGCTTTATAAGGCAACTTCATCCTTTAGCATATGAATTAGCATCATTCCCTAGCTCCTACAACAGCCTTCCACTGTTTCAGATAAACATGCTGACTAACACCAGGAGGTGATGCCAATCTCTGGTAAGAGAAGAGAGAAGGAACAGATCCTCAGGAGATGAGAGGTAGCCACCTGGAGGGGAACAACAAGGAAACGTTAATTTGGGAAAGATCTAAAAAAGGAAACCACCACGTGCACATCACGTGCACATCATGTGCGACTCTGCAAGGTGGAGGTGATGCCTGGGCCCATCGCTGCTCATAAACTGGCACCTCTGTGGGTATGACATCGGCGGCCCCTTCCTGTGGGGCGTTAGAAGGAAAGACGGGAAGGGTTTGCCGTTGAAGTTACAGAGAGGAACCAGCTAAGTGAGTGGTTTGCTGCCTGGGAGTGTCCTGCTGGGAGGAAAAGAGACAGATGTTGTTGGCAAGAATAAGCAAGGAATGGGAACAGGAAAGACATGTTCCCAGGGAGACATTGCAGATCCCCTGGGCCAGCTTCTGTGGAGATTCCTATTTTGAGGGTCAAGGTTGAACTTGTGTTACACAGGACATGGGATATAGCCCTGGCCTTTTCCAAGCAATAGCCTCACTTATTCTACCTATATTTGTGGAGGATCTTCCACATGCCTGGCTTGTGTTGGTTCTCTTGGGCCTTCAACCATGAACCATACTCTGGGGAAGTGCTCAGGTGAGTGAGAGGCAGGACGCAAACGATTCCCAGCAAGGAGGCTCTGGAGCTGGCCCAGCTGCCTTCAGATCCAGGCTCCACTACTTTCTGCCACGTCACCAACAGGGTTTACCTAGCTTTCCTGCATGCTTATCTGTGAAATGATATTTACCTCACAAAGTAGTGAAGAAATGTGTAATTAGAATGGATGATGTAAAGGCGTTTAGCAAATTGCCTGGCACATGTTATACACATAATAAATGAGTGTTTCTGTTGTAAGCACGAGTTGGAAGGGACAGATAAGTAAACTGCAGTGGCGTAAAGTGTTGTGGGAGTGTAGAGGAGGGAGTGTCTGACTCTGCCAGGAGCAAGATCAGGTTATTGAGGACATTGCCAAAAGAGTTATGAAACACTGGGACTTTGGTCAGGGTGGGAGGAGGTCTGAGAACGGGCATCATGAAAATGTTCCCTAAATGTTTCAGGTATGCTATCCATCCCTCCCCCTCCAGAAAACCACTAATGACTCTTTAAAAGTAACTTTTTTTTTTTTTTTTAGACAGGATCTTGCTCTGTTGCCCAGGTTAGAGAGCAGTGGCACAATCATGGCTCACTACAGCCTCGACCTCCTGGGCTCAAGCAACCCTCCTGCCTCGGTCTCCTGAGTAGCTGGGACTACAGGTGCATGTTGCTAAGCCCGGCTAATTTTTAAAAATTTTTTTGTAGAGATGAGGTTTCATTATGTTTCCCAGGCTGGTCTCAAACTCCTGAGCTCAAGTGATCCTCCTGCTTGGCCTCCCAAAGTGCTGAGATTACAGGTGTGAACCACCACGCCCAGCAAAAATTAACTTATTATTATTTAAAAATTACTTTTCATAAAACTTGGAAAATAGAGGAAAGAATTGCTCACAATCCCAACACACTAGTATTTGCTGCCTCCCTATCTTTATTGTTACTGTTTTTAAGTTTTAATCATAGTTCATGTGAAAATTTATATTTTGCATTTTTGCCTTAATATGCAATCATACACATGTTTACTACGTTTTTTTTGTTTGTTTTGTTTGTTTGTTTCCCGAGACAAACTCGTGCTCTGTTGCCCAGGCTGGACTGCAGTGGTGGGATCTTGGCTCACTGCAACCTCTGCCTCCTGGGTTGAAGTAATTCTCCTGCCTCAGCCTCCCGAGTAACTGGGATTTCAGGCACCTGCCACCATGCCCGGCTAATTTTTTTTGTATTTTTAGAAGAGACGGGGTTTCACCATGTTGCCCAGGCTGGTCTCGAACTCCTGAGCTCAGGCAGTCTGCCCACCTTGGCCTCCCATAGTGCTAAGACTACTGGCGTGAGCCACTGCACCCGGCCCAACATACATATTGTTTCTAATGTCTGCACAAATTTAATGGACTATATCATATTTATGTAACTAATTATCTATTGCTGGGTATTTAGGTTGTTTTCTTTGTGTTTGTGTGTGTGTGTATGTGCACATTTTTCTGTCATGTGAATGGTAAATTGACATAATTTCCTTAAACATTTAGCTAATTTTGGATATTTAAGTAGTTTTTCTTCTTTTGTTTTTGCTATAATATGTAAAGGTCGGGCGTGGTGGCTCACGCCTGTAATCTCAGCACTTTGGGAGGCCAAGGTGGGCGGATCACAAAATCAGGAGTTTGAGATCAGCCTGGCCAATATGGCGAAACCTCGTGTCTACTAAAAATACAAAAATTATCCAGGCGTGGTGGCAGGTGCCTGTAGTCCCAGCTACTCGGGAGGCTCAGGCAGGAGAATCGCTTGAACCTGGGAGGCGGAGGTTGCAGTGAGCCGAGATTGTGCCACTGCACTCCAGCCTGGGCAACAGAGAGAGACTCCACCTCAAAAAAAAAAAAAAAAAAAAAAAAAAAAAAAAAAAGTAACAATGCATTGAAAATCTTCAGGCATATGGCTTTTCCCGTATTTTGAATAATTTCCTGAAGGAGTATTGGGTCAAAGGGCAGGGATATTTTGTGATTCTTGACTTGTATCACCAAGCTGCTTTCTCAAAGGGTTGTTTGTGCCAATTCAGATACTTCAGCAATATGTGGATACCAGTTTCCCACTTCCCGGACTACAACCCACAGCTGGTGAGTGGAAAAGAGGACATTCTTCTAAGAAGCTACCAACAAAGGAGGTGCTCATATGAACGAAAGGGGACAGGATAGAAGAGAAGAGGGAGACTGAATGTGGGAAATGGAGAGAAAGCGAAAAAGAAAGGAATAACCAGAAAGGACCATTTGCTGGTAATTTTTTTTTTTTCCTGATTGGAAAAGTAATTCATGCTCCCTGTAAAAATCCAGACTTTTTCATTACTGTTTAAGTTTGATACTGAAAGTCCTCCTCTGGTGCCAGCCTCTGCTAACTGTTTAGGTATATTCTTCCAGATTATTTATTACACGAATACTTTTTGTTTTTAAAGAAATAGCTTTGTACTATACACACTGTTGTGCAAGTTTCCCACTTATATCTGCGACACCTTCGGAATGAATATGTGAAGTGTGAAGATCACGTTTAGTTTAAATATTGAATTAGAATCGAATGAGAAGCCATGTTGCACATTGCCCCTGCCAGCCATCTCCTGGCCAGTTTAGAGAGAAGGCCTTCAGCTGCCTCTGTTTCCCTTTTACAGTCAGTGACATCCCCTGAGGGCAGTCCCTTGCTGCGTATTGGGTCAACCCCCGGCGGCCTGTGGACTCGGCTGGGAGGCCAGAAGCCGAGGGAGAAGACCAGTAGCTGGCCATAGTCTTGTGGGGGCCTCACTGGGCCCTCCTTGCCCGCTGCTCCCGGAACCTTGTGCCTATGGATTAATCATTGCTGCAAAATCTCACGTCCAGGAAGAATTAAACCCATCGCCTTGGGGGCAAGACTAGCCTGGCTTTTGCATCTTTATAGCCTTTCTCCGCAGGTGCAGCCACCACCTCCAAAGTGACTGCCGGTCGGTCCAAGCGCTCTAACAGGCTCTTCCCCGAGCCTACCTGGGCTCGAGGGGTCCCACACCTGGTCCGGGGCGTAGCCCATGTGAGGCCTGCAAGCTCCGGGCGCCTGGCCTACCTAACTCAGCCCCGCAGTCTCTGCAGAACCCCCTGCAGCCCCGTGGCCCAGTTTCTCCATTTGCTCACAATGGCCAACGGCGTGAGGCACTTGAGCGGAATGCGGACGGTGCCTCCGACAGCTTTCCCGCAGTGCATGATCTCAGGAGGGGCCCCAGAGACGGAAGTTTACGACGCCCAGAGCGCTCCTTCTGGACGTGCCCTGGACTCGACTTGGGACTGAGTCTGTGCCGCCTAGGCTGGCAGGGACTCGGCCAGATGCACTAGCGGCAAGGCTGGGCTGACACCGCCTGGGACTCGCTCGCCGTACCTCCAAGGGGCCCAGGTCATGAGGGGGCGGCTGGGGAGACGCCCGCCCGGTGCCCGCCCTGGGCCCGGCGGGTGCCCCCTGCCCGCCGCCTGACGCAATCCGAGGCGCCCTTGCTGCATGCCGGCGCTGGAGAAACCTCCCCTGCCGTTGCATCACTCCTGCCAGGTTTGCCACAGAGGTGGAGCTGAACCAATCAGCGGGCGCGCTGGGCCCGCGGCGCGGTTAAGTGAGAAGCAGAATCCGAAGTTGATTGGCCAAAAGGGGATTTGCCCCACCCCAATCACCGCGGCAGCTGGCCGCGGTGGGCGTGGTCTCCCGGCAAGAAGGTTTAAAGGGCGCCTCCATGGGGGGCGCTCAGCTGGAGCTACCGAGCGGTGCCAGGCCAGGTGTGTGCGTCCGTCGGTCTTTCCGTGCCCACGCCGGAGACCAGCCCCGGAGGCCGCCTGGGCCTATCCCTGTGCCAGGCACCATGAAGCAGGAGTCTGCAGCCCCGAACACCCCGCCCACCTCGCAGTCCCCTACGCCGTCCGCTCAGTTCCCCCGAAACGACGGCGACCCTCAAGCGCTGTGGATTTTCGGGTACGGCTCCCTGGTGTGGAGGCCCGACTTCGCCTACAGCGACAGCCGTGTGGGCTTCGTGCGCGGCTACAGCCGCCGTTTCTGGCAGGGAGACACCTTCCATCGGGGCAGCGACAAGATGGTGAGCATCCAACCGTGCCCAGGGGAGTGAGGGGGTTGGGGGCGGGATACTGGGCGCCAGTGCCCTGGAATGTCCGGGGCTCTCTGGGCCAATAGAAAGAAATGTGTAAACCTGTGTCTGGGGTTTGTGGCTCATTTAAATGTATGTGCCCAGTGCATCACTGTGATGGCTGGAGTCTGTGAACCTGTGGATCCCTGTGTTGATCACCAACTGGGACCACTGACATGTCAGTGTTTCTGGACGTTTCTCCTACATCCGTGCATCGCTCCCCCACCTTCCCCTGCATGAATGGGACTCAGCATGCAGAGTGGGGCACTTGGAGGCCCGGGTCAGCGGGATTGATAAAGGTTTCCTTGCTGATGGCAGAGCTGATTTCTAACTTGTCTATTTCAAAATATTTCTTCCCTCCCTAGCCTGGCCGTGTGGTGACGCTCCTTGAAGATCATGAGGTAAGTGCCCGAATCATGAAGGGGAACCCTGGCCCAGTGTGAAGGGGGACCAGCAGAGAGAGCTCATAGGCTCTTGGCTGCAGGCTAGCTCTGTCTGATGCTTCTCTGGCAGAGTAGAAACGTGTTCTAGCTCAGTGCTTCTCACCAAATCACATGAGGATCTTGTTAGAATGCAGATTTTAGTTCAGTAGCATGAGAATGGGTCCTGAGACACAGCATTCCTAACTAGCTTACAGGTGATGCCACCACATCCTGGACCACACTTTGAGGAGGAATCCTGTCTTCCCTGGTACTAGACCACTTTGTCAACTGTTTTTTTTTTTTGTTGTTGTTGTTGTTGTTTTGTTTGTTTGTTTTTGAGACAGAGTCTTGCTCTGTTGCCCAGGCTGGAGTGCAGTGATGCAATCTTGGCTCACTGCAACATCTGCCTTCCAGATTCAAGCGATTCTCCCACCTCAGCCTCCCGAGTAGCTGGGATTACAGGCATGCGCTACCACACTCAGCTAATTTTTGTATTTTTAGTAGAGACGGAGTTTCACCATATTGGCCAGGCTGGTCTGGAACTCCTGATCTCAAGTGATCTGCCCACCCTCAGCCTCCCAAAATGCTGGGATTACAGGCATGAGCTACTGCACCTGGCCTCAACTATGCCTTTTTTTTTTTTTTTAAGACGGAGTCTTACCCTTGTCACCCAGGCTGAAGTCACTGCAACCTCCACCTCCTGGGTTCAAACGATTCTACTGCCTCACCCTCCCGAGTAGCTGGGTTACAGGCGTACGCCACCATGCCTGGCTAATTTTTGTATTTTTAGTAGAGATGGGGTTTCACCATTTTGGCCAGGCCGGTCTCGAACACCTGACCTGAAGTGATCCACCTGCCTTGGCCTCTCAAAGTGTTGGGATTACAAGCATGAGCCACCACGCCTGGCCTTTCAACTGTTCTTAACAAAGAGAGTACAAGGGCTTGAGGTACTGCCACCAGATGGCTCATCAGCCGACCACAGCCTCCCTTATAGAGCACAGTCCTGGGTGGGGGTGGCATGTTAGGATAGGAGAGGGAGCAGCAAGGAGCTGTCATGACTGACCCCGGGTGTCCCTATTTCTTCCCAGGGCTGCACTTGGGGCGTGGCATACCAAGTGCAAGGGGAGCAGGTAAGCAAGGCCCTGAAGTACCTGAATGTGCGAGAGGCAGTGCTTGGTGGCTACGATACCAAGGAGGTCACCTTCTATCCCCAAGATGCTCCTGACCAACCACTGAAGGCATTGGCCTATGTGGCCACCCCACAGAACCCTGGTTACCTGGGCCCTGCGCCTGAAGAGGCCATTGCCACGCAGATCCTGGCCTGCCGGGGCTTCTCCGGCCACAACCTTGAATACTTGCTGCGTCTGGCAGACTTCATGCAGCTCTGTGGGCCTCAGGCGCAGGACGAGCACCTGGCAGCCATCGTGGACGCTGTGGGCACCATGTTGCCCTGCTTCTGCCCCACCGAGCAGGCTCTGGCGCTGGTGTGAGGGGCTGAGCCCCTGCGGGGAGTGCTCATGTGGACATCAGGGCCAGACACCCACTCCAGTGCACAAGACAGACTTGCGACCGCTTGAGCCCACTGAGCAGATATGGTGGGTGGCTGGAGGCTTCTCTTTCTCAGTCCCTGCCTGTCTGCCAGCCTGCAGCTCTCCTGCTTGACACTGACTTACTACTTGAAACTTTATTTATTGCACCATGTTGGTGTGGTGGGCAGGTGGAGGGCCTGCCCTGGACACAGGGGCCCTGCTGAGCAGTGGCCCCATCCTGGAACTTGACCAGATTCCCCCCAGTGCTGCTGCTAACCCCACACCACCCAGGCCTCCACCTCCCCAGGGAGTCTCCAAGAGCCTCGATCCTCTGCTCACTCAGCCCAGCCATCCATAGCCCTGGGAATTCCACCTGCCAAGGATCCCAGCAGGCTGGATGAGGGATAGTAGGGCATGAGGAGAAGGAGCCCTGTAAGGACTGAGGCCCCGGCCAGCCCTTCTCCTCCACCAGTTCCCCAGAGCAGAGCTGGAGCTGATGCCTGGACACAGCTGCTGAGCCTGGCCTGGGCCTCTTACCCACTTGGTTGTTTTCTTGTCCCTCTGTCTGTCTGTCTATCTACTTGTCTGTCTGGGCCACTCCTGCCTGTGTGTTGGTCTATTCCTGGGAAGCTCATCACTACAGGCCCTGGCAACCTTCCCAGTCTGTCCCATACTGTTACCCATAAAACTATCTCTTTATCTGTGCTGTGCCGGAATGTGGTTCTTTCTCAGATGGGGGTTTGGGGCAAGTGAGGTGGTGATGCCCTGGAAGGCTCCTAAGAGGGGAAAGGGCTCCCTCTTCCTCTCCTTCCCTCTCTTCCCAGGAGGGGCAGCTGGGCAGGCAGAATTAGCAGGTGACATCACTCTCATGGGTACAGTTCATGCCTTACGCATGCAAATAGTACCCCCTGAGTTGTGCAGAATTCAGCTCATGCTCTACTTGGCAGCCCTGTGAGCAGTGTCCTTGCCACCAACCTGGACTCTGTCTCATCCTGCCCAGCTGCCCCAAGGAGGCTGGCAGGCTTGGAGCTCAGACCAGCTCTTCCTCCAGCTGCAGGGCCAGCGGCTGCCTCTTCCTAACAGCTAGGCCAGAACCCTGGTGTCCTGCTAAAGGAGCACGTGGGTTAGGGTAGGGTGATGACAACTTCTAAGGCAAGGCTAATGGCAGGGACCTGTAGCCTGGAGGACCTGGTGTCCCTTTTACTTTCAGAGTCTGAGTGCTCACTGTTGCCTCCGGGAGTGTGGTGTTGCCTGTGCCTTCCCCATTGCCATCACCTGCCCTGGTTTACCCACACTGGAATGCGGGCCCCAAGTTTACCCCCTGCCTGTCCCCAGATGTTCTTGTCTAGCCCTTGGGGACAGATCACAGCTCCAGGATCTCAGCCTGGGCCTGAGCTCCTCATCAGGAGTGGCCTCTTAGTGCTACTCAATCCCTGAACTTGCAGAATGGGGCAGACCCAAAATGACAGGCTCTAGCAGCAGAAGAGCTTGAGGCCAAGGGCTGGGTGTGGTGGCTCATGCCTGTAATCCCAGTACTTTGGGAGGCCAAGGTGGGAGAATCACTTGAGCCCAGGAATTCGAGACCAGCCTGGACAACACAGTGAGACCCCATCTCTATAAAAAATACAAAGGAAATTAAAAAAAAAAAAAGTGCCTTGAGAGTCCAACCCAGCCTCCTCCTCATTGCCCAGTCACCTCGGAAAAAGCCTTCAGCCCCCTGGGTACAAGTTCACTGTGAGGGGACGATGCCGTGGGATGATGTATGGGGCAGGCTGGGTGGTATGTGTTGCTGCTGTTCTTGCGGCTGGTGTCCTGGATTGGTCTGGGTGTCTCCAGCAGGGTCAACTCCGATCAGGTTGTGCAGCCGTTGTGGCTGGGGAGGGTGCCATGCCTGGGCCGTGTGCTCATGTCTTGGCGGCCTTGTGTCTTGGCCATTGATGGGAAGAGTGTGGAGTCCAGCCAGCTTCTTCTGGGTGCCTGGTGAGGGCAACACAAAAGGAGGAGGCAGCAGGTGGCAGGGAGCCCTGGGCAGCTGCCTCCTGTGTTTCCTGGGCCTCTTGCCAGACAGCCAGAGCACAGCCCTGCTCCATCCTGGGAGCTGATGGTGGGGAGGGCTGCTTGCCAGCTGCACGTAGGGGGCTTTCACCCATCAAGCCATTCGATCAGCAAGTATTTCCTTAAGCTCCCACTGTGTGCCATGCACCATTCCAGGCACGGGGATACAGCGGTAAAGAACTCCTCCTCCTCAAGGAACTTGGAGTCTAGAAACTGATGGTGACCATTCAGCGTGGAATGGGAGAAGAGGGCCTTGAGCACCCAGAAAGGGCTTCTGACTTGAGCAGGGCAGTCAGGGAAGGCCTTCTTGGCTTTCTTGGAGAGGGAACCTGAGAAGGGGCCTCTGAGGAACAGAGAGTAAGGGAACAACACGTGCCTGAGGGGAGGCAAGCTCAGACCAGCTGGAACAGAGTGGCCCGGACAGGAGACACGAGCCAGACAGGTGGCAGGACTGCCGGCCTGGTGAATTGCGCTGTGCCATGCTGCGGGGTGGCATTCCTCCTGGGTCAGTGGGGGCCTCTGGTGGATTCTGAGAAGGGCAGAGATGTGCTTAAGAGAGAACACTGGCTGAAGTCAGATTGGAGGAGAGAGGCCAGAGGGAGCTGTAGGGTGCCCAAGCTGAGGTGTGCCAGTGGGAATGGACAGTGGAGGGATTGCAGAATTGTTTAGGGGTGAGGTTGACAGCATTTGGTGGCTGGTTTGATGAGCAGAGTGAAAGGAGGGTAGAGACAGTAGGGCTGGGGCTCCTGGGACAGTGGCAGATCTGGAAAGAGTCGGGGGTAGATAGCCTTGCGTTTAAGTTAGGGGTGCCTGTGAGGGGAGGAATGACTTCTACGGGGATGTTCAGGGCAGCTGGATATGTTGGTGTGGGAGTCAGGAGAGAAAGCTGGGCTGGAGTTAGAGACTTGGGAACCATACATGTGGAGACTGGGCTTAAAGCCCTGGTAGGGGAGGAGAGGAGAACAGGGCCCGGCCAGGCCCTGAGGACCCCAGCCGCGGTGGTCTGAGCAAAGCAAGAAGAGGTGTCGGGAACAAGCGCTGGAGAGGTAGGCGGAGAACGAGGAGAGGGCAGGGTGAGGAGAGCCAGGGTGGAAGGTGTCTCCAGGAGGTGCACAACATGGTCATGTTGCCAAGATGGCCAAGATGTCAAGAGAAACGAGGACAGAAGAGTGTCCACTGGATGAAATGCCAGGGGGGGTCCCTTGTGGCTTCAGTGAGAGCAATTTCAGGAACAGTATGGAAAGCCACAAGGCAGGGCTGAGGGGCCAGTGGGAGGGGAAGCAGCTTTCAGGAAACATGGTTGCTAAGAAGAGAGAGAAACAGGGATAACTGAGGGCACAGGAGTTGCGGGGGTCTCAGGACCCCTTCACAAATGAAAAATTGTGGAGGACCCCAAGAGCTTTTGTTTATGTCGGATATAGTTATTAACATTTACTGTAGTAGTGCGGTGGCTCATGCCTGTAATCCCAGCACTTTGGGAGGCCAAAAGCGGGCAGATCACTTGAGGTCAGGAGTTCAAGATCAGCCTGGACAACATGGTGAAACCCAGTCTCTACTAAAAAATACAAAAATTAGCCAGGCGTGGTGGTGGGCACCCGTAGTACCAACTACTTGGGAGGCTGAGGCAGGAGAATCACTTGAACCCAGGAGGTGGAGGTTGCAGTGAGCCAAGATCGCGCCACTGCACTCCGCCTAGGCGACAGAGCAAGACTCTGTCTTAAAAAACAAACAAAAAAAAAGGTTTTCTGATTGTTTCTTTTCCTTTTCAGTTGGGAAAGACTTGAGCAGGGTGATGTTTGGGTTTCCAGCCTTAGGCCGCAGCATTAGGGAATTTCAGAGTTAGCAGGGGCTGCAGAATCATCCTATCTGTGCCTCTAGGGCATGCTCCTGGAGAGCCAGGAGTCGGTGGGAAGGATCGGCCGATTCATTGCTTTTTATTGAATCTACAACAGCCCAGGCCCCTTGGCCTCCCACTGCTGTCGGCAGCAGACAAACACAACCACCCCCGCACCTGGCCTGGGAAGGGTAACCGGAGCTCAGGGGTGGGCAAGGCTGGCTGGCTCTGGGGGCCTTAGAGAAGCGGTAGAAATCCAGTGGGTAGAAGGGGCATTCCGGCAAAGGAGAAAGGGCCACGCCGAGTGGCTGACGCTCTGGGGCGCTGGGGAGGAGGCAGGAAGCTGCTCTGGGGTCCGATGGTGGAGGAAATATTAGAGATTCTTTTTTAGAGAAGTTGACTTCTGTAGTGATGCTTGTGTTTTTTTCACGTTTTCCTTCCCACCGCAGGGTCTCTTGTTTGTTTTGTTCTTTTTCTTTGTTTTGTCTGCTTTAAGGTAGACTAGTGTCTTGTTCAGGCCCGGAGGCTTGTACTTGTAGCCAGAGAAAGATGGGTTGCTGGCGCAAGACGTGGTGGGAGTCTGCTGAGATGTTCCGGGCAGGTGTTGGCGAGGCCTGGAGGAAAGGCAGGAGCTGGGACGGTGGTGGATCTGCCTCCTGGCAGCCCACTGGAGATAGAGGCAAGCAGGAGGGAGGAGACTGGGGATCCCAGGATTTTGCCAAGAGGGTGGGGGTCTCTCATCAGCAGGGGACAGGGACTGTGCAGGACGATGTAGCCTTCGTGTACCTTTCTAGGGCTGGTGGGATTCTCTCCAGGTTGTCCCCCACTGGGCTACAGAAAGGACCCCATTCCTCTGGGGGCTGTCATGCCCTTGAAGAGGGAAATGTCAGTTGGAGAAGCAGAAGGTGTGGGAAGAAGGACCACAAATGGGGGAGACCCCCCGTTCCCCAGGCCTGGATCCGAAGAGGGATCGGATGCTCCAGGGCTGAGGCCAGGAGAGGGGAGGCAATGATCACGGGGCGTGTCCCAGATGGCCGGAGTGTGAGCAGAGGGCCCTGCTGCTCCCTGAGGGTAGGGCGACCGTGGACCCCAGCATGGCCAGGTCAGCCCTAGTTTACTCTGTTGTTCTGGAGTAATTATGACTTTGACTCTCAAAAGTGTCTCAGTTTGGACACTAAATTACATGATAGCTGTAGAGAATTGGGACACAGCAGGGTCACTTTATTAGTGGAGCTGGTGGCTGTCAGACGGGCTTGGCCAGAGCCTGCAGGAGCCTGTCCTCTACCCTTCACCACCAGCCCAGCGGCTGGGGCCCGGCTTAGGTCACAAAGCCCGGGTTGGCAGCCAGGGAAGGCCACCGTCCTCTATCCTTCCTCTTGCTGCCTGTGGAGAGTCCCCTGCAGGCCTGTCCTTCCTCCTCAGCCTGCCCTGGCCTCACCCTTGCCTCAGGCATTTCCTTGGGCGTGAGGAGAGCTGGACACGCCCTGAAGGCTCAGCCAGGTCCTCAGCCCTTCCTGGTGGCACCATCACCCCAGGGAACTCCTGGGGTATTTTCCGCGCCCCTGCCCCGCCCCACCACCCTAGCTGATCCTTCCTGCCTCTCCTCCTTCGCCTGGGACTCTGTGCTGCGCACTCCTGGCTCTAACCCCCTGTGCCTCTGTTCCTCGGCCTGGCACTGCCGTCCCCATTTTGGCTCCATCCTGGGTCCTGCCCCTTGCTAGGCCTCTGCCTGTGAGAGGTGACAGCGTGCTGGCAGTCCTCAGAGCCTTCGCTTGCTCTCGGCACCTCCTCTGCCTGGGCTCCCACTTTGGCAGCATTTGAGGAGCCCTTCAGCCCACCACTGCACTGTGGGAGCCCCTTTCTGGGCTGGCCAAGGCCGGAGCCCACTCCCTCAGCTTGCAGGGAGGTGTGGAGGGAGAGGCGCGAGCGGGAACCGGGGCTGCGTGCGGCGCTTGCGGGCCAGCTGGAGTTCCGGGTGGGCGTGGGCTTGGCAGGCCCCGCACTCGGAGCAGTCGGCCAGCCCTGCTGGCCCCGGGCAATGAGGGACTTAGCACCCGGGCCAGCAGCTGCGGAGGGTGTACTGGGTCCCCCAGCAGTGCCAGCCCACCAGCGCTGTGCTCTATTTCTCACCGAGCCTTAGCTCTCTTCCCGCGGGGCAGGGCTCGGGACCTGCAGCCCGCCATGCCTCAGCCTCCCACCCACTCCGTGGGTTCCTGTGCAGCCCGAGCCTCCCCGACGAGCGCCGCCCCCTGCTCCACGGCGCCCAGTCCCATCGACCATCCAAGGGCTGAGGAGTGCGGGCGCACGGCACCGGGACTGGCAGGCAGCTCCACCTGCAGCCCCGGTGCGGGATCCACTAGGTGAAGCCAGCTGGGCTCCTGAGTCGTGGGGACGTGGAGAGTCTTTATGTCTAGCTCAGGGATTGTAAATACACCAATCAGCACTCTGTGTTTAGCTCAAGGTTTGTGAGTGCACCAATCTACACTCTGTATCTAGCTCAAGGTTTGTAAACACACCAATCAGCACACTGTGTTTAGCTCAAGGTTTGTGAATGCACCAATTGACACTCTGTATCTAGCTGCTCTAGTGGGGCCTTGGAGAACCTGTGTGTGGAAACTCTGTATCTAAGTAATCTGATGGGGAGGTGGAGAACCTTTGTATCTAGCTCAGGGATTGTAAACGCACCAATCAGCGCCCTGACAAAACAGGCCACTCGGCTCTACCAATCAGCAAGATGTGGGTGGGGCCAGATAAGAGAATAAAAGCAGGCTGCCCGAGCTTGCATTAGTAACTCGCTCGGGTCCCCTTCCGGATTGTGGAAACTTTGTTCTTTCGCTGTATGTAATAACTCTTGCTACTGTAGCTCGCTTTTTGGGTCTACGCTGCTTCTATAAGCTGTAACATTCACAGGGAAGATCTGCAGCTTCACTCCTGAGACCACGAGCCCACTGGAAAGAACAAACAACTCCCGAAGTGCTACCTTATAGAGCTATAACACTCACCGCGAAGGTCTGCAGCTTCACTCCTGAGCCAGGGAGACCACAAACCCACCAGAAGGAAAAAACTCCGAATACATCTGAACATCAGGAGGGACAGACTCCAGACGGGCCACCTGAAAAGCTGTAACACTCACCGTGAGGGTCCGGGGCTTCATTCTTGAAGTTAGTGAGACCAAGAACCCACCAATTCGGGACACACTTGGACCATCCGCTTCCCAGGAAGCGTCAGCCCTGGGGTGCCCATGCCCAGAAGCCCACTCCAGCCCTGATAGTCGCCTCCCAGCTGAGCCAGGAACCTGGGGCTGAGCTCCATCCTCAACCTTAAAAACTTGTCATCTCACCTGTCCCGAGGATGTGCGGTACCTGCCCTACTTCTACCATCCTCACCCTACTCTTTTCCTGGGCTAGCGTTATGATGTCTAAACCTATCTATCATCCCGTTCTGTGCTCTGTATATTCATTTTCCACATAACGTAAAATGTAGGTCTGGCTAAGCCCCCTCCACATGGACAACGTGGGCCCTACTCTCCACAGACTCCAGCCACCTGCGACCCCTTCTGCCTCATGCTACGTGTGATCACAGCCTTTTCTCCTGTTGCTATCCTGACCGAGATGCTCCTCTAACAAGCTTGTCCACCCTTTCACACCCCTCAGCACACGCCCTGGCTTCATATGGCCGCCTGGTACCCTCCCTGCCGTTTCTGCCCAGATCTGTTCTGTGCCCAGCAGGTGTTATTGGCTTCATCTACTTGCAGGTCTGTCCTTACTAACTGGAACACCCCCGAGGGCAGGAACGGTTTACCCCAGCATGGAGCACAGTTCCGGGGCCCTAGGAGGAGCTCAGAGGACCTGTGGGAAATGTTCCCATGGGCAATGACTCCCTGAATGTAACGTCGTATGTCACCTTGGAGGGAAAGACCCCATAAAAACCTAATCATATTCAAGGGTAAGTGCCAGCTTGGCTCCCCAGGCTATTATTCAATCTGAAGGTTTATGTGCAAAGCACAGGAATGTGGGGCTGGAAGCCACATGGGCAAGGGCAGACCAGCCGGGCATGGCGCCCCTGGTGGGTGCCTGATTGCGGCAGCGCAGACCACGCTGCTGGCCCCCCCCCCCTCCATTTTGGATCGGTTTTTTTTCTTCTTTGATCTGTGAGAGGCCAGGGCCCTAAATGCATACCAGGGGAAGGGGCTGCCTCTTGCTAGTTCCCCCACCTGCAGTGCTAAGCTAGAGGGGCGTTTGTGCATCTTTCATGGAGTGGCGCCCCCACATCCGCCATCTCTCTCCCTGTCCCCACAGGAAAGGAGCTTGGCTTTCCTGGGTACAGCCTAATGGTGTTGGTGACTGGGGTAGGAAGGGGACTCAGGTAAGTAATGTACCCACTTGCAGCTTTCCCCCAGCCAGTCACGTCCAGCCAGGCACAGCCACTCATGGGGCCCAGTCGTGTCCTATGCCAGGCAGAGGGTGGCAGGAGAAGGGAAGGGGCTCTGGCAGGAAGGACGGGGGAGCCCATGGGTGGTGAAAGCTGATGACAAGCTGCCCACGTGGGATGCCTTCCATAGGAGCAGGCCCTCGCCTATGGGGGTTTCCAGAGGGAGACCCAGTTCCTGCTCACAGGCCAGCTGCAGCCCAAGCAACGTGGTATGCACTGATAGGAGCTGGTGGGGCAGAAACCTGGGACCCACCCCCCCCCCCGCTTCCCCGCCACAGGCAGGGACCCTCTCACCTTGGAGCTCGAACCCTCCTCCATTCCCTCATTCTAAAATCTCATCCCTACCAGCTCTAGCCTAGCTAATTTGTCACTCAGGCTTCAGGGCTCAGCTGAGATGTCACCTTCTCTGAGAAGCCTTCCCTGAAGCTTCCCTACCCCTGACCACCTAGATCTGGCTTTGGGGCCCTGCCATGCATCTCTGCCACCCGTGTTGTTTCTCTTGCAGCTTCTATTGTATCATGTTCTCGTCGATTCCTCCTTATCCTGACTGTGAGCCCGAGAGGGCAGGGACCAAGGTCCTAATGTATCCCAGCGGAGCGTACACATAGTAGGTACCTACGTCGTGTTGGTTGACTGAAAGTCTTCTCACCCAGCAGGAGGCAGGCAGTGATGAGGGGACCTCAGAGGGGTGCTCTGGACTGTTACCTCAGAAGAGGAACTATGCAGAGCGGGGCGGGCTAGCTGGGGATGCAGCTCAGGGAGGAGACTGACCTACCGTGACCATCCCACACCTCCGCAGGCACCAGGGCTTGCCCCCTGGGTCAGGGCATCGGACTGTTTAGATGCAAAGAAAGAGTCCTGGGCTGGGAGTCTGGAGCTTCCAGTCTGTTTTCAGCGGTGTGTTTTAGTCAAGGCATTTTTACACTCTCTGGACCTCTGTCTCCTCAAATGCAAAATGAAGAGCTGGACCGGAAACTTTTTCTCGTCCAGTTCCAGTAGCTCATCTTTCTGCACGAAGGATATGGGCTCGGAGTCGGAGGAACTGGGTTCAAGAGCTGGGGCTCCACTTACCAGGTGTAAGTCCTTGGCCAGGTTACTTAATCTCCCAAAGCTGCAATTTTCTCACCTGTAGAGCAGGACTGACAATCATTAGCTACCTCTCAGATTCTTGGGATTAGGTATGCTTTCAGGTGAAAACACTCCATACGCTAAGGCACTATGTGAATGTTGGTGGTGGTGGTTGTTTTTCTTATTTACTTAATTACTTGGCGACAGGGTCTCCATAGGTTGCCTAGGCTGCTCTCAAAACCCCGGGCTCAAATGATCCTCCCATCTTGGCCTTCCAAAATGCTGGATTTATAGGCAGGAGCCACCCACCCAGCCTGGTTATTATTGCTCTTGATAGTATTATTTTTCACCAATACCCAATTAGTTATTGGCTGATTTCTCATCTCACTAGAGTTAAGCTCCAGTAAGGCAGGAGCTGGCATGTTCCTGTTTTTTTGTTTGTTTTTTGAGATGGAGTCTCTATCTGTTGCCCAGGCAGGCTGGAGTGCAGTGACACAATCTCAGCTCACTGCAACCTCCGCCTCCCAGGTTCAAGCGATCCTGCCTCAGCCTCCCAAGTAGCTGGGATTACAGGTGCACACCACCATGCCCAGGTGTTTTGTATTTTTAGTAGAGACGGGGTTTCACCATGTTGGCCAGGCTGATCTCAAACTCCTGGCCTCAGGTGATCCGCCTGCCTCAGCCTCCCAAAGTGCTGGGATTACAGGCGTGTGAACCATTGCACCTGGCCTAGTGTTGTATTCTTGGTGGCCAGCTCAAAGCCTGGCTTGTCTTAGGCCCTTGAAAGATTTATTTGCTCAATAAATAAATGCTAAATGAGTTGAATGGAATGAATGAATGAACTGCACTTACTTAGCAGGGCAAATAAGGTAGACTGGGTTGGAGGGACAGAGGGAAGTGTGGGAGGAGGCAGGGAGCAGAAATGCCGCGCGGGCTGCGGCAGGAGGGAAATAAGGAAAAAAACAACTAAGGGCAGTGAGACAAGGCCACTTCCCAATCCTTCCTGGGCGAGATGCCTTGCAGGGGCCCCTGTGTCTGAGCCGTCTCCCTGGTCATGCTCTCCTCCACTTCTCACACCCCCTGGCGGGTCAGCAGGCGGAGGAAGGAGGGCTGGCTGCAGCCAGGCCATTCTGGTTTGTTTACCAACAGCACAATCCTCCTGGGTCATGACACAGTCAGCAGCATCTGACCCAGTTAAATATATCTGCTCTACTGGCCTGGACCACACAGCCAGCCCCTGCAGGCCATGTAGACCAGGGACCACCTGCTTATCCTTCTGGCTTGGCGCTGGGCCACCTCCTGACCCCAGAGCCCTGTGTCCCCAGGGAGCAAATGGCTGATCTGGGTCTAAACTAAACTGCAGTCTCTAGTTGAACTCATGTAGATAGTTTCATCTTGGACAGAATCGGAGAATTTAAGAGGAGAAAACTATTTGTCCAGCAGTAAACAATAAAATGGTTCATCTCCCTTGGACGGCATATTTGCAGTCATGAATGTTTATGAAGAGTATTTGCTAATGTTAAGAAACATTTTAATCTCTTTACATAACTATTAATGTTATTACTGTAGTGTTAAGTGGGACAAAAAGCATACAAAATTAGACATATAACGTGAGTGTAATCCTGTTTTTTAAAAAGCATGTAAATGTGTCTGGAAGGAATCTTAAACTGTCAACATAATTTGCCTCCCAGGAGGGGAACCGGGCTCCAGGGGATGGGATGGGAGAGAGACTTTCTTTTTATGCCCTTTTGTATGTTTTTAATTTTGAACTGTGCAAGTTTATCATGTATTCATAAGTAGAGAAGTAAAAAAATAGATCTGACAAAAAGCTTTTATGCCAAAAAGAGAAGGTCCACAAATAACACTCAGAGGGTAAAGAGGTGCTCACTTTGGTGATGGGCGGTGAAGAGGGGCTCCCTTCTCTACCGAGAGAAAAGCTGGTCCTATGCCCAGATAAACCAAAACATCAGCCTTACAAACCGGTGCAAGTGATTATCAAAGCTCAGCATCTGAGGCATAACAAAGACATACCTGCTTTAAAATATTTCCCCATGGCGCCTTAAATTGCAGCCTTTGGAGTCATTCCTTAGTCTGAAGTACAGCTTCTCCAAAGTCTCCTTGCAAACATTCAGGGGTAGCGGGGGTTACCATGTTATCTTTGTTTAGTGTTATATTATTTTTTGAGATGGAGTCTTGCTCTCTGGCCCAGGCTGGAGTGCAGTGGCATGATCTCAGCTTACTGCAACCTCTGCCTCCCAGGTTCAAGCTATTCTTCTGCCTCAGCCTCCTGTGTACCTGGGATTACAGGTGCTGCCGCCATGCCCGGCTAATTTTTTTGTATTTTTAGTAGAGACGGGATTTCACCATGTTGGGCAGGCTGTTCTGGAACTCCTCACCTCCAGTGATCAGCCTACCTCAGCCTCCCAAAGTGCTGGGGTTACAGGCATGAGCCGCCGTGCCTGGCCATGTTATTTTATCACATGAACTGAATTGAAATAGGGAGACACACTATAAGAAAGTTTTAACTGGTGTCTCACTCCTGTAATCCCAGCACTTTGGGAGGCCAAGATAGGAGGATCACTTGAGCCCGTGAGTTTGAGACCAGTTTGAGCAATACAGTGAGACCTTAGCTTTACAAAAAAAAATTTTTTAAAAAGTTCTGATTGAAGTCATTTCTTGTTTTTGAGTTTTCTTAATTTTCCCTAAAAATATAAACTTTCTCTTAATAGCACTGATTATAAAATAGCACATGATCAAGTAGCAAATTTGGAAAATACAGAATGTTATAAAGAATTTAAAAATCAGGCATGGTGGCTCACACCTATAATTCACGTACTTTGGGAGGCAGAGGTAGGAGGATCACTTGAGTCCAGGAGTTCAAGGACCAGCCTGGGCAACATGGCAAAACCCTGTCTCTTAAAAAAAAAAAAAAAAAAAAAAAAAAAAATCAGCTGGGCATGGTGGAAGGCACCTATAGTCTCAGTTACTCAGAAGTCTGAGGTGGGAGGATCACTTGAGCCTGGGAGATTGAGGCTGCAGCGAGCCAAGATCATGCCGCTGTACTCCAGCCTAGGCGACAGAGTGAAACCCTGTCTCAAGAAAAAAAAATTTAAAAATTGAACCATGTGCATCACATCCCTGAGGGAGCACTGAGCCTGGCACATTCCAAGAGAAAAAAAAATGTTAGATAGCAGGGTCGCAGGCTAAAGTTGCAAGGCCTGAGGATCCCATTAGTTCTGCAGCCTTTGTTGAGCCCAGCAGGAAACCACTAAGGACTTGGAAGAACAGTGACAGAAGTGTTTTTTGTTTGTTTACATGCCGGGTCTTGCTATTGTTGTCCAGGCTGGTCCTGAACTCCTGGCCTCAAGCAATGCTTCCACCTCAGCCCCCCAAGTATCTAGGATTACAGGGAAAAGCCACTGTGCCTGGCTCAGTGACAGGTTTTTAAAAGAACACTTGAGCTGGGCCGGGCACAGTGGCTCACACCTGTAGTTCCAGCACTTTGAGAGGCTGAGGCAGGAGGATGGCTTGAGCTCACAAGTTCAAGATCAGCCTGGGCAACACAGATCCCATCTCTACGTTTTTTTTTTTTTTTTTAAATTAGCCAGGTATGATGTCGCACCCTTGTAGTTCCAGCTACTCAAGAGGCTCAGGTAGGAGGATCTCTTGAGCCTGGGAGGTCAAGGTTACAGTGAGTCGTGATCATGTCACTGCACTTCAGCCTGGGTGACAGAGTGACATCCCTGTCTCAAAAGACAACACTTGAGCTGTAGATTGTATCACGATAAGAGGTATCCATTATGCTTGGAGAAATTTAAAAATGAGATAAAGGGTATTCTGGAATAGGCTGTTCATATGTACTAGAAATAGAAAGGAATATGAGAAGTAGGATATGCTAGAAATACAGAAATAAAATGACATAAAAGAACTTAGAAATCATTCATAATTCCACCATCTAGGAAAGCTGACTTCCTTCTAGTGCTCCCTCTTTGTGCCCTACTTTTCTCCTAAGAGTATATTCTGAGCATTTTCCCATGATACCAAATATTCTTGAGAATGATTTTTAATGACCACCTAATCATTCTATCATATAGATATGCAAACATTTATTTCACCAGTCCTATGTTGTGAGGCTTTTGGGTTGTCTCAATTTTTTGCTAGGTTCAATTATGCTGTCACGGACTTTTCGTCCAAGTTGCATGTAACGGAAAACCGAGTTCAAACAAGCATGAAGCAAACAGGAGTCAGTGGTGAAACCCAACAGTTAAGAGGAAGGGAGCTTTGGGTAAGGCTCAGTCAGGGATCCTGCTCCATTTCCCTGGAGTTTGCCCTTCTCTGTTGGCAGTGGTGCCCTCAGGCTGGCTCCTCTGCAGCCCTTGGGTGATAAACTTTTCTGTTCATGACCATGGGAGTGGCCTGTTTTGCTCTGACTGGGCCACCTGATGAAAGGTTAGGGATGAGGGAGGGAAGCTAGCCCTGACTGCCTTGGGTCTGGGTTCCCTGTCTGTCCTTGAGCGGGCAACTGTGGCAAGACGTAAGGGTGGCTGTTGCGTGATGTCGGGGGTGGGGGGAAATTTTGAGGAGATAACCAAAGAACATCCTCTGGCTACTCAGAGAGGGCCTGTAGACCAGCAGCCTCCACATCACCTGGGAGCTTACTGGATATGACTCCCAGACCTAGCAGATCAGTCTGCATTTTTAATAAGAGTCCCAGGAGACAGTTCTCACATTAAAGTTGAGAGGCCCTGCCCTCTGGCACCCTTGTGTAGGGATCCCTGAAAATAGAATGGCTGGAACAACAGCAGGGATGTTTTAAAAATTTTTTTTTTTTTTTGAGATGGAGTTTCTCTCGTTGCCCAGGCTGGAGTGCAATGGCGCGATCGCTGCTCACCGCAACCTCCGCCTCCCGGGTTCAAGAGATTCTCCTGCCTCAGCCTCTTGAGTAGCTGGGATTACAGGCATGCGTCACCACGCCTGGCTAATTTTGTATTTTTAGTAGAGATGGAGTTTCTCCATGTTGGTCAGGCTGGTCTTAACTCTCGACCTCAGGTGATCCACCCGCCTCGGCCTCCCAAAGTGCTGGGATTACAGGCGTGAGCCACTGCGTCCGGCATAAATTTTTTTTTTTTTTTTCTTTTGAGATGGAGTCTCGCTCTGATGCCCAGGCTGGAGTCCAGTGGCCCAATATCGGCTCACTGCAACCTCCGCCTTCCGGTTCAAGCAATTCTCCTGCCTCAGCCTCCCGAGTAGCGGGCTACAGGCACACGC
Organism: Homo sapiens; assembly: GCF_000001405.40. Classification (NCBI taxonomy): domain Eukaryota; kingdom Metazoa; phylum Chordata; class Mammalia; order Primates; family Hominidae; genus Homo; species Homo sapiens. The sequence goes on from NC_000015.10 coordinate 40,970,470, forward strand.
TGCCACGCCTGGCTAATTTTTCGTATTTTTAGTAGAGACGGGGTTTCACCGTGTTAGCGAGGATGGTCTCTATCTCCTGACCTTGTGATCCGCCCGCCTCGGCCTCCCAAAGTGCTGGGATTACCAGCGTGAGCCACTGCGCCTGGCCGGCCTAAAAATTCTTAATACACATTGTGAAATTGTCCTATAAAAGGTTCTGTCTCTTCACATTCCCACCCTGGGATCTGGGTGTTTGAGGCCTAAAACTCATGCAATTTGCGGAAGCCTTCTTTAAGAAAAAGAATAAAGAAATTAAGTACAAAAGTACAAAAGTGAATTAAGTACAAAAGTGAGTATTTAGAATAATAGAAAATTTAAAGATACCTTGGCCAGGCATATGGTGGCTCATGCCTGTAATCTCAGTACTTTGGGAGGGCGAGGTGGGATGATTGCTTGAGCTCAGGAGTTGACCAGCCTGGACAACATAGTGAGACCCTGTCTCTACCAAAGTTAAAAAAAAAAAATTAGCTGGGCATAGTGGTGCACACCTGTAGTCCCAGCTGCTTGAGGGGCTGAGGTAGGAGGATCACTTGAACCCTGAAAGTCAAGGGTGCAGTGAGCCCTGATCACACCACTGCACTACAGCCTGGGTGACACAGCAAGACCCTGTCTCCAAAAAAAAAAAAAAAAAAAAAAAAAAGCCTAAAAAATCTTAACATCATTGGTTTTAATTACCAATAGGTTGAAACATTTGAAACTGCCACATTTGTAAGTAAAAATAGTCATATGGTGAGAGAGCAATTCCATGTTGTTCAACCTACTTTTTCACTACATTTCTGGCTGCATTTTCTTTTTCTTAGCAACTTTATTGAAATGAAATTACCCTACCATACAAATTACCCATTAAAGTGTACAATTCAATGGCTTTTACTATATATTCACAGAACTATGCAGCTTTCATCACTATCATTTTTAGGACATTTTCTTTCATCAGACCAAAAAGAAACCCTATTCCCCTTAGCTCTCATACCACTCAGTCCCCTCATCCCTAGGTAACCATGAATATATTTTCCGTTTCTATAGATTTTCCTGTTCTGGACATTTCATAATCATACAATGGTCGTTTGTGTGAATTCTTTCATTTTTTTTTTCTGAGATCTGGCAGAAATTGTTTTCAAGTTTCATTCACGTCGTAGCATATATCAAGTTCATTCCTTTCTATTGCTAAATAGTATTGCATTGTATGGACATATCACATTTTATCCATTCATCAGTTAATGGATGTTCAGTTGTTTCTATTTTTTTAACTGTTGTGAATAATCCTGCTCTGAACATTTGTGTTATAGGTTTCTTTTTCTTTTTTTTTTTGATACAGAGTCTTGCTCTGTCACCCAGGCTGGTGTGCAGTGGTGCGATCTCAGCTCAGTGCACCCTCTGCCTCCTGGGTTCAAGCGATTCTCCTGCCTCAGCCTCCCGAGTAGTTGGGAATTATAGGTATCCACCACCATGCCTGGCTAATTTTTGCGTTTTTAGTGCAGACAGGGTTTCACCATGTTGACCAGGCTGGTCTCAAACTCCTGACCTTAGATGATCCACCCACCTCAGCCTCCCAAAGTGCTGGGATTACAGGCATGAGCCACCGTGCCCGGCCTGTGTACAGGTTTATGTGTGGATGTTTTTTCATTTCTATTTCTCCTGGGTATGTACCTAGGAATGGAATTCGTGGGTCACATGACAAACTATCTTAATAAAAGTTCTCTAGAGAAACAAAACCAATAGGATGTAGATTATGAAGCAGAGATTTCTTATAATGAGCAAGCTGGAGATTCAGGAGAGCTGATGGGTGCAGTTCTAGTCCAGACGCCAGCAGGCTTGAAATCCAGAAAGAGCCAATGTTTCAGTGCAAGTCTGAAGGCAGGAAGAAGCCATCATCTCAGTCATGTAGGAGGAGTTCTCTCTCACTAGGGGAGGGAAGGGCAGGCTTTTTGTTCTATTCAGGCCTTCAACTGATTGGATGAGGCCTGCCCACATTAGGGAGGGCAATCCACTTCACTCGGCCCACAGATGTAAATGTTAATCTTGTCCAAGAACATGCTCACAGACACACCCAGAATGTTTGACCAAATATCTGCACATTGTGTGGCTCAGCCAAGTAGACAAAATCTTAGTAACTATATGTTTAACTTTTTGAGCAATTGCCAAACTGTTTCCAAAGTACCTGCACTATTTTATGTCCCCGCCAGCAATGAATGACTCCAATTTCTCTATATCCTCATCACTTATTTTTTTGTGAAGAGCTACACACATTCTTTGCCTTTTTGAGTGATAATGATATTGCAATATCACTTTCTATAAAAATAATAGGAAGAAAATGTAGTCCTGTGTTTTAGTACATGGGTATAAAATGTTTGATAGTTTTGGAACGTTTTCCATAGCCACCTCTAACTTACTCGCAGATACTTGTCCAGGCTGGGCCTCACTCATTGATCTCTGCAGGTGTGGTCCAGCCAGCCAGGTGCTCATTGCTCCTGGCCCTCAGCCCCCACCGTGCCGATCATTGAGGGGTTCATTGGCAATAAAGCTGGGGTTGTGGTGGTCCAGATCATTCTCCTTGAGGTCAACTTTGAGGTCTGGATGTTGGATGAGGCCCACTAGGGGCAGGTGTCACTGGAGGTAAAGGGACAGCCCTAGGACCACCTCTTCCAAGGCGCAGAGGGTGGCCCCCAGTCTAGAGCCATGCTTCATGCCACATATGCAGAGGGCACACACACACACACACACACACACACGACTCTTGAAGATTAAGCTACAATGTTTCATTTATTATAGCTTAGCCAACTTTAGCAATTATGTGAAAACAAATTTCACCCAGTATGACAGGAAATGCTAGGAATCTCCTTGTTTTATTTTGCATTTATTAATGAGGTTGATGTGATGGTTAATTTTAGGTGTCAACTTGACTGGATTATAGTATGGGGCCCACGTAGAACAAAAAGGCAGAGGAAAGGCAAATTCCCTCTTTTCTAAAGTGGGGACACCCTCCTTCTCCTGCCGCTGGACATCAGGGCTCCGGGTTCTCTGGGATTTGGACTCTGGGACTTGCACCAGAGGCTCCCTAGGCTTTCAGGTCTTCAGGTTCAGACTGAGAGTTACAGCACTGGCTTCCCTGGTTCTAAGGCTTTCAGACTTGGATGAACCATGCTGCCAGCTTCCCTGGTTCTCCATCTTGCACACCACCTATCGTGGGACTTTCCAGTCTCTATAATCATGTGAGCCTATTCCCCCAGTATGTCCCCTCTCATATATCTATATCCTATTGGTTGTCTCTCTGTAGAGCCCTAATATGGCTGAACATTTCCCATGGCTATTACCCATTTGCATGTGTGTATATTTTCTATTTATGTACAGTGCTTGGCACAAAGTGCTTTAAAAAATAAATCTATAGTGTTTTAGCCCACTTTCCATTGGAGTGTTGTGTCCGGACTATTAGCTGTCCATTCAAATCTGTTCTCTTCTTCCCTAATTACATGGCAGCCTCCTTTGGAGTTAGATAGGTTCTTAGGTCTAAAGTTCTCTCTGATAGTGTGTGAGCCACTTAAGGGTCTAAGTCTTAAGGCAATACAGTAGGTGGATCCCCTCCCCAGTCTTCCCCTCCCATAGAACATTTCATTTTCTTTTTTTTTTTTTTGAGATGGAGTCTTGCTCTGTTGCCCAGGCTGGAGTACAGTGGCACAATCTTGGCTCACTGCAACTTCCGCTTTCTGCATTCAACTGATTCTCCTGCCTCAGCCTCCTGAGTAGGTGGGATTACAGGTGCCCGCCACCATGCCCATCTAATTTTTGTATTTTTAGTAGAGATGGGGTTTCACCATGTTGGCAAGGCTGGTCTCGAACTCCTGACCTCAAGTGATCCGCCTGCCTCAGCCTCCCAAAGTGCTGGGATTACAGGTGTGAGCCACTGTGTCCGGCCCCATAGGACATTTCTATAAACCAGTAATGACCATGCTGATGAGGACAAAAGCATCAAAACAGCAGAGAAACAAGATGGAAAGAATGTGGGACCTTCAATGTTCGTGTAGAGCAGATCCAAATTCAAACTCTTACATGTGAGAGATAAGAATTTATATCTTATTTAAGCCATTAAATAAGATATTTAAGCATTTTGGGGTCTGTTACAGCATCATGTGTTACCCTAACCAATATGAACAATGATATTAATTGGTCAGAGGGCTTATGGCCCAACCAGTGGACAGACACTGCAATTACTCCCTAGGGATGACCAGCCTAGTCCAAATTACTCCCTAGGGATGACCAGCCTAGTCCAATAAAGATGAGGCATGGGTAGTGGAGATGAAGTGCAAAGACACTGGCTTTTGAGCTTGCCCATTTCATTTTCACTGCTCCTACTAAAATCCGGTGATGGACTATACTGACTTACTCTGCCTGCAGATGGAGTCCGAGAGGGAGCATGCACCAGTCTACTACCTAGACCCCTTGGCAGAACTTTTCCTAGATGTGCAAGGTGATCTATACTTTTTTTTTTTTTCAAAGAATGAAAAAAAGGAGTAAAATCAACAAACTTTATTGAACTGGTTCAAACCGGAACACCCTTATCTAGAACATGTTACTTTACTTAACCAGAACTGTGGTACTGCGGCCCAGCAGAGGGCCACAGGCATCCGTGGAAAGCATGCACTGAAGCTCAGTCACTTAATTCCTAGGACATCCTACAATCCTCCTCTGAAGTTCTTTTTGTTAGCTCAGAAGTTCTGAGTTAGTTAAATGATTTCCAAGCCCCCAACAATTTAGAAAAGGTACATTAGAAGAAGGGGTGTTAAGATCAGTGTTTGGGGGAAAAAAAGATTTTATTTTTATTTTTTTTGAGACGGAGTCTTGCTCTGTCGCCCAGGCTGGAGTGCAGTGGCGCAATCTCAGCTCACTGCAAGCTCTGCCTCCCGGGTTCATGCCATTCTCCTGCCTCAGCCTCCTGAGTAGCTGGGACTACAGGCGCCCACCACCACGCCCAGCTAATTTTTTGTATTTTTAGTAGAGACAGGGTTTTACCCTGTTAGCCAGGATGGTCTCAATCTCCTGACCTTGTGATCCACCCGCCCTGGCATCCCAAAGTGCTGGGATTACAGGCGTGAGCCACCGCGCCCAGCCCAGATTTTATTTTTTAAGAGGAGCAGCTATCTCATCATATAAATACAAAAACACTGAGGCAGCTGGCACTGGCACTGGTACTATTCAGAGCTTAAGAACTGTGGCTGGAACCCCAGCACTATGGTAGAGGCTGATCAGGGAGGATTGCTTGAACCTGGGAGGTCGAGGCTGCAGTGAGCTGTTATTGCACCATTGCACTCCAGCCTGGGTGACAGAGCAAAATCCTGTCTCACAGACAATTTGTGGCAGTGTAGCTGTTGGCATGATTTAATCCAGGGGAAACAGTAGTACGTCCCAGTGGGCCTGAGAGCACCAGATGCCCACATGACCCCAAGCCCTTAGGAAAGGTTAAGGTATGTTCGGTATGTTCTGTTTAGCCATGCAGTGACACAGTATCCTTAAAAGAGAGTTCTAACCAAGCCAAATTCTGGTGCTTAGAATACCGGGTTAAAATGTTAGCCCTCTGAAAGACTTAGCTATTCAGAAAAATTCTAGGTAAGAGTTTATGCTGCTCTTCCCAATTCCACCGGGCCGAAGGCAAACTAAGACTGCTGAAGCTGAACTGCACTGACAATCCATTGGACCTGAACTCTCCCCACCACTCTGCTCAGACATCCCCAGGTAACTGGCACCATCTCTTCAAGGGTGCAAGGCATGGAGCAGCATAGGTCTTCTGGGACCTCTCATCTGGGAAATGGGAGGGGAGCTCCTTTCTTCTCTGGCAGCCAGGAACAGCTTGGGGGGTGGGCCTCTAGTTCAGGGTGGGGTTTGTGGTGATGTGCTGGGGGGGTGGTAGGAGGGTGGAACATTCTGAGCTGAGGCCGGGCATTCTCTCCCAGAGCTGCTTTAGGGGGGCATCAGCTGAGCAAACTTAGAAAACTCCCCACCACCTCCAACTTTGAACCTCTGTGCCCCCTTCCTTCTTCCCCTGAGGCTGTTGCCAAGTCAGACCCAGAGGGGCCTCCCCAATCCTTGGGCCACATATTTATCTTTGAGATTTGTGTGCCAGAACAATGAAATCCCAAGTGGCAGGAGAGCAGAGGCCTTGTGGGCACTCACAGATGCACATTCCATATGCCTTTCTGGAAGAAAGAACTCAGCTCTCTAGGAAGGAGGTAAGAGTCCAGGAGCCTCTCCCTCAGGAATCCTTGTTTCTCACCAAAGGTGCCAGGAACTGTAGGCAGGGATTCTGTGAGGACTGTGAAGTATCTCAAGCTTTGTAATTCTCTGTATACAGTATTGTTTTTGCCTGGTGTCCTTGTTGTGATGAGCAAGAAAATCCTTAATTTAAAAAAAAGAAAAGCATGATGCTCACTTCTGGCAGCAGCTAGGAGAGAACCAGGAGTCCATCCCCCAGCAGCTTGCCACGGGGGTGGGGGTTGGGGGAGAAACTGGAGCGAGAGAGTGGGTGGTGGCAGTTTTGAAGAGGAAAGGGAAGCCAGCTAAGTCCCAGGACCTGAAGCAAGAAAGAAATGAGGGCGCAGGAAGAGGCCAGATAAGGGAGGCACCCAGCTTCCTCAGGGTCCTTTGATGAGGCAGTGGGCCGCCTTAGTACTTGGACACACAATTTCGTGACAACCGGACGTCTCTGCTTTCTCTAGAACACAACCTGCCTTCTCCCTACCCCACCATCTAAGTGGTCTGAATGTGCACCATGAGGCTGGCTGAACTGGGCACCCATGGTCAACACGCTGCCTCCCCAGTTGGGGGTTTCGCGACTCTCTGGTAGTCTCAGAGAAGCGTGGGAGAGCAGCCAAACGGTCTCCATGCCCCCTGAGAGGGGCTTAGGAATTAGTTGAGAAAGATGACTGATCCAGGAGTCTGGTGGTCACAATAAAAGGACACAGGCACAGGAAACACTGAGTCCAGGGGTCACAGACTCTTCATGACATATTGCATCTTGGTGGAGGCCACACAGGAGAGGGACAGTAGCAAATCTGAGGCCTTCTCTCATACCTAACATGCCCAACAGAGGTGCTACCCAGGAAGTGATGGAGAAAATGATGAACAGTTAGTTTAAAAATGAAAAAACAAAACAAAAATGGAGAAAACATATAAGGGATTGAATTTCTCTAGAAATGCTAGGATTTCATTTTCTGTCATCAGGTGTATTAAGCTGGGTAAGAGGAAAAATAAAGTATTTCCTGCACCGGGCTTCCTGGCTGGGGTGCGGGCATATAAGCAAAGAGCAGAGATTTTTCCTGCTTGGCAGGGCTGGAAGGCACCCTAGGGCCTTGTTATTCCAGGGGTAGTCCAAGGACTAGCAAGCAGCATGGCCATCACCTGGGATCTTCTCAAGAAACTCAGTCTCAAGCCTCAACCTAGACCTTCAGAAACAGAACTTGCATGTTATGATCTCAAGGTGATTTGTGTGCACATTAACACTGGAGAAGCGTTGCCTTAAGGGACAATTCAGGTTTCAAATTACTATCTTTTCTTATGAAAAATCTTTACATAGCATGTAAAGGCAGAGCTGCTTAGTTCTGATGTTGGTTTATTCTGTGTGAGGCCTTGGTCAAGTTCACCAGCAAGATAAACAAGATCCAGAGTATCTAGTAATGTACTTGATGTCAATGAAGAAAGGCTGATCCTTGTGACTGTGGTGGGCATCAGCTGCCCAGGAGCCAGCCCACCCTGACCAACAGCGTGCAGGGTGAGCAAGGCTAGGGAGGCCACACAGCCAGCATACTTGGGAACCACATGAGCCCTACCCAAAAGTGATACAAGAGCTTATCAGTGTTTCACCCAGTCAGAGAAACGCTGGCTGCCAGGCCAGGCTGGGAACTAGGGCTCTTTTCCCAACTATCACCAAGGTAAGTTTTCACAGCCTGGATGTCTCTGGCATCCTTAGGAATGTATTTCACCATTTTCTTTCATGATTCTTAAGAGTGCAGCTAACTTTGAGAACACTGCCACTATTAAGATGACCACTATGTAGCTCTGCTTAATGGCGCCTAGGCCAAGCCGCCCACACCTCAGTCCTGGGGTCTAAGTCCTGAGTCATAAAGAGCCCACCATGGAGACAAGGGCGTTGACCACTGCATGTCAGACAGTTGGTCAAGCTTCCTTTCTGATGGCCAGAGGCAAATTCATAAGCCCAATCAATTCTGCTACTAAGGAAACACCCACAGTCCACTCCTTGTCCCACCAACCCCTGTCCTCTCTGATCACAGGCGAGGGCTCTGCTTTCCCTGTATCCTGCCACATCCACCAAGGGCTCTAGTTTGCCTCCAAGGAGGGGCAGCTGCAAAGACCACAGACACCTCAATTTACATAAAATTATCTCACTCCATTTTATTTAAGATTTTTTTATCCAGTTAGTAAAAGGAAGATGTGTCTCTCTTTATACATATGTACAAGTTCAGTTATAAAAATAGCACATTCAAAGAGAAAAGGCTTGGCATTTTTCTGATTCCCTCTAAATAGCATCTGTACACAGGAATCTGGGTTTGAGCAGGGGAATCTTAATGATTTAAATTAAATGATTCCCCTATACCCCCTACTCCAAAAAAGTTTTAAAAATCAATCTATCGAAACTCAATTCCGCGATTTTCAGGTGTGCAAATCAGAGGCTTGCCCGCCCGGAGGTACCTGCTCCACCAGGGACATCAGGCAGGGACAGGCAGAAACACCTCCCATGCAAACACTGCCCCTCTGTCTCTACTGGAGGGCAGCAAGCTCAGGCTGGCCGGGCTGGGAGGGCCGGTGCCGAGCCTGCCCCCTCTCTCCGCCCTCTTCACCTCACTCCTGCTGTCCCTTCCTCTCTCAGTGCAATATAGACAGTGCATACAGCCAAGCAGGGGACTGAAGGGCATGAGCAGGGAGACTGTGCATTCAGGATGGGCAAAGGGGACTCTGCAAGAGGGGCAGTGAGGCTGTCCTGCTGATTGAGGTGGCTCCTGGTCTCTCTACTGGCTTCTGGGAGTCCCCTGGGTGGAAGGTGCTACGGTTGCTGGTAGGATCTGAAGGTTCTCTTGGTGTGAACCATGCAGGATGGGAGGAATTGCTGGGAACACAACTGCCTGTGGATAGACTTCCTCTAGCCTCTACCATGCTTAGCGGCCTCCACCATCTCTCGCAGTCACTGCTCTCTCCAATGATGACACTCTGGGGTTCAGAGACCTGGGGAGCTGCCTGAAGACTGTGGACAACAGGTATACAATCTCCCTTACTAGCCCTATGAGAAATCACACTCTTAAGAGAAATCTCTACCATGGAAGGCTCTTCACAGCACCTGCGGAGACTTTGCAAGGGACGTGTCAGAGCCGAAGAGTGGAATCGGGATGGAAACAGTATGCCTGAGCATCTAAAGGGGGTCTGTGTCAGGCTTGCCCCGTGAGAGGTTTAAGACTTGGCTATACAGTTCACTTGAGATGCAGTGGGGCTGATCCATGCCCTGTGGCCTTCCTCCTACAGGCACCCCAGATGCTCCTGATGAGACACAGATGATAAAAGTGCTCACACCATCCACCTGCCTGTCCTTCCCCTGCTGGACATTTCCACTTCTGACTCAGGATGCAAGATGCTGCACGGGGCAAGCCATCCAAAGACCACTGGCAGGTCAGGACTCTAGCCCTGGTTTGGTTGAAGGAAGTCGGAGGGCCCAGATGGTTACCGTCCTCCAGAGGGGTTGGTGCCTTTGCCCTGTTTCCGGACCAGAGAGTCTGGGGCTAGGCTGCTGGTCATGTGGAGGTTCTTGGGATTCCCAGGAACATTATTTCCCTTGCTCAAAGGGGAACTCAAAGGAGAAGAGGCGCTTGAAGGTCCAAAGTCAGCAAGGCCAGCAGGCCGAACAAGGGATGTCTGCAGAGGACTGCTGGCGGAGATTCCTGTGGGGACGGAGAGAGACAAGAACGTAAGCACCAGTCCCGCGTAAGCTTCCTTGGAGCCTGTGGCCTTGGTTACCAGAGTCTGAGCTGGAGGAGAAGTGGTGGGCAATTCCTCCCTGCCACTCCTTGCTAACAACTTCTTGGCATGTTTGCTTGCTCTTCCTGTCAACTGTCTTTTCAGTAAGAGGAATAGATTTTTAAGAGAAAATGATACCTACCCAACCCTCTCTATACTACTTCATCCACAGATGGTAAAATGTTCATCTTGACACTCTAGATAGAGCACACATTTTACAATCTGAGACACCAAAGTTACAGGATGAGAGCTGTAACTTACTAGGCACAAACAGGTTTTTCCTTTCTTCTTTCTTGGAACATCAAGTTTGATAAGATGTTTCCTTTTCAATTTCATGCTCCTGCTACTCTCCAGTAAGTCGGGCCAGAGGGTACAAGGCTGCCCACTCTCTATCCTGTGTCTATATTCATACAGTTCTCCTTGCGCTGGCAATGGCCACCCCTGCTCTCCAAGGCCTGTGTCACTTCAAGGGCACAGCTCAAATCCCCCATCTTGAGTGATGACTCCCTGGGCAACAGTGAACTTCCCTTTTTCCTACATAAGCCAAATCCACTTACATGTGATAACACATTGATTCTTCAATTGTTTCATATGTACTGGTTTTACTTTCCAAAAAAGAATTCTAAGTGCTTGATGGGCAGACATGTCTCTCTCCTCATCCACAGTGGAACCACGGGTACTCTCTGAACCACTCCTTTCCCTTGATTTCCATTTCCAGTTGCCAAGCACTGTTGGTTTTTCTTGTGCTGCTCTACCCCCTCTATCTCCCTCACCCTTTCTGCCCTCTACACAGTGCAGGTTCTGAGGAGAAACCCTGATGAGTATATGCAATGCCCCAGCCATGGGTGAGACCCTGCCACGGCAGCCTGGACTACTGGCATGACTGTTGTTTTCCAAGGATGTGGTAAGTTGGCAAAGGGCTAAGAAACACTGGGCGAGGCTATTATACTTCATATTTCCTCTATCATACTTCATATTTCCTGGAAGAACCAATAAATGAAAGCTGAGATTTCTGCAGTAAGAGAAAAGGCAAGTAAACTAACAATTACTGAGCAATTACTACACTCCAAGCACTTTCTATACTAGTATGCCTTTACTTGCTACAACTATGAGCTCATACTAAGCCCACGTATTGAATGGGAAGAAAGGTCTGTAAGTGGCTCTCTCTTTCTCACCACACTCAAATGTCCTGTACTTTATAGCTACAATCATCCTTCACATATCACGGTCACAACAGCCACTTTTTTCCTCAAACTGTCTGCAGCCCCTTGTCACACATCTGCTAAGCTCCTGCCCAGCAGGCCTCGCCATGTGTTTACAACCTTGACTCCTACTGCTCCTCTTCCATGGAACCTAAGCTGCTCAGTGACCCCCAGTATGCCTTGGCCACTGCCAGCTCTCTGTCACCAGTCCAAATCCTTCCTCATTCTTCTCCTCCCTTTTGAATACAGACAGGCAACTTATCAGCAGGACCATGGTTCCCTCTCCTCCTGACCTACAACTGCTGTGGCTGCCTTCTTTTCATTCCCCTGTATTTTGCCGTGGATTGCTGTTAAGAGTACTGCATGCATGGCTTCCCCTTCTCATTGCTATTATACACTCAGGAGCAAGGTCCATGTGGAATACTCCTTTTTACGTTTTTTAGTTTTTGAGAGAGTCTTGCTCTGTCACCCATGCTGGAGTGCAGTGACCTGATCTCAGTGCACTGAAACCTCCACCTCCAGGGTTCAGTCAATTCTCGTGCCTCAGCCTCCCAAGTAGCTGGGACTACAGGCGTGAGCCACCACGCCCATCTAATTTTTTGTGTTTTTTGGTAGAGACAGGGTTTCCTCATGTTGGCCAGGCTGGTCTCGAACTCCTGGCCTCAAGTGATCTGCCTGCCTCAGTCTCCCAAAGTGTTGGGATTACAGGTGTGAGCCACTGTGCCTGGCCCATGTGGTATACGCCTATGCATGCAGCAGGTGCCTCATATCTAGGTGATAAATCACACAGCTGAATGAACGTTAACTATGCTAATTTGGATTACTAAAATGTGGATCTCAGAAATGAAAGCCTAGGAAGAAAACAAATCCCCAAAGCAAGAAAAATTCAGAATGTTTAAAGTAGTACAGTTCACAATTCAGCTCTCCCTTTTTACAACTACTTCCAATCCACAGACAGCCCTGTACCGTCAGGAGGGCAAGGGGTGAGTCAACAGTGCTTATTACAAAGAAGAAGAACCCCAATTGGGGCTCTAGGAAGAAAGCTCCCGGCTTCAGGGTTTCCTACATGTTCTACCTGACTGACAGAATTTCTAGACTGTCTCTGACCAGAACAAAGTCTGCAGCCACCCTGGGCTTCTGTACCTTTAGACACGTTGTACCCGTATGCGGCATAGGCAGCTGCAGAGGCCGCTGCAGCCCCGGCTTTGGCTCCTGCCATTGCAGCAGCACTGCCTGCCGTGGACTTTCGGCTCCGGCCCTTCCCTGCTCCTTTGGCTGTGCTTCCTGAACCTTTGGGGCGGCCTCGGCTTCGGGCTGAGTGACCACGTCCTGCAGCTGGCATTTCCTGAATGGAAATTCCTGTGGGAACAAATGGGCCAAAAGGGAAAGAAAAAAAAAAAAAGTCAATCTCCAAGATGTTAACATCACCTTCTCCTGACAGGGAAAGCGAGCTCTTAGGGCATTTGTTTTAGGACCCATGAGGAGGTCTATGTCTCCACTTAATGATGGCTAGACCACTGAGTCACACAGAATACTAAGAATTCTAAACAATGAAAACATCCTAACTCCTCAAGCTGCTTTTCATTCTGAAGAGCAGTTACATTACTCCTGAGTTTCCTCTTTAAATTTGTCCATTACAAAGGGAAGCGACTTGCTACCTGGGACTCATCTGCACACTCTAATGTGCTCTTGCCTTGGAGAGTCAAATTTTACCCTCGAGTTTTGAACCCAGAGCTCCCCAAGAAATGGCAGCAACACTAGACCCCACACAGCAAAGTGAGGAAAGGCCCAGAAAAGCTAACATTAATTAAAAATCAGCAAAAATAATGGTGAATCTGAAAGTCGGGGATGACTAGAAAAGTTTTAAATCTTTATAAAGTTACTTATTTTGCTTTCCCTAAACCTCGTTTTCTCATTTCACTTGACAAAGCTATTGAAAGAATAAAAATACCATTATCCTAGAAGGAATCAGGACCTTACCCACAACCAAACCAGTGCTGGGCAGTGGACCAGGCCCAAGCTGTACAAGACAGCAGCAATTACCATTCACGGTATCTGAGACGGAGCCTGTTATGGATGCGGGAGAGTTGGTAGCTCGAGACTGAGGGGCTGAGGAGGCTGGGTCATCCACAATGACCAGCATGTCACTGCTGCTCTCGTCCAGGGGAATGGAGCCAGTGTGCAGCTCACTGCTGATGGAGATCTAGAAGAGGAAGGGTTAAGATCATTACGACCCCCTGTGCTCACCGCCCATGGCCTTGCACCCAGCTAGGAACATGCTTCACAGTTGAGGCTGCTTTGGCTTCTGAGAAACCAACCTGTCCTCATTTGTTTTTCTCCTTACAGACCTCATGTGCAACCTACTTCAACAAGGCTGGAGAACTCCAGGAGAAGCAAAGACTGCCCAGCAGTGTGTCCCTGCTACACGGTCAGGACACTCCTTACGGCTGTGATGCAGGCATCTAAAAGGAGCCTCACCTCACTGAAAGGGCTTGGCATGGCTGAGTCCACGCTAATGAAGGAGTCATCTCCGTCAGCAGAGAGGTTGGAGTTATCAGCCGAGGGAACAAATGGGATCACCAGGTTCACACCCTCTTTTCTCCTTTTCCCATCCAATTCATCTTCTTTTTTCTTCTGGGAACACACGGATAAATATGGAAAACGTGTGAGGATGCACCCCAAAAGAAAAGCGGGATTTGGGAAGAAAAGGATAACAGAACTTTTATTCTTTAGTTTATAAACTTCTCAATTAGCATATTTTTACGGAAGAAAAACTGCATAAGGAAGAAGGGATAGCTTAACAGGAGTTTGTGTGTATTTCAGTCGAGTACTGTGGCACATGCCTGTAATTCCAACTACTTAGGCTGAGGTGGGAGGATTACTTGAGCCCAGAAATTGGACCCCAGCTCAAAAGAAAAAAAAAAAAAAGAGCTTATGAATATCTGCCACAATAATAGAGTTTAAAGTTGGGGCAGTCACACTGAACCAGAGCCACACCAACCCTGATCCTAATGGGCCGAAGAGCCTCACCAGCCGCTGGCACATCCAGCACTTATTGAGGCTGACTGAATGCAGTCCCACAAAAGAGAGGGCCAATGCTTTCAATATATTTTCTACATATCTGTTTTTAAGACAAATTTTTAAGACAGTTCAAATCCTTGGTGTGAACTAGAGAAAAACAGATGAACAGACATTTAGAAATAAACCGGGGGTTTATTTTTCTAGTGACAGATGACACTGAGTGGTACACTAGCAGAATTATGGTAGGTTTGTGGATCTCATGACCTCTTAGGCCCCTTCTAAGATTCTATGGAGCCTTATAAGTAATGCCCATCTTAGTCACATTTTAGCCTTCCACGCTTTGTAACAGCCCTGACAAATGGTTTCCATAATTAAACTGTGACCACCGTAAGGGTGAGTTTGTGTGGAGAGTACAGATCTACCAAGGCCACATTTCTCCTGAGCAAAGCGTGAGTCAGCCCAGAAATGTAGCTGATCATACACAGCTGGAGCTTGATAGCAACCAGTAACCAAGATGAGAAGCCATGTACCCCAAAGCCTTTTTGGTAAGTACCCCAGGCCCCATTAGCCCCTATCCACCATTCCAGGCTGGAAATACCTTCTCTGCATACTTTTCCCGCTTCCGCTTGCGCTCTTTCACTCGGTTGGTTTCCTCCTGTTGCCGTTTCTCTTCCTGCCGCAGCCTCACTATCAAGAAAATGAATTAAGACCTGATGAAGTACCTGTGGTAATCATAATCCTCACTCTCTTAATTAAGGTGGCCATATCCCCTGATGTTTATTTTCCAAGTATCACTTCTATCTGTTTAAGGCAGATAACCAGTGGTTTTCTAACTTGGATTCTCAATTTTGGGTTTAAATCACACTCTTATTTTAAGCATTATGGGCTGGCTCGGTGTGGTGACTCACGTCTGTAATCCCAGCACTTTGGGAGGCTGGGGCAGGCTGATGGCTCAAGCCCAGGAGCTTGAGACCAGCCGGGCCAACATAGTGAAACCCCATCTCTATAAAAATACAAAAATTAGCCAGGCACAGTGGTACGCGCCTGGGTCCCAGCTACCCCAGAGGCTGAGTCAGGAGGACTGCCTGAGCCCAGGAAGTGGAGGTTGTGGTGAGCCAGGATTGTGACACTGTACTCCAGTCTGGGCAACACAGCAAAACTCTGTCTAAAAAAAAATTATTATAGGCCTTTCCTCATGTTATTCTTTTTCCCTTTTTCATTTCAGCCTTTTAATCTCTGCTTTGCACACATTGAGCATGGCTGTAGAGTTCTGAAAGGTTTTAGAAGGTGCTGGCAAATGTGAACTTACTTTCTGCTCTAATGCTGTGGAAGGCTTCAGAGGCTCACAGGATGAATCTGAAACCCAATGCTCTCAAAAGCCAGAAAACACATGGGAGGAGGGTTTGTATGGTTACAGCTGCGTGCTTCTCCAACTTTTCCATAAAAACATTTTTCTGGGCAGAAGAGCAAATTCACTACTGCTAAGGAGTCAGCTGCCTTCCTTGTGCAAGCTACATTATTTGAAGCCACATTTACCTTTAAAATACACACAAATTTTGCCTTCTACTCCACAATGCTTTTTTTTTTTTTTTTTTTTTTTTTGAGATGGAATCTTGCTCTTGTTGTCCAGGCTGGAGTGCAATGGCACGATCTTGGCTCACTGCAACCTCTGCCTCCTAGCTTCAAGGGATTCTCCTGCCTCAGCCTCCCGAGTAGCTGGGATTACACGTGCCCACCACCACGCCCGACTAATATTTGTATTTTTAGTAGAGACGGGGCTTCACCAGGTTGGCCAGGCTAGTCTTGGAACTCCTGACCTCGTGATCCACCTGCCTCGGCCTCCCAAAGTGCTGGGATTACAGGTGTGAGCCGTCTTGTGTTTTTTGTTTTTGTTTGTTTTTAAAAGATGGAGTTTCACTCTTATTGCCCGGGCTGGAGTGCAATGGCATGATCTCGGCTCACTGCAATCTCCACCTCCTGGGTTCAAGCAATTCTTCTGCTTTAGCTTCCCAAAGTGCTGGAATTACAGGTGCCCGCTACCATGCCCAACTAATTTTTTGTATTTTTAGTAGAGGTGGGGTTTCACAATGTTGGCCAGGCTGGTCTCAAACTCAAACTCCTGACCTCAGGTGATCTGCCCACTTTGGCCTCCCGAAATGCTGAGATTAGAGGCGTGAGCCACCATGCCTGGCCTACAAACACATTCTTGTTTGGGTTTTTATATAAAATATGAGCACAAAAATACTTTCCCTAAATACAGCCTCTGGCTTTGCCTACCCTTGGCACACAGCCAAGTACCTCTTCCATTCTCAGATACGTGAGGGGAGTGTATAGAGGTTTAGAGTACATACGTTTCTTCTCCAACTCTTCGTCGTCTAGAAGAAGACTAACCACCTCTTTGGGTTTCAAGGTATCTGGTTTGAAGTTCCCACCTGAAATCACCATCCGCTGAATCTACACCAAAGCAGATCAAAATGTCACCTCCAGGCATCCATTCCCTTATGGCAAATATCCAGAAAAAGATACACATCGTTCTCAACCCACTCCTCAGGGGAGGCCTCTGGTTTCCTATTTCTTCTTTTCTCCCTTTTCATTTCAGTTCATCTGATTGGCTCATCCAGATTATTTGTCCGACAGAAGGAAAATGATAACTTCTTTGCTTGGAACTGCTAACTAGAAAATCTAAGGCTACTGAATCAGGATGAAAAAAACAAAAAATAACAAATTTGGCATACAATTCAGAGGCAGATAAGCTGAGAGTACTAGGATAGGAACTAAAAAATGTCCATCCTTCTTCCACTGAATGCGAGAGGCCATTACCGGTGTCAGTCTCCACATGAACAACAGCTGGATCCAGGCTATGGAAACCATTCTAGGGGAAAGGGAATGAGGCATGGCCAGGGAAGTCAAAATTGCTATTGCATGGGACCTGATTTTATTTTCTATTCAGAAGAAATTGTAGTTTCGTCAGGACCAATGAAAGGCAAGAGAGTTTTAAAATAGTCTCAATGCAGTCAATGTGGTTGGACTTTCTGTTTGCTCCACCAGTGTAGGAATTTCTTTCTCTTGTGCTTACCTCACTCTTCTCCTTGGCTCTTTGCAGAATGCGTTCTTCAATGGTGCCTTTACAGATGAGCCGGTACACAGTAACCTGCTTTGTCTGCCCTAAGCGGTGGGCCCTGTCCATGGCCTGCTGGTCCACAGTGGGGTTCCAGTCGCTATCATAGAAAATCACCTGCATAGAATATAGCAAAAACTGAAGCACTCTTAGGGAAGGACCAGAAATTCTGAGAGCAACCCAGCCAATTGTCTGTTTGCGAGTTTGGCGTCAGTAGGGTCTGATTCGTTTCTATGATATTGAGCTAAGTAAGATACATCTTAGAAGATACAAAGCCGTTCCTTCACATGCCCTGAGCAAAAGATACATGCTCCTGTTTTATTTTTTTCAGTTTTCACTTAAAAAGAGTGGCAATAATATTAATAGTTAAAACGTAGTGTTTAGTACATTAATAACATTAACGGTTAACACTTACAGTGCATTGTTCTAAGTGCATTAACTCATTTAAATCCCAGAATTATCACTGTTATTTGTGCTGAGAAAAAAAATCCCATAATCGTCATTATTTAAATGCTGTTAAGACTCACATATTTTGTAGTTTAGGAGAATGAGGCACAAATGAGCTAGACAATTTATCCAAGATCACATTGCTTAACTAAGCACCACTGCTCCCAACTATTCACAAGGCTGAGGTGGGAGGATTGCTTGAGCCTGGGAGGCAGAGGTTGCGGTGAGCTGAGATTGTACCACTGCACTCCAGCCTGGGTGACAGAGCAATACCCTGTCTCAAAAACAAAACAGGTCAGCTGTGGTGGCTCACACCTGTAATCCCAGCACTTTGGGAAGCTGAGGTAGGTAGATCACCTGAGGTCAGGAGTTAGAGACCAGCCTGGCCAACATAGTGAATCCCCATCTCTGCTAAAAATACAAAAACTAACCAGGCTTGGTGGCTCACGCCTGTAATCCCATCACTTTGGGAGGCCAAGGCGAGTGGATTACTTGAGGTCAGGAGTTTGAGACCAGCCTGGCTAACATGGTGAAACCCCATCTCTACTAAAAATACAAAAATTAGCTGGGCGTGGCAGTGCGTGCCTGCAATCCCAGCTATCTGGGAGGCTAAGGCAGGGGAATTGTTTGAACCTGGGAGGCAGAGGTTGCAGTGAGCCGACACTGCATCACTGCACTCCAGCCTGGGCGACACAGTGAGCCTCCGTCTCAAAAAAAAAAAAAAATTAGCCAGGTGTGGTGGCAGGCACCTGTGGTCCCAGCTACTCAGGAGGCTGAGGCAGGAGAATTGCTTGAACCCAGGAGGCGGGGAGTACAGTGAGCTGAGATCATGCCATTGCACTCCAGCCTGGGCAACAAGAGAGAAACTCTGTCACAAAACAAAACACTGGGGCTATGCTGGAAACAGGCATGGCTTTCCCTAGAATTCTCAGGCTCTCATCAACAGTCATTTACTAGCCCATGAATTCCCAGGATGGAATGTTTAAAGGGTTCTCTGGAAGTGACTTCTAGTTTGCTGAGCAACAAACAAATTAACAACAAAATATATCACCACTAAGTGAGTGATCCTAAAACAAACTCCTCAGTCCTCAACCCTTGAGGCTACCATCCAACATGGCGGACCAGTTCAAAATGGCCCTCATATCTCATGTGTTGTCCTTTATATCCAATCAAAAGTCACCAAATCCAGCCACTGCTTCAAAAATGAACCTGTCCTTTCTACTGTAACAATCCCACTGTTTCCATTCTAGACCAGGCCCTCACAACCTACATCTGGATTAGCACTCTGTTACATCAGCAGGACTCTTAGATCTCGGTCTCTTTCCTCTTCAGTCTACCTTGGCTACCACTGTGGGCCACTCCAGCTCTCTGCCAGTTACACACCTGCCTCAGCCTCCTGAGTAGCTGAGATCACAGGTGCCTGCCACCATGTCCAAACTCTCCTAAATAATCAGGCCCTGCTATAGAGAGCCAACTTTATTTTCTATTCTTTCCTAACACAAATATGCCCTTTCCCTTTAGTCAGATGGGTCTCTTCAGTGGTCCTGGCTTATAATACATTTGTGTACACCTCTTATTGCTCAAGCTGTTTCTCTGAACTAGAATCCCAAAACTCTTCTTTATTGGTCCTTTCAGGTTTAGTTCAAGCTTCTAGGAAGCTCGCCCTGTTTTCTCTTGCCTATAATAATGTCTCCTTTTCTTTTCTTATCCCTATTCCCCCTGGATTCCTATTAGAAATAATAATGGCTAAAATTTGTTGGGTACTTATGAGCCCAGGACTAGTATGCATATATCTCTCACTGAATTCTAAAAAAAAAAAAATCCTATGTCTATCCTCCATCTTACAAGCAAGGAAGAGACTGGTCTGAAATCACAGCAAGGGGCTGGGGTGGGGAGTGACCTAACAGTCTCCCTCCACAACCTACAGTAGTAACAAAACTTGGCATTGCCTACCTACCTTGGTCCAAGTCCCCACTTAATCACTAACTTCTATGGTGTCAATTATTTCATGTGTACTATTTGAAAGAGTGAGTCATCTTTCTTGAAACTGTTTCTGTCTCTCTTTTTCTTTTCTGAGACAGGGTCTTGCTCTGTCATCCAGGCTGAAGTACAGTGGCATGATCTTGGCTCACTGCAGCCCCAAACTCCTGGGCTCAAGCAATCCTACCATCTCAGCTTCCCAAAGTGTTGGAATTACAGGTATGAGCCACTGCACCTGGCCAAAATGGTTTCCCTCCATTTTTAGCACAGGTTAGAATCCTTGGGAAGAACAATGTAAACTGCTGGCGAAAGAAAGTCACCGTGAATGCTTATTGTTAATCTAGTGTCCTGCAAACCTAAGATTTAGAAGTGCACAATGCTTGTTGCCTCTAGAGGAACTTAACAAACCTGACCACACGACATTTTGGTTTCAAAGAGGACATAAGAACTTCCAGAAGACCAAGTTTGAACTAGAAGACCAAGTTTGAACTTTCAGGGAGAACAGAGCTAACAAAAGTGAAGACCTTCAGTTGGACTAGAGGATAACATTACTTGCCCAGTGTATTTTTTTCATCTTTTTTTCTGGTTCATGTTGTCCCATGATGCCCAATGTATTTAAAATGACCACAAATGTGGAATTTG
Organism: Homo sapiens; assembly: GCF_000001405.40. Taxonomy (NCBI): domain Eukaryota; kingdom Metazoa; phylum Chordata; class Mammalia; order Primates; family Hominidae; genus Homo; species Homo sapiens. Next base: position 40,990,927 of record NC_000015.10, read on the forward strand.
AGGGCTGATGTCACACCCAAAAGACAGTATCTTGAGCTGTCTAAGCTTGAGGCTATGGTTCAGCACGAATTCATAATGTGGGGATGTGGGTGGTGGAGGTGGGTGGAGGGAGAGCCATATAATGAATTGTTTCATAAGTACTGTCTTAACATTTACATTTTTTCCTAGAAGACCCAGTGGCAACCAAACCTGATTCAACTTGTGTTCTTTTGAGCTCATGAACAGTAAGATTAAAGCCTAAGGAGATGGGTTTACAATCTTAACTTCAAAAATCTCCAAATATGGAAGATATTTATCCTTTACATGGATTCCAAGAGGTGGGGAATTTGGGAGGAAAACAGAAAAAAATAGGATTGTTTAGAAAAATACCTGTGCAGCGGAAAATATGAAATACGTACAAACTAATAGGTTAAGAACAAGAGTGAGAGAACTAAAAACCAAGGCAGATGTATGGTTACCATCTAATCTAACACTGAATTAACCGTGATGTGAACTGGAGGGAGTGGTGAGGGAGACAATGCACCACTGTGGAACAGGGATGATGCCTATATTTGGCAGTTGGGTTTATGGAGCTCAGTGAGACATTCCAGAAAAAAACAAGTAACAATTAAAGGATTAGAACAACTGATTTAACTAGGAAAGATTAAGGCAAGTCAATCCACAAAGCGTGGCCCAGCAGTGACTAAGGAGAAATAGTAGTCAATGCCTTCATGACATTGTAAACACCAAGCAGGGCAGGCACAAGGGAAGAGAGGTGAGAGTTACCATGCGGTAGAGGGGCCTGGCTGTATAGGTCAGTGAGAAGGAGTTTCAGGGGATGAGAGAATGAGATTTAAAACAGGAAAATTTCTTTCTTTTTTTTTTTGAGATGGAGTCTTGCTCTGTCGCCCAGGCTGGAGTGCAGTGGCAAGATCTTGACTCACTGCAAGCTCCGCCTCCCGAGTTCACGCCATTCTCCTGCCTCAGCCTCCCGAGTAGCTGGGAGGGACTACAGGCGTCCGCCACCATGCCCGGCTCATTTTTTGCATTTTTAGAGAGACGGGGTTTCACTGTGTTAGCCAGGATGGTCTCGATCTCCTGACCTCGTGATCCGCCAGCCTGGGCTTCCCAAAGTGCTGGGATTACAGGCGTGAGCCACCGGGCCCTGCTGAAACAGGAAAATTTCTAGAAGAACAAGTGGGAAAAGTTGGACCAACACTTGGAGGGTGGAGCTTTTTCTCCCAAGAGAATAAGCGGAGGTTCGGCCTCTGCAGAGGGCTAAAAGCTGTCCTGTGAGACAGGACTTCTTGAATCCCTGCAAAGGGAGAAAAGCTCTTCATTCTCACTACACATAAGCATTTAAAACAGGTCTGACACAGAAACACAAACAGTGCAGTTTATAACAACCCCTTACTAAACAGAGTCAAATGCAAAGACAACCCTACTTCAGGAAGCATATACAGTGACACAGTAAAAGGCAGCTGCCATACATCATTTGCTAAAACCATGTTTTTACTAACCAAGTAGGCCAGATAGAGTCCCACTATTTATAAATACATTTTTACATATGCATTCTCAATCATAAGACATTAGGTTTTTCCTGACATTTTTAGGTTGATTAATCTCTTCCTTGTCCATAAATGGTTCTGGGGAAATCCCAAAGCTAAATAAATCTCAGGGCAAAGGAAAAATGCCAGACAAGCAACTAATCCTACTGTTTCTCTAGCAACACACACACAGTATATCCTCGGAATTAATTTCAATCTTGCTGTCTCATTTTTCTAAGAACTATTCCAGGAGCTTCTGATTTACAAGTGAATCCCCAAGCCCTTCCCCCAAAATTAAAATGTAAATTACTTCAGAATTCAGAAATCAGAGTATTCAGAGCCTTTCTCTTTTTTTCTTGAGGCAGGAGCTCTCTGTGTTGCCCATGTTGGAGTGCAGCGGCACAATCACAGCTCACTGCAGTCTTGACCTTCTGGGCCCAAGCAAACCTCCCACCTCAGCCTCCCGAGTATCTGGGATCACAGGCATGTGCCACCACGCCTGACTAATTTAAAAAACTTTTTTGTACAGATGGGGTCTTGCTATGTGGCCCAGGCTGGTTTCAAACATCTGCCCTCAAGCAATCCACCCACATCGGCCTCCCAAACTGCAGGGATTACAGGCATGAGCCACCATGCCCAGCCTAGAGCCCCTTTCTGGCCTTCAGGATGAAAAAAGAATTCCTACTCTTATTCCTCTACTTATGGATCAGAGGCCTAGGCCTACTTTGCTTCTTTGTGGCTGGCAGGACGCTCTTTACTCCTACAGGGCAAACTATGTGAACCTTGGAAGCAAGGTGCAGATCTCTCTTTAAATCTGCTTAGTTTTTTTTTTTCTTTAACCATTTAAATGAACAACCGGAGAAACTATTCCTTAAGAAACCATAGACTAAACCTGAGATAGGCAAGCTGAGAAGAAGAGAAACATACTTTAATAAAATGAAATTGTGCTAGACCTTCCCAGGTGACCTCATACAGCCTCTTAAATATCATCTACAACCTGATGATTTGAAAATACAGCTTTAAGGCCAGGAGTGGTGGCTCACGCCTGTAATCCCAGCACTTTGGGAGGCGGAGGCAGGCAGATCACCTGAGGTCAGGAGTTTTGAGACCAGCCTGGCCAACGTGGTAAAACCCCATCTCTACTAAAAATATAAAAATTAACTGGGAATGGTGGTGCCCGCCTGTAGTCCCAGCTACTCGGGAGGCTGAGGTGGGAGAATCACTTGAACCTGAGAGGTGGAGGTTGAAGTGAGCCGAGATCAAGCCACTGCACTCCAGCCTGAATGACAGAGCAAGACTCTGTCTCAAAAAATAAATAAATAAATAAAAAGAAAAAGAAAATACAGCTTTAACCCCAATCTTTCTCCTGAACTTCAGACTCTGCTGCCTGGGTGATATTGCCACTTAACCTCTGATACTCCTAACTGATCTTCCTGTTTATGTCTCCTTGTAGCATTTCATTTTTTTCTCCCACTCTAAACAGAAGCTAGAAGGATGCATTTAAAACTCAAACCAGATCATGTTACTCCTCTGTTCAAATTCTTGCAATCGCTCCCCATCTCAAAGTCCTTACCATGGCTACTAACCCCTATATGATCTGCTTCTGCAATAGCCATCTCATACTACTCTCCCCATAGTTGATTCTGTTCTACCTGCTCTGGGCTGCTTCCTTTTGCTTGATTATGCCAAGCATGTTCTCACCTTAGGGCTTTGCACTTATCTCCTCTGCCTGGAATGCTCTTCTTTCTGCCAGGTATATGCTTAGGTTGCCGCCTTACTTTCTTCAGATCTTGGCTCAAATGTCACCTTATCAGAGATGCCTTACCAATCCATATAAAACAGCAACCCCTGATCATTCTCATGCTACCACTCCTTACCTGATGAATTTTTCTTCATAGCATTCATATTATCAGTTTTTTGTTTGTTTTTGAGATGGAGTCTCACTGTGTCACCCAGGCTGGAGTACAGTGGCACGATCTTGGCGCACTGCAACCTCTGCCTCCCGGGTTCAAGCAATTCTCCTGCCTCAGCCTCCCGAGTAGCTGGGACTACAGGCGCCCACCACCAAGCTCAGCTAAATTTTTTTGTATTTTTATTAGAGACAGGGTTTCACCATATTGGCCAGGCTGGTGTCGAACTCCTGACCTTGTGATCCGCCTGCCTCTGCCTCCCAAAGTGTTAGGATTACAGGTGTGAGCCACTGCACCTGGCCCCATATTATCAGTATTTTTTCCATTTCTTTATGCTTTGTCTCCTCTCCTGCCACTGGAAATGTAATTTATAGTAACTATGAAGATAGAAATGGAACTTTGTTTTGTTGCATGCTGAATTCCCAGTGCCTAAAACAACGCTGGGCCCTTGGTGGATGCTCATTAAACATTTGTTGAATGAATCAATGAATGAATGAACAAATGAACAAACTGTTCCAGGTACTAGAAATAGACTTAGGCTGGAGTGCAGTGGTGCAATCTTGGCTCACTGCAACCTCCGCCTCCTGGGTTCAAGTGATTCTCCTGCCTCAGCCTCCCGAGTAGCTGGGACCACAGGCATGCGCCAGCACATACGGCTAATTTTTGTATATTTAGCAGAGATATGGTTTCACCATGCAGGCCAGGCTGGTCTTGAACTCCTGACCTCAAGCCATCTGCCCACCTCAGCCTCCCAAAGTGCTGGGATTACAAGCGTGAGCCACCGCGTTCAGCCTAGAAATGCAGACTTTTGACTTCCTTCCATTGTTGAGGCCAAAGTCTAGTATGTAAAATAATTACTTACAATGTATTTTGATTAACTTGAATAAAGGGAGGGGCTGGGAAAGGAATATTGACACCTGAATGGGGTTTTAAAGAACAAACAGAAGTTCACCAGGTGGAAGAGGAGACTCATGGGAGGATGACTTAGGCTGAGGGAACAGTTTATCCAACAGTGTGATATGGCATGGTGTGTTCAGGGAACTAGAAGTCAATCATTATTTCTGGAATATAAAATTTGGAAGGGAAAGTGGTCTGATAATTAAGCTATAAAGGTAGATAAAGGACACAAATGAAGAGCCTTATACTTTATTTTATAATTGATGAAGAATTCCTGAAGAGTTTTAATCAAAGGAGTGGCATGATTAATAAAGGGCAGAGAGAAACTAACAGAGTACCAGCATAGCAAAGAATGGATTTGGATCAACAGGTATGAAGCCGGGAACTGAGAGTGGAGTCCAAAAGAGCAGCTGGGACAAAGTGATGAATCTTGTACTCACATTGAGAGTATGACTATGCTGAAATTCTTAAAAGATACAGAGAGCAGGGAACCAAGAGATAACAAGGAAAAAGGCAAGTTTCTACTATCTGATATGGTAGAAACTATGTGATATGGCTCAAGTGAGCCACCACATCAGAGAACCCACAGGAACAACACATGCCACACTGACAGCCCTCCCATAGTATGACAGATGCTGATGATGTACAGCTACCCAGCAATGCCTCCAGTGGCCCTCAGGCGCTGACGTCTTGCCGTACCTGGTTAACTGAAAGTTTAGATGCCAAGGAAGGTGCATCCTATAGTTGCTATTACAGAATGTGTAGTATCAGATTAGTGAGAGAGAGAGAGAGAGAGATTCCCCCTGCTGCTGTGAATCTATTCAAGCCTCTACACTCTTGCACCTCATTTCTCCACTACCCTCATGAGTTTGCTTTCTCCTCACAGTTGTGGGGATTTTGATGTTCTATATGTCAGAGAGGCACCACGATAGTTACATTAAGTGCCATTTTTAGAGTCATGCCTTTTATAAAATAATTTCCCATTTACGTATTTTTAAATCTCAAAGTTACTAAAATTCTTATTAAATATATTTGAATCTTAGCAATAATTTTGAGATTCAAAAAGAATCCTCTTTTCTTTTTGAGACAGTCTCACTCTGTCGCCCAGAGTGGAGTGCAGTGGCATGATCTTGGCTCACTGCAGCCTCTGCCTCCCGGGTTCAAGCGACTCTCCTGCCTCACCTCCCGAGTAGCTGGGACTACAGGCATGTGTCACCACGCCCGGCTATTTTTTTTGTTTTTTTTTGGTAGAGACGTGGTTTCACCATGTTGGCCAGGATGATCTTGATCTTCTGACCTGGTGATCCACCCGCCTTGGCCTCCCAAAGTGCTGGGATTACAGGCATGAGCCACCACGCCCAGCCAGGAATCCTCTTTTCTTCACCCTTTCAAACACTGAAGCATTCCTGCAAGAAGACTGGGTAGGAAAGAGTGGATAATTTGTTGGAATATCTTTTCTACTTTATTTTTGAAATTACCCTTTTCATTGCTCTCCAACCACCTTTTGAAGTTCAGGATACAAAAAATGGGTTTTTCCATTAATGGAATAATGCATAAGAGTAACAAAACAATCCTTTCTGATGTGTTCAATTATAGCTCCTAAAACAAATCTGGATGGACTGATTGTTTTTCCAGTCTGTTTTCCCTGATGTACCCTAAATGTCTCAAACAGTATCAGACACATAGTAGGCATTAGTGAAATATTTGTCGAATGAATGTGTAAGACACTTATTCAGGCGAGGTGCAGTGGCTCACACCTGTAATCCCAGTACTTTGGGAGGCTGAGGCAGGTGGATCACTTGGGCCTCAGAGTTCAAGACCAGCCTGGGCAACATGGCAAAACCCCATCTCTACAAAAAATACAAAAATTAGCTGGGCATGGTGGCGCATGCCTATAGTCCCAGCTACTTGGGAGGGTGAGGTGGGAGGATCACCTGAGGCTGGGGAGGTTGAAGCTACAGTGACCCATGATCATGCCACTGCACTCCAGCCTGGGCAACAGAGTGAGGCCCCATCTCAAAAAACAAAAACAAAAAAACTTGTTCAAAGAAAATGAATAGTAAAGTCCATAAGGAAAGCTAAAATACTCTAGTTCCAGTCAAAGAGCAACTAGAGTCTTTTAACACAAGAGGCAAAGAAATAAAAAGTTTGCAAGTTTGTGACACAAAAGCAAAGGGTAAAACAAACAATGCCATATTAGAAAAACCTACATAGTAGGTTTCATAGTAGAAAACCTGCATATCTAGTTGATTGTGCTCTCATTACTTACTGTGTCTGCAGCAGTGAGATTGATACCCAGTCCTCCAGCTCGTGTGCTTAACAGGAACACAAAGATGTCATTCCTGCAGAAAAGGGAGAGATATGTTAAAGGAAAAACTGAAAAGAAAAAATGGCATGTATCAATAGAGAGAGATCTCTGAATACAGAACATAAAGTCTAGGACTAAAAAGAGTTTTGGTGGTTACCTAGGCCTGACTGTATTTCTGTAAAGCATTATACAATGTTGCTCTGTTGTTACAACCAAACATGGAGGTCATCTTCCAATTTGCAGATAAACTTTTGCTGCCCACTAATAGATGACTGATAGGCAACACAAGTATAAACATGTAGCAAATATAACAGAAAAATGTTACCATAGATGTACAGACCTCTCTCACTGTCATATTTTTAAATCAAACCATTCCTAGCTTCCTGGTTTTCTCTAAGAATCATGACTTATAATAGTCTGGGGACTAATGTTATTATTCCAAAACACTCTTTTTTTTTTTTTTTTTTTTTTTTAGACGTAGTCTTGTTCTGTCGCCCAGGCTGGAGTGTAGAGGCGCGATCTCAGCTCACTGCAACCTCTGCCTCCTGGGTTCAAGCAATTCTCCTGCCTCAGCCTCCCAAGTAGCTGGGACTATAGGCGCTCGCCACCACACCTGCCTAATTTTTAATATTTTTAGTAGAGACGGGGTTTCATCATATTGGCCAGGCTGGTCTTGAACTCCTGACCTCGTGATCCGCCCGCCTCGGCCTCCCAAAGTGCTGGGATTATAGACGCGAGCCACCGTGCGGGGCCCCAAAGCATTCATTTTAAGATGAAGAAAGTTGAGTCCCAGAAAAATGACTCAAATAACTAAGACCCAGGCTGTGACTTTTATGTGCTAACTTGAATTTAGGATCAGTCCATGAAGACAGGCTGGAATTAAATACTTCTGGATGAATGTCAACATACCCCTTACATACAAATGATTAAATATGGTTTTCTCAGTTTCCTTCTACTTCCTATGTTCTTTCAAAGAAACACTGAATTACAAATAAACCAATAGGTACCACTGTCACTCACTCGAGCAACAAATATTTACGGAATGTCTTCTGGGAACAAGCCCATACCAGATCACAAAGGACAAGTTTTGTTTTTTTTTTTTTGAAGATGGAGTCTAGCTCTGTCACTCAGGCTGGAGTGCAGTGGCACGATCTCGGCTCACTGCAACCTCCACCTCCTTGGTTCAAGCAGTTCTCCTGCCTCAGCCTCCCGAGTAGCTGGGATTACGGGATTACAGGTGCCCACCACCATGCCTGGCTAATTTTTGTATTTTTAGTAGAGATGGGATTTCACCATGTTGACCAGGCTGGTCTCCTACCTCAGGTGATGCACGTGCCTCAGCCTCCCAAAGTGCTGGGATTCCAGGCGTGAGCCACTGTGCCCGGCAGAACAGGCTTTTGACTCTAAGATTTATCTACACACACACACACACACACACACACACACACACACAAATAAGGGCTCAGTTTGGTGCTTTAGATGGCATTAAGAAATTAATTAAAGAAAGAAAAAAGATTAGAAAATATTCTAATGCATTACAGGTCATAAAGGTAAGTAATGTTTTGTGAAGTTTCAAATATAGAATAAAGGTACTAAAATCACAGTGTAAAATTAATTTTATTTTGTGGATTCCAGTAAGGAAAACAAAAAACAAAAAACACCAGAAACAAACATACTGACATCAGGATGCTCTCATCCCTTCAGGCTATTCTTCCTTGGTAAAGTCACTTGACTGCTGACAGTCTGTTTCCTGGACTATAAAATGAAGATGCTATGAATACTGCTGAAGTGACTAACTGATGACGTATCAATGTCAAACATAAGTATCGGTGAAAGAACTATTTTGAAATAAACATCCTGGTTAATCACTAAGGTAGGTATGTCCTGTACAAATCTGCCCATTATTTACATTGAATTAAACACAACTTTCCTACAGAGGCATGGATAACAGACCACGGGTGGCGGTCTCTCAGTTAGTGATTCCAAATGCTTTGTGCTCCCATGCAAGTTCTACTAGCTTATCCTTAAATTTTATCACAAAGGTTAATATTTCGTAATTGTATTTATTTAATTCATAAAACGCCATCTTTATGATTAAATTGTGTAGTGTAAACCAAAAAGTTGAAGGGCATCTGCCAGTTTTTAAACACATTTTCCCACAGATATGGGATGATGTAAATGGAAGGAGGCAGGGTATCTCACAGGCCCAAAGAAGAGTATTTAACCACAATAAGGCTTCAAATAAAAACTGATTGAGCTTTTTAGGGCCGTACTAATCTCTGGAAGGCTGAGGTGTGAGGATCACTTGAGCCTAGGAGTTCGAGATCAGCTTGGGCAATACAGAAAGACCCTGCATCTACATAAAATTTTTTTTAAAAAAATTAGCCAGGCATGGTGGCACACACCTGTAGACCCAGCTACCTGGGAGGCTGAGGCAGCAGGATCATTTGAGCCCGAGTCCAAGGATACAGTGAGCTATATATCATACCAATGCACTCCAGCCTAAGCAACAAAGTGAGATCCCATCTCTTAAAAAGGATAAGTAATCCTTCCCACTTCCGCACTGAGAAGACTGCTCTTGCTCCATACATCTTCCTCTCCTGCTTTGGTGGGTACAAAGGCAAGGAATCAAAGGCTCCTCTCTGATACCTGCGTGAGAGTTGATGGGGTCATCCAATGGCTAGGACTTTTTTTTGTTAATTCTTGAGGAGACCCAAAATATGAGCATGGGGTAGGCGTCAGGGAATGGGTACAGGGTGGGAGTATGGGGGACTGGTGGGAAAAGACAAGGCATTTGAGAAGTACAACAAAATAAAGTATTAGAAGCAAAAAGATAAGAAATTTCTGGCCAGGTGCGGTGGCTCATGCCTGTAATCCCAACACTTTGAGAGGCTGAGGTGGGTAGATCACTTGAGGTCAGGAGTTCAAGACCAGCCTTGGCAACAGGGCGAAACCTTGTCTCTACAAAAATCCAAAAATTAGCTGGGTGTGGTGGTACGAGCCTGTAGTCTCAGCTACTTGGGAGGCTGAGGTAGGAGAGTCACTAGAGCCTGGGAGGTCAAGGATGCAGTGAGTTCTAATTGCTCTACTGTGTTCTACTGCACTCCAGAGCCTGGGTGACAGAGTGGCACCCTGTCTCAAAAAAAAAAAAAAAAAAAAAAAAGAAAGAAAAGAAAAGAGAAAGAAAAAGATGGGTAATTTCCATAGTCTGTACAGCCAGAGATTAGTTCAGATGTAATCACTTACAAATAGGGGCTATATACAGAAGAACACTAGTGAAAGAAATGTAGGTAAAAATAAATTAGTAGAAAAACTTAGAAATACAATGGTTTCTTTTGGATATCAATTATGTATTGAAAAGATGCCTTGTGATGATGAGGTAGATGAATTCAATGTAATTTTATCATATTGTAATAAAAAATAAGAATTGCAGACACCTTGGGTTCTTATAATCAAAGAAATTAGTTCCTACCGTGGACTATACTGCTGTAAAAAACAAAAGTATCTAAATCAAACTACTAAGAAGTTCCTTTCTACTGAATAACGCTATAATAGTATTGATAATGTGAATTAACATTTTAGGGGCTCTGACTAAACAGGAGAAAACAAAATCCCAGAAGGCAGCATGGTGGTCTGGGTGCCCTCTCTAGGAGGCTGAAAAGGCATCTCAACTCAGGGTCTCTTAGAACAGACCTTAAAGACTAGGCATCTGGCTGGTCTGTAAAGAGGCCTATAAAACCACACAGCAAAGACATGTGTAGGTCTCGCTCTCACTCTTCTTTAATAACCCACTGAGGTGACTTTGCACCAACATACCCAAATAGTGCTAGGCACATAGCTGACTGCAGTAAAGGCTTGTTGAATGACTGAAAAACAACCACAATGAAAGACAACTGTGAATCTCTACAACACTCACAAAGAAAAAATCCATGCTACAGTCACTTTTTCCTCATGTTTTCCAAAGAGTCACACTGAGTGGTCAGATAATGGGGAGAGGATCCATTTGGTAAAGGTCATGGGTTAGGAGGAAGGGAAGCAAAGGCCAAAGCACCACAGAGCAAAGACCTTGTGAATGGCTTCCAGGATCACGCACTGGTCACATGCCCTGAATGCTGCCCCGTCAGGACATCCTGGCCAAACAGTCTTTAGTCTCAGTCAGACTTTTTCCTGGAAGGATCCTTCATAAATAAATCTTGTATGAAAGGAATGTAAATGGCTTTTTATAGGCGTTGTTGTTTACTCTGGCTGACCTTTGACCACAGGGCTTTCCAGTTGAAACTGCAATTTTTTCTTTTGATGTCCTTCATTAACAGTAATTAAAATATTTGGGAAGGAGTGCTTGTGTCCAAAAACACCTGTCTTTTTCTCTATATCAGGCGATTGCAGTCACTCAAATTTATAAGTTGAGCATTTTCCGCCCTTTGGAGGGGTCAGCATATGCATAGTCCAGATTCTACACATGAGAAATAGATTACTTCTTTGCCATAATCCCAACTCTAAGCAACCAGTTTGTAATGTAGGCAGGGATCAGAAGGAGACTTTAGTCTCTTTTTCCATTTTGCCCAATATTAGACAGAGGGTGTTAAAATGATGGTTACCCAAATGTTGACTCTAAATAACATTCACTGTTACCTAAGTAATTCTAAGTTGTAGAGTCTGAAGGCTCAAGCAAGATTTCCTAATAAAATCTGTGAAAAATTACATTTTTACTAAGTAGAGCCAAGTAAAATTTAATGGTGAAAATGCCACTCTTTTAGAGCTAAACTTTTCAAAATCATTGTGCACTACTACTGGGACTGCCCAAGTAATTCTGCTTCCCAAGTTAAGTAAGATATTTCAGAGGTAATAAATTATACACCTCCTGATTTTTTTCCACCACAAAGGTACTGCAAAATATACTGAGCCCTGGGTCTCACAGCCCAGTTTTCTAATAATTGGGTAAGCCAGGAGAACGACTGCGGCTCTAAAACTCAGAAGCCCAAATCACTAGAAGTCAACATACTACAGCTCTGGTTGGGGTCTATATTAGCAGAATTTTCTACAAAGAAATATACATAGTCTTAAATGTTCTTATCCTTTCACTCAGTAATTTCCCATGTTTGAATCTATGCTAAGACAGTAATCTAAAATAGTGACAAAGCTTTATACACAAAAATATTCACTCAACATTTCTAGTAGATATTTCTATTCAATAGAAAAGTGGTATATATACCCAGTGTTAACAGAATAGTGATCATTAAAAATGTTGTCGGCAAGGCTGGATGCGGTGGCTCACGCCTGTAATCCCAGCATTCTGGGAGGCCGAGGCGGGTGGATCATGAGGTCAGGAGATTGAGACCATCCTGGCTAACATAGTGAAACCTTGTCTCTACTAAAAATACAAAAATACAAAAATACAAAAAATTAGCCAGGCGTGGTGGCAGGCGCCTGTAGTCCCAGCTACTCGGGAGGCTGAGGCAGGAGAATCGCTTGAACCCAGGAGGTGGAGGTTGCAGTGAGCCAAGATCACGCCACTGCACTCCAGCCTGGGTGACAGAGCGAGACTCTGTCTCAGAAAAAACAAAAACAAAAACAAAAGTTGTTGGCAAAGGCTTTTTAATGATATATGAAAATGGTTATGACAGAATATTAAGTAGAAGAAATCAGGATACAAAATCCCACCTATAATATAATAGTATAAATATAACCCTATACATACATTAAAGACTAGAGGATATACCAAAATGTTAAAAGTAGTGGGATTGTGGGTGATTTTTCTTTTCTTTTCTTTTTTTTTTTTTTGAGATGGAGTCTCGCTCTGTCACCCAGGCTGGAGTGGAGTGGTGGATCTCTGCTCACTCTAACCTCCAACTCCCGAATTCAAGTGATTCTCCTGCCTCAGCCTCCCGAGTAGCTGGGATTACAGGCGCCCACCACCACGCCCAGCTAATTTTTGTATTTTTAGTAGAGACGGGGTTTCACCATGTTGGCTGGGCTGGTCTCGAACTCCTGACCTCAGATGACCCGCCCACCTCGGCCTCCCAAAGTGCTGGGATTACAGGCGTGAGCCACTGTGCCTGGACTTTATTTTCATCTTTAAATATTTTTCAAATTTTTCTCAATAGGCATTTCATTATAATCTATAAAGTCCCCAACTGTTACTGAAGAAAAACAAAACATTACTGTTAAAAAGATCCTTAAATGTACAGTATCAAATATACTAGTGGAAAATAAAAACAGTATCAGGTGAAATACCTATTACTTAATGGCTTTTCTCATAATTCACAAAGCATGCCACCCCATACCAGTATGCCCACATCACAGATATACTGGCATGACTGGAGAAAATACAGGCACTCTGAGGAAACATACAGTCTATAGCTCGCACATAAGATTCTTGTCAAGTTGCAGCTCTGAGGCTGGAGTAGGTAAGGACATGACATGATAAAATATGTATCACTGATTTCAGAATTAAGAAAAGATGAAGATCACCCAGTAATTTTTTTTCCTCTTTTTGCCAAAACAATGTGGTGGAATAAGGAGGCACAATGCTTATGTTTCAAATAATTGGTTTTAGAATCTACTGGTAGCTTCCGCTAGGTGAGAAGCTAGGTTAGGCTATCCACACAGCTGCACGAGGGTAACAAATGGAAACGGGTTTGAAGCAGATCTTCTCCTTATTGTTGGTCAAACAGGCACCTGGAATTCTGGTGTGTAGTTTTAACTTAGGAAAAATTCTTTAAACAGAGGACACTCTATGTTGAATTGTGGATGTGTTTTATGCCAAATTATTTTATGTCTGAATTAAACTATGCTTTAGAACTGAATGGAATTAAAAATTGTAATCTAAATAAAATGGCTATGTGCTTAATTTTCTTAATAAGAATTCAGAAGTGAAATATTAAGAGGCCATGCAATTAAAAGCCAAAGTCAAAGCTGTTCTGATTTACTGACATTAAGATCTGCTTTATTCCTTGGCTCTCCAGGTCTAAGGAGGAAAACTGAAGACGAAGTTCAACAGACCCGTCACTAGTGGAGCCTGGCTTTCTCCTTGGAGAAAGCAGTAACCAGACTCTACCTATTACAATGAGAAGCTGCACTCAGGATAATTATGGCTCGGTAAACCATCAGCATTCAGCAGGCAGTAATTGAAATTTCATAGGCTCATTAGCAGGTGGGAGAGGTACTGTGGCTGAGAGCTGCCAGCTGAGTAGATTGTACAGTATTGCAATTTGTCATAAGGCACTGTACTGCTACTATGTTAAAAGGAAAGCAGGAAAATAAAAGGTACTTTTTCTTATACAAAATGAAACACAGAAACAAACTAATAACTTTAAGTCATTACTCAGAAAGTGCTACTGTTAGTGGCCGGGATCACTGGTTCATCCCTATAATCCTAGCACTTTGGGAGGTGGAAGTGGGTGGATCACTTGAGCCCAGGATTTCAAGACCAGTCTGGCCAACATGGTGAAATCCTGTCCCTACTAAAAATACAAAAATTAGCTGGATGTGGTGGCGCATGTCTGTAATCCCAGCTACTTGGGAGGCCGAGGCACAAGAATTGTTTGAACCGGGGAGGCGGAGGCTGCAGTGAGCTGAGATCATGCCACTGCACTCCAGCCTGGGTGACAGGGAGAGACTGTCTCACACACACAAAAAAAAAAAAAAAAAAAAAGAAATGGCTACTGTAAGCAATGAGGAATACAGGCTGGTGGATTTTTTTCTACATACCTATTATCCATTGAGGAGGATCTTGGTTCATACTTAGAAATGATTTCTTTTATTATCCAAAGAAATAGGCACTGGTGTCATAAGAAAGCATACTTCAAACATACAAACTATCAGGTATATTCTCTTTTTCTCTCCCAGACACATAGATCTGAATTATGATAAGCAGATTTAGTAACTTCTTAAAATGGCAGGAATTACATCTTGATTCCTTAACAATCTCAGATGTCCTGGCATTTAAAAAAAAAAAAAAACTTACCATTTCAAGCACTAGAGGGAAATTAAAAAGATAATTTTTGTAATTCCCATGAACATTACCTGTTCTGAAAATCAGCAACCATGTCTCGCCTCTCCGAGATCTTGGATGAGCCATCAAGCCTCATGTAGGTATGCTTCCTGTAAACCATGTATTCCTGCCAACCAGGATAAAAGGACACAGTAAATCTGATGCAAATTACTGTATTCTGATTTCCACAGGCATCTACCCATCTTCTACCTTGTCCACACTGGAGGCAAGCCATTATAACCAGAATGGGGAGAGAGTAACCCCAAGAGTACAAGAAGTTAATCTGTAAATGAGTTTACTGCCAATGTGTGAAAATCCAGGGCAATCTGAAGATTATAATCACTCTCAATTTCAGTTTGGAACCTAATCTTATTCCTGTAAATTCCTGTAGGTTTCATTAAAAAAAAAAAAAAAAAAAATTCCACAAACCAAAATAGTTTTTCAGTCATCAACCAGATATCTTTCACAGCTATGAAAATACCTACTTTTTTTGTCAGTGAATAACATTCACTGAAACGAATGTGTTTCCCCAGAGCAAACCTTTACTGATTAAAATGCTTAAATTTACAGCCTAAGCTTCCTTCTCCCAACAGAGCATGCATCACTGTTATGGGAGGCCTAAGCATCAGAGTAAAACAAAAGACAAGGTAATTTTCTATGGCAGAGAATGTTCTTGACATCATCAAGAGGAATTACAACTTTTAAGAATGAAGAGACTCCAAAAGATACAATAGAGAGACTGCCTCTCCATTCTTAGAAATTGCAATTCTTCTTATAGTTATGTCCAAATGAACATTTATTTCCTCTTTTGTTATCTCTGATTATGCTACAAAAAGTCCACTTGTAGAAGAACTAGTATCAAAAACTCAACACAGCTGCCTATTTATAAGAAACAGCATAAAATAGTTGATTCGGTTCTAAAATAACTTCTCTATTGAAAAAGACTAATCATTTCTACATTTGGGAAATGTTTGTGTTAATTAGTTTTCTGTGGTCAAATGTTCTTATACTGCAATATTTTCATATGTAACTCTTATACTTGGTGGGGCATTTTAGCACATCAGGTTGCTGTAGTTTGGAATATCTGGTGCAGCGTATGTGACAGCCTATTCTTAGATGGAGTGAGTGCCAAGAACTTGGCAGAGGTCTCTGGCTAGGGTACATGTGAAGCGAAGCTGGTCAACAAAGTAGACAAGCTCATTGACATATGCATCTTCATTGTGTTTTATATTTGGTTTAATTTTGATTTTTTAATTTTTTACCATTTCTGTCTCAAAGTGGTTCCTTAAGAGCTGTGATAATCAAAGAGAAGCATAAAATAAAGTGAGCTTCAAGTTCATACTTAGTGGTATTGCTATATCGTAGGACTGAACTAATGGCAGAAGGGTAGGGGGCGTTTTGGATAAAAAGGACTTCAAGAAAGAAGGTATAAAATGATAGCAAGATGATGGTCCTTAGAGGCTTGCTATACCTTTTGCAGCTAATCCAATCACAGAACGTTGCAATCAGAACAACAAAGTAACTAGACAATACCAAGACAGTTTACAGAGACACCCAAAACACAGATTATAATTTTAGCAAAAAGGTAGGCTTCCTGCACAGGCACTCTTTTTTTTTTTTTCTTTTTTTTTTTTTTTTTTTTAGACACTGTCTTGCTCGTCACCCAAGCTGGAGTGCAGTGGCACAATCGTGGTT
This sequence comes from Homo sapiens, assembly GCF_000001405.40. NCBI lineage: Eukaryota > Metazoa > Chordata > Mammalia > Primates > Hominidae > Homo > Homo sapiens. The sequence goes on from NC_000015.10 coordinate 41,007,256, forward strand.
CACTGCAACCTCCTCCTCCCAGGTTCAAGCGATTCTCCTGCCTCAGCCTCCCTAGCAGCTGGGATTACAGGCAACTGCCACCACACCTGGCTAATTTTTCTATTTTTAGTAGAGATGGGGTTTCGCCATGTTGGCCAGGCTGGTCTTGAACTCCTGACCTCAGGTGATCTGCCCACCTCAGCCTCCCAAAGTGTTGGGATTACAGGTGTGACCCACTGAGCCAAGCCTGATTTGCCTTTTAAACTGAACTTCTAGCCTCATAAAAGCATTGATGAATGAATCTTCTAGTAAATTTTGCTGTTTATATATTTATATATCAAGGCCAGCACAACCCCGGGGATATTAATCCTAGACCATAATCAAACCAACCCTGATTATAGAGAGCCTGTTACTGAGGCAACAGAAGTGAATTATTCCCTTCCACTGCTTCAAGTCTTAGCTCTTGAACTAAGACGAGCAGTGGGACTTCAGGCTTTAGTAAATTTAGAGTCTATTTCAGTAAATAGCTTCAAAAAAAAAAAAAACAAGAAAATGGACATGGAAAGATGTGTTAAAAGGCTGAATAGAGCGACATCTACATCCTCACACTATAGGAAAACACCTAAAAGACAAAGGTTGGGGCCAGGTATGGTGGTTGGCTGGACGAAGTGGCTCACGCCTGTAATCCCAGCACTGTGGAAGGTCGAGGTGGGTGGATCACTTGAGATCAAGAGTTCGAGACAAGCCTGGCCAACATGGCGAAACCCCATCTCTACTGAAAATACAAAAATTAGCTGGGTGTGCTGGTATGTGCCTGTAGTCCCAGCTACTCAGGAGGCTGAGGTGGGAAGATCATCTGAGCCCAGGGAGTTTGAGGCTGCAGTGAGCCAAGATCATGCCACAGCACTGCAGCCTGGGCAACAGGGTGATTGTCTCAAAATAAACAAACAAAACAGGTGAATGGATAAAGAATATGTGATATATATACATACACACACACACACACACACACACACACACGAATATTATTCAGCCTTAAAAAGAAGGAAATCAACATGAATAAACCTGATTCTGTTAAGTAAAATATGCCAGACATGGAAAGACAAATACTGCATGGTTCAACTTATATGTGCAAGCTTAAAAAGTTAAAACTCATAAAAGTAGAGAGTAGAAGGGTGGTTGCCAGGGGGTAGGGGAAATGGGGAGATGTTGGTCAAAGGGTACAAAGGTTCAGTTATGCAAAATGAAAAAATCCTGGAGATCTAATGTACATCATGGTAACTAGAGCTAATAATATTGTATCGTATATGTGAACTCTTCTAAGAGAGACAATATCACATGGTCGACCTTAAATATATACAATTTTTATTTATCAAGCATACATCAATAAAGCTGTAGCTGGAAAAAGCTTCAAAGATTATTCTGATAGCCTATATCAGCAGCTGAGAGCAACCACTAGAAAGGGAAGGCAAGGCAGTTTCCCTTTGAACCTTGCCATTCAGCATGGCCCTCAAATGGGCAGCACTTGTACCACCTGAGGTCTGTTAGAAATGCAGAACTGAGGGACACATCCCTTACCTAGTAAATCATAATCTGCATTTTATTTTTATTTTTTTTGAGATGGAGTCTCGCTCTGTTGCCCAGGCTGGAGCGCAATGGTGAGATCTTGGCTCACAGCAACTTCCACTTCCGGGGTTCAAGCGATTCTCCTGCCTCAGTCTCCCAGGTAGCTGGATTATAGGCATGCGCCACCATGCCTGGCTAAGTTTGTATTTTTAGTGGAGATGGGGTTTCACCATGTTGGTCGGGCTGATCTCAAACTCCTGACCTCAGGTGATACATGCGCCTTGGCTTCCCAAAGTGCTGGGATTGCAGGCATCAGCCACCACACCTGGCATAACGTGCGTTTTAATAACATTTGATTCGAAAGCATTAATTTTGAGAAACACTATTGTAGAACATATGCGGTTTTTGTTTTTAAGTTCCTTATACTGTTCTTTTTTTTTTTTTATTATACTTTAAGTTTTAGGGTACATGTGCACAATGTGCAGGTTAGTTACATATGTATACATGTGCCATGCTGGTGCACTGCACCCACTAACTCGTCATCTAGCATTAGGTATATCTCCCAATGCTATCCCTCCCCCCTCCCCCCACCCCACAACAGTCCCCAGAGTGTTATGTTCCCCTTCCTGTGTCCATGTGTTCTCATTGTTCAATTCCCACCTATGAGTGAGAATATGCAGTGTTTGGTTTTTTGTTCTTGCGATAGTTTACTGAGAATGATGATTTCCAATTTCATCCATGTCCCTACAAAGGACATGAACTCATCATTTTTTATGGCTGACATATGCGTTTTGGTTTTGTTTTGTTTTTGAGGCAGGGTCTTGCTCTATTGCACAGGATGAAGTATAGTTTTCTTGGATCACTGCAGCCTCGACCTCCTGGGCTCAAATGATCCTCTCACCTCAGCCTCCCAAGTAGTTGGAACTATAGGCATGCACTACTATGCCCAGCTAATTTTTAAATTTAAATTTAAATTTTTATAGAGATGGGGGTCTTGCTATGTTGTCCAGGCTGGTCTTGAACTCCTGGGCTCAAGTGATTCTCCTCCCTTGGCCTTCCAAAGTGCTAGGATTACAGGTGTAAGCCACTGTGCCCGGCCAAACATACCTGTTTTAAAAGCATCGGAACACTTTCTTCAAGCAAATTCTTACACGGAACCCCTCTAATATATAAAATAGATAAAAGCATCGCTATCCTGACTGATAAAGAGTGGCCATCTCCGCTTAATATCTACTGGTCCTCTAACACATCCCATCAGTCTGAAAACCACTGTTTTACTATACAAGTTGAGAAGACAATGCTCTGCTTGCATGCCACTGATTAAAAAGTAGGACTTACAGATCACATCCACACACCACATCAGTGGCATGCAAACAGAGCTGCCAGCATAACTCAAGATAGTTTTACTGAGCATTCACTAACTGCCAGTCACTGTTCTATTTTACCTGGTTATGTTTATCCAATCATTATGGCAACCTTTAAGGTAGGTGCTATTAAATATTTTTTTAATTTCTCTTTTAATTTTTTTTCCCCCAGGATCAGAGATCACAATCAAAATCTTCATGATCTGTTCTGTAACAGCTTCCAATCACCTCCTTTTTAAATTTTTTTTTTTTAGATTTTTAATTTTCATGGGTATATAGTAAGGGTAGGTGTTATTATTGTCCCTCCTATCTTACAGATGTTAAGGTCCCTAAAGTGACACAGGCAGTAGGTGGCAGACCTAGGACTGAAACTCAAGCAGATTGGTTCCAGAGTCCATGGCTTAACCCTCCTACTGTTTCCCAGATGGAAGGGATGATCAGTACTACTAAGATGAAAATAGAAAGGGAGCCCCATTTAACCCTAAGGTTCTTAATATATCCTGTCCATAACCTGATCTATCATCATCATAAAGGATAATTGGACACTTGAAAAAATAAAGGCAAATGTTTATATATCCTATTACCAACCTTTCATTCTGAAACTTCTATTCCAAAGCTGGCTCTGACTTTCATTTTAACCAGATTTCATTTTGATAAAACAATTTAGGGGAAGGACTCAATATGGTCCACAAACCTGCAGATCTGATGTAATTTTATTTTCTTGGACATGCTGTTTTCCATCTTTTGGGGTATATCATTAGCAAAAGGCTACTCTATTACAATTTTTCTGCAGTCCAAGCAAATTGAACCAAGAGTTAAATATGACAGCCGTAATTCCCTTATCTAATACAGAGCCCTTTGGAGCAAGACTAGCAAAAGGCAATCATGGGCCCAAAATAATCTGACTTCAACCTACTCCTGTTATTTCCCTTTCTTCTATGCCATATGTTCCAGTCACAATGGACTACTCTTGTACCTTTCTATCTCTCTTTTTACATCTGGCTTCCTTAGTCTCAAATTCCTTTCTCCCTGATGGTTGAAATTCTATTTGTTCTTAAGTTCAGATGCCACTGTCTTTGTGATGCTTTCCTCAAGAGTGACTCAGTTAGAAATAAACATATCCTTCTTGCTATCCTCAGCTCTGTTCACGCTTCATTTTGACATTAGTATCAGGGTACACTGACAGGTATTTGTGTATGTATATGTCTCCTCCACTAAATAGATTCCTTAAAGTCAAACATCACGTCTAACTAATATTTGCATCTGCCTAGCATTAATGCCTTGCTCAAAGGTAGCATGGAGGAAAAAAGAATTTAAAAAAGCTTATACACAGCATGGTTGTAAGCTGACAAATTTCCTTCTACAATTCTTAAGACCTAATAAGAACTCTAGTTAACAGTGGCCCCAATTTTCTTTCTTTTTTTTTTTTTGAAAGGAAGTAAAGTACACTTGGAAGAAGGCCAAGAAGGCAACTTAAGATATCAAGTGTGCCAATCCAATTTGCTTTTCATTCCATGGGGCATTTTCAGAATACCCAGCTTCCCAGTATCTTCAGAATCACAGCTTCCAAAGGTAACCTGCATTTCTAAGAGAGGCCAACTCATAAATGACAGAATGTCTGCTCAGGATAAATCTTCCCCCAGTGAGGCACTGCGCTTGGATAGATGACTGAGCAAGTTACACAACCCAGGGTCTCAAATGTCATTATGTATGGATTACCTGGATTTAATTCTATATTACACTATTATCATATGTTGGTAGAGTTCAAGATTTGTCTGGATTTCAGTATTTAACAATTACACCACATATAGCATAAGCTGATTAACTCTTTCCAAGTACTCTTTATTGTATAGGAAGTATCAAGTGGCCTATTTCCTTAAACTACAAACTCAGTTGCTAGATGCAATAGGAATGAAACTCAAAAGAGAAGACTCAGAGATAAGTCATCTGTAATAAGTTAAAAGCTCTTTGCTACTAGAATACAGAGAAGAGTCCCTAACCATGGTAAAACTGGTGGTAGCAGGAAAAGTTCTGCCTGACATCCAGCTGGATACCACCATCCCAAATGCACAGGGATTATGTGTTCCCCTAGTATGCCCAACAGCCAAGATCCTATAGGTGGCCAGGCGTGGTGGCTCACGCCTGTAATCCCAACACTTTGGGAGGCCAAGATGGGAGGATTACTTGAGGTCAGGAGTTTGAGACCAGCCTGGCCAACATGGTGAAACCCCATCTCTACAAAAATACAAAAATTAGCCAGGCGTGGTGATGCGCGCCTGAAATCCCAGCTGCTCTGGAGGCTGAGGAAGAATTGCTTGAACCCGGCAGCTGGAGGTTGCAGTGAGCTGAGATCCCGCCATTGCACTCCAGCCTGGGTGACAGAGCGAGACTCTTTTTAAAAAAAAAAAAAAAAGATCCTATAGGCGATTCAGTAAATATAAAATAAACTCATAATGACATTTATTGATCTATGATTTCCTCACCTATTTATGTCCTTGGCTTCTGCCCGTGGCAAACTAAAAACTCCTGGCTTGGAAATTAAGCAGTCTCCTCTTCACTATTTTTGTTTTTCTTAGTGCCCATTTGTTACAGCAAAAGCACTCTCCTTTTAAAAATCCCCTATCTAGAAATACTACTATTTGGATGCCATGTGAAAGAATACAACATTTCTGAATATAGTCTATTTGGAAGAAGATCTGATATATACACAAGAAATTTAAAGTCAGATTTTTACCCAAGGGAAAAAGGAAGCGATCAATGACTTTAAAAAATACTGTGCAAATAGTAATGTCCAAAACTAGTATTTCTCACAGAATGGAAACCTGGCCATAGAGAAGTATGTGAATTCTTAATGTCTTCTAGTTCTGCCAAGTCCCAGAAACAGACAGCCAGCCATGGCTAAGGCACATAACAACAACAACAACAACAACAACAACAACCACCACAACAAAAACCCAAAAAGGCTGTTGGATGAAAGAGAGTTGCTCACATACTCCACAGCAACACAGAGCTTTGATACCCGCAATGTGAGTTTCTAACTCTTACTCTATTGGAAGCATTTCTTTCTCTCTTTGAAGAGGGTATACGATTTCAAGAGAAAAAGGAAAATCCTGAAATAAAAACAAAACAACCAACATTTTGAGACTTAAGTTTGTGTTTTTTCTTAAGATCAAGTATACTCAATGGACAGGATCTATTCAGAAGGTCCCACTGCAAGATCATGTACCAGGTCATGCTTTAATGCTGAAACATGGCTTTAATGAATGTTAATACTCAGAGTTTCTATTATGAAAGTGACTGAAAAACACTCTTTCAAAGATAAAAAAACGCAGACCTAGTGCTGCACCATCTCAAGTCGTACAATATGTTTATATTTCAATCAATGATTAAATATATGGTAAACACTTTGGGCATTGTAATTCCATGCTCATAAATTAAATTCTATTTCAGTACTAATCTCCTGGAATACAGAATGTGGTTCATTTGAGTGGGTAATATTAAAACAAATTAAAAATGAATAAACTTTAAGAAATTAAAGGAAGAACCATTAGTGTAGTATTAAGGAAACCAGAGAAGAATTTCATTTTAGTTTTTAAAACATACAAATAGTTGCAACATTTTCTGGTTTCAACATCCAAGATGCATGTTATACATATGGCTAAGCAATGTCAGCAGTTGTGAAATTCAGGCTTTGAATTTGCATTTCCCTAATTTGGAATTCCCCTTAGAAATACATCTATGTTTAGAGAGGTTCTCAAGCTGCTTGTTTGCAAAACCTACCCACTAGGTCCATAACCCAAAAATAACTGTTGGATTATAGATAGAGAGGAAGTGATCCTGGTGGGTAGAGTTTACAGCACTTATCCTGAACAAAGCTTATCATACTCTGAATTACTTATTTTAGTAATATTTAATGAGAACCTAGAAGTGTGCGATACACCGAGGGAAGGACTATAATAAAGGCTGTATCAAACTTAAACCACCTACACTCACCTTCACCTACCGAAGCTAGTTTATTTTTGGATTGCTCATTCACATTCCCTTGGAACTTTCCTTTCATATGAATCAACATGTAAGACTATAGTCTTGGAAAAGAAATACCATTATGTCCCTTACCAGTATCCTTAGCATACTGCTTTTTCTTTAATTGTTAGCAGCTGAAGATCACTACTTTAGCTATACTTTCCCTGCCTCTTGAGGACAAGGAAAGTGCACTTTACCTAAAAAGAGCCCCACTGCAGGAAAAGTTACTCATGTTGTTTTGGCTGTTGGGATCATCTGTTTGAACAGAACACTAGACATGCAGGCAGTCCTTTTATTTTGGATTACTACTGTTAGGATATTTAACATAGTTAATATATACATCAAACACAACAGCTTAATCACCTCTCTTATGGTGACTTACATTCACTCATAAGCACTTCCATCATTTAGGAATAAGTGGCCTACTCATAATACAAACCAGAGAGTTTAGTCTGTCAACAGCATTCAAGGGGCTATGAAACCTAAGACTTAGTGCTGAAACTGACCCCAAAAATCATTTATGTCTCTTGCTAAAAGAAGTTGCCGGATTATTAAAAGAAACCTCCCACTGATTTCAGATAAATTCATTGCAAAATTCAACAAGCCAATCTTGGCTTCCAAAAAGCCTGAAAACCCTCCTTAATGCTAGCCTTCATTCCTTCTGTACTGATATGGTCCCTATTGCTTTATTCCTAGATAAGGAAAATAACAGTACAATTTCCACTTACTTATTACGATTCCCTGGTGTAGCAGGGCGAGGGTATGAAGCCTTACACATGTAAAAACATGAGAACATTTATGTACTTCTGACAACCAGGTACTTCTGCCTCTCAAACTTTATTTATATAAAGACTTATTGTACTAGTTTGTGATTATCTGTTCTCATTTTCACTCTCCTGTTTCTAGGTCTGTGACCTCCTGTCCCTTAAAAAATAAGTCACCACTCAGACAAGAAAAAGAAAAACTTCAACAAAGAAGCAATTAAAGAAACAAAAGCTGCCTTGCACAGTCATATCTTTTCCACTAACTTAGTAGCTGTCAAGCCTGGTTGCATATTAGAATCACCCCAGGACCTTTTAAATATCCTGATGCCCAGGCCTCATTTCAAATGTAATAAATAAGAATCTCTGGAAATAGGACTAGAAATCCATATTTTTTTAAAGCTTCTCAGGTGATTGCGATATGTAGTCAAGTTGAGAATCACTATATTAACTCAGGTTGAATAGCTGTTCTCTGCTTTTTTACGCAGAGAACTAATCCTAAATCTTGTTTTCCATACATAATTTTAGATTCCTAGGCTGTGACCTACTTTAAAATTAAGAAATGTCTTCCCTAGTAAAAGGATGTAAGGGGTGTTCTATTTCACTGGTGTAGGGCAGGGGGCAGAAGTCCTTCACATACTCCCCATGCCAGGAGCTAACTCTGCTCCCTTTATAGATTGTAAAATCAAAAAAAGGAGTTTTGGGGGCTGCGTGTGGTGGCTCATGCCTGTAATCCCAACTCTTTGAGAGGCTGAGGTGGGTGGATCACTTGAGGCCAGGAGTTCAAGACCAGCCTGGCTAACATGGCGAAACCCCATCTCTACTTAAAAAAAAAAAAAAAAAAAAAAAAGAGCTGAGTGTGGTGGTGCACGCCTGTAATCCCAGCTACTCGGGAGACTGGAGCAGAAGAATTCCTTGAACCTGGAAGGCAGAGGTTGCAGAGCCGAGATCGCATCACTGCACTCCAGCCTGGGTGATAGAGTGAGACTCTGTCTCAAAAAAAAAAAAAAAGGAAAAAGAAAAAAGACAAAAGGGAGTTTTGGGGCTCCCATTAAGCAGGACTAACATTAGTCATGGACATCTGATTCCTACAAATTAAATGTCAAGGTATCCTAGGTCCCCAAGATTCCCTCTCCTACCTCCAGTAGGTCTATCATCCTGGTCATCTGGGAGTAGATAAGGACCCTATGCCCTTGAGACTTGAGCCGAGTCAGCAGGACATCAAGGGCATACAGCTTTCCACTGTCAGTGATGAGGCTCTCCTTGCCTGGGGAGAAGAAAAGGGGGTGAGGGGGAACTGTATTTAATTGAAGCGACAAAATCACTCAATGCAAAGCTGTATGCAACCACAATCACTAAAACCAAGATGCTTGTCATCATGAGATCAGAAAAGTGCTCTAAAGGGAGAATGCAACGCCCTGAAAATATCACGACTCCAGGAGTGCCCTGGGAAAAAACATCCCCAAAGGGGGAAGTGCAGATTCCCTGATCACTCCCAATCAGACATGTGCTCTTAAGGCACTTAAAAGCATCCCTGCTCCACATCCTTACTCAGAGGACACCAGGTATACATGGACATCTATGGGTGACATCTATGTCAATCTGCTGTTAAGTGACCTGAAAATTTTGTTTTTTCTTTGTTCATCCTATCTCTAGATATCTGTTTCTGCTAGTTCTGAAAGCATTGAGAACGTATCCTACCTGCCTTTGGAGAAAAGTAAACAAAGAGATTTATAACCTCTCTCTTTTTTTTCCCTTTTTCAAGACAGGGTTCCACTCTGTCACCCAGGCTGGAATGCAGCAGCGCAATGACAGCTCATGGCAGCCTCGACCTCCTGGGCTCAAGTGATCCTCCCATCTCAGCCTCCTGAGTAGCTTGGACTACAAGTGAGCTATCACACCCAGTTAATTTTGTTTCTCTTTTTTTGTAGAAACAGGGTATTGCCATATTGCCTAGGCTGGTCTTGAACTCCTGGGCTCAAGGGATCCTCCCAGCTCAGCCTCCTAAAGTGCTGAGCCATGGTACCCAGCCCCCCTACCCTTTTTTTTTTTTAAACCCAAAACTAGCTCTCTTGGAGGACTGCAAATAGGTTGACTGGTAAATGTCGTTAACCCTAGTTGTATGTTAATTCAATAAAGAAAGCAGGGCTTTTCAGAAAGACTGACTTTGAGTTTCTCTGCAGTGAAGCTCCTCTCACTCACTAACTTGTGCTTTCTCTTTCCTCTTCTCACAAGAAAAGCATTTCAGCAACAGATCTTTAAAGAACACTTAACTCACAAATTTTCATCTTATCCAGTTAGTATCATTTAACTCCTATCATATTCAGGAAGTAGAGTTTCCTGTTTGCAGACTGGTCCATAAACATGCCCTGAACAATTGCTGTCATTAAGAGGGGAAGAGTTTAGGTTTAAGGGGTTGGGTAAGAGTATATGTGGAAGTGGCCATAGGACACAAAAAGGGAGAGAGAAAGAATGGAGATATTATATAGACAACTAACAACTAAAAGAAAAACACAATGTTCCTCCTCAGTTTCTGGGTTTGAACCTATGGCTTTTCTTCAGAACCACAGTCTGACCGTTGACAGCAATCCAAAAGTTCTCAACAGTCATTCTCTGTTCTTGCCACAATTTGCCAAATGCACAATTATTGTATACAAGGAACAAGAACGGATGTGCTGACAGCACCATAACAAATCATCAGCCACTCTGTTTTTGCTACAAAGCCACAGGTCCTGGCTGTTTACTCCCTCTGCACTGCAGCCTGCCATTTCCCACCTTCAGAATGCTGCCAGGCCATGTCTCCTTCCACCACCCGCTCCCTGAAGCTGTGGCACACACCTTTGTTCAGTCTCTTTGTTTGGTCCTGTTTAGATTATTGAAATGCTCTTCTTTTTGTTGGTCTCCTTACCAACACAATCAAATGACTGCAGCTGGGACAGAATTGACTGCTAAGCCCTCTCCCTGGCACCAGACAAGGAGTACTGTATAAATTCCAAGTCTGAGCAGGCAGCAAAGCTTTCATAACAACTTTTAAGGTTTTATTCTTACCACAATTACCCTTCTCCAGTAATTGAATTCCCTAAGGTCTCTCAATTTTGATAGCTCCTAAACATTCACCACAGAGCTACCAATCAGCTTTAGACATACTTCTTTCCGTTCTCATTAAAAGCACAAGGTGAAAAAAAAAAAGACCACATATTTTTCAGCCCTTGAGTGAGGGTGGGCAAGCTAAGTTCGTAAGATTTCTGTAGCCTGCTTATCTTCTTTCTCCATTTAGATATACTCTCTTAGCACAAATGTTAATGCATATAAAAATTTGTTTTATGTCTGAATTTTGAGAAACTTCAATTATTTCAAAATCATGATTCAATGGTTTTCAAACAGTCCTGCCTCCCACATCTACTTTACTTTGCTAATCAGAATGAACTGTTCCTAGGATTAGAAAAGCTCAGAAATAAAGATGTGCATATACTTATAAAGACAGAACTCTAACATGACTAAAGGAGGCAAGAAGTGGTACCTGCTGTCAGCTTGTTATCTTGTTATTGTGTAGGTGGGGAAGGGAGAAGTGGATGGACTGGACTTCTTTGTACTGCCCTGAAGGAAAATGACTAAGAAGAAACACTTCAGCAACAGCCTTAAAACACTTCAGCAAAATGAACACTATCTCTGATTTGCTGGTGAGCATGGAGAAAATCAGTCTCTAGTATTTGTCCTTAGTAAGATATGCAGGAAAAACAGGTTTCTTTCTCTGAACACACTAGAGTGACTTCTGGGGCTGGTATTTGTTAGCCAAGTTTTTAGCAGTCACTTAAGTTGCACTGGACAAGAGCTCCACCTGTCGCTAAGCAGGATACAGAGACACAAGGAACACACTTCTCTGGAAATCCAGCTGATTCTGCTAAGTCAAACCTGTGCCCAGACCCTTCTTTAAAACAGGAGCTTTCTGGATCATTGGGTGTTAAAAATAAATAAAATAAAACAGGAGCTTAAAAAATGTTTAAATGAACAAACCTATCCTACTCTCTTACAAACTTTCCTACAATCCTATAGTACTTTCATTAGACACAGGTTTTTACCATCCACGGTGTAAGATCCTGTTCAGAGATAAAAAGAATGTAGCCTATGGCAGTAAAATTAGGGCAAAAGATTAAATAATATCTCATTTTTCCAAGGAAAGGGGACTTTTGAAGGGATTGTACATCTTTCTGGTGAAACATGGAGAAGAAAAGGTGTGAAACCCAGAAGATTTTGGTCAGTCTCTCAAGGAATATGGAAGCAACCCTTCTCAGGGAAAGAGAAAACGTAAAAGTATAAAGGAAAGAGAGATGATAAAGGGTTCCAGTGAGACACCCCCAACCCCCGCCCTGTCCCAGCTAGTCTACAGAGCACAATGGGGTGAGGAGCTGGTTGGTTCTCACAGTAAACAGCCAGTGAGGCTGGTGCTTTTTATCGATGCAAAAAGAACTCAGACGCTTCCTGCTATTTAAACAAGGTCCATTTTTCTTTCAAAGAACAGGAAAAGCCACAAGAGATTCCCACAACGCCAGCAATAAGCCATCTACTCCTGTAATGGGAACTTAGGAGCCAGAACCAAGAAGGGAGAAAAAAGAAGTAAGGTGCTATCTTGCTTCTTTCAATAACGGTGCTCATCTCTTGCCTGGGATTCTGTAGTTTCCTTACCAGCTTGCTTTACACTTAGGTTCCCCCACTGATTTTCAAACAATATATTTCCACTCACTGCATGTGCTTTAAGTCAGCTACAAGGCCATGTGTAATACTGCCTTCAGATACGCAGAAAGACATCTTGGAGTTCTCAAAGCACTAACAGGCTGGGGCAAACCCCTTGACACTTGACAAAGTTAAAATAAAGTGGAAAAACCAGGCCTTACACACTGGAATCCAGTTATCTCTTAGAGACAGAAGAAGACCTCTGTTGAATGCTTAGCTCTAGTTTATTTCCATTACATGCCAGTAAAAGGGATATAGTTGGCCGGGCGCGGTGGCTCACGCCTGTAATCCCAGCACTTTGGGAGGCTGAGGCAGGCAGATCACGAGGTCAGGAGATCGAGACCATCCTGGCTAACATAGTGAAACCCCATGTCTACTAAAAATACAAAAAATTAGCCAGGCGTGGTGGTGGGCGCCTGTAGTCCCAGCTACTTGGAAGGCTGAGGCAGGAGAATGGCTTGAACCCAGGAGGCGGGGCTTGCAGTGAGCCGAGATCACGCCACTGCACTCCAGCCTGGGCAACAGAGCGGGACTCCATCTCAAAAAAAAAAGGAATGTAGTCAAAATGTCAGAGATTTTGGACAACCAAAACTAACACTATAGCTCCAAGCTACCATTCCAGTTTGCCTGCAGGTGTAAGCAAAGAACGTGAGCCTATGAATTATCTGTGTTCAGTTTCCTTAAAAGTAGTCTCACTAAGGCAAAGATGAAAACCTAGTTTCCTTTCAACCCCCGACTTTGACCCTAGGGGATCTGGGAATCTGCTAGTATTTTGGCATAGAATGCACTGTTTTTCCTCTTGTTATCATTCAGATCTCTAGTGCTTCATGTAGGACACTGTTTATGCTATTTAAATGAGGCTTTCTGTGAGTGACGACATTCTCATTCATTCCACTGGCAATGGCACAAGACAACCGTACTCATTCAACCTAGAGCCTTTCCTACTAAGTTTATTTCTACCTTTTTTTTTTTAAGAGTGGCATTTCTTTCTCAGCTGTAAGCATGTCAAAGGAGTGTATTTAAGCACAAATCTAAAAACATTTCTCTCTCCACTCATCATAAATTACTAATATTCTTACCTATGAATTACTAAGGCCAAAAAAGGAAGCAGAAACCTCAAGAACAGTAAATTCCAAATATCTGAAAGGACCACATGAAGATAACCCTGGTTCTCCCCTTGCCAAAGCGAGGAACACATTCCAAGAGGATTGAGAACTCACCTGGAATCCTGATGAAAGACCAGCCATTCTGAGGTCTGATGCTCCACAGACCTCCAGCTGGCTCTGGGAAGAACTGTGATCGTCTATTTAGCCAGTCTGCAGCCAGTTCAGGGGCCCCATTCAACAAACACTGCTTGGCTGCCAGACTCCCTCCTTCCTTCAGAACTCGCCTTTCATATTCTGCACTTCGGTCATTGCAGTAAGAATCCAATGGCACTGCGGTAACCTGCAGTTAAAGATTCACATGAGATGGCTCTTTCACGTTGTCCATACACACTATGCCTTTTGGGAACCTCAACTTTGAAATCAGACTAATGTGGATAGTTCTTAGACTAGTGGTTTTAAATATCTGTTCTGGCACACTAAGCTGTCCCTAATGAATGACTTAGTGAGCTTTTCCAGATAAAAAGCCAACCTCTTATAAAATGAAACCTGCAAACAAACTAAAGATCCAAAGAGAGCTGGAGTTTGCAGATAAATGAGAATACCAGGTCAGCAATAACTCTATTATATGCATATATATCTGATCATTTTGCCACCTCCCCTTCACTGCTAGATATTGTTCTTGGCAAAGTTCTCTTAACCATATGCATGATGGTGATGCCAGAAAGGGAGCTGCAGCTAGTCAGACTTCATTTAAAAACTAAAGAATATTGGCCTGGCATATTTGAAGTCATCTTTAATGCTTTTGTGGCAAAGCTCCCAAATTTATCAACAGCTTTCTCCTCTTCCCTGACCAGGTTGCTGACTGACAAACCTAATGGAAGAGAAACTTTCTTTCAGGCCATAAACTGGGGAAGGGGGAGTGCGGAGGCAGGGGAGGGTAGGGAAGCAATTGCCAGAGAGTAGCAGATTTGTTTCCTGGCTTGGCCAAAGGCTATACACAAATTCTTATCTCAATACAAGGTATAACCAAACAACACTCAGCTGCTGCTCACTCGATGGAGTAGAGGGCTCCTGCCAATTCAGAAACACAGATTTTATCCTTCTTTGGCTATCTGGGTTTATTCCTACTCTAATAGGCAGTATTCAGATACCTGTGAAGTCAACTGGTAAGGAACTTGAAGATGACAAGGCTAGCTTTTGTTAAAATGTGGAGGCTGTGATTATCTGTCAAGCCCACGCTGACAAATATGCTGAAAGCCCATTTCAGGTTGAATATCCCTAATCTGAAAATCTAAAACTTTGAGTGCCTACATGATGCACTAAGGAAATGCTCATTGGAGCATTTTGGGTTTGGGATTTTTGGATAAGAGATACTCAATCTGCATACGCAGAATTGCTCAGAAGAACCCTAAAGCTAGACTAAGACATGGGGAGAAACAGCGTATGAGAAGCAAAGGCCACAGCACAGGAGAGATCAGAACATAAAACACCGGCTGTATCTAGTTAGGTAGTTCTATCATTTCGTGGAAGTTAGGCACCAAGGGAACTTGATCTTGCTATTAACTTTTCTCCTTTTGTGTTGATCAAGCTTTAGGGAAATGGCTGTCAGGTTTTGGTACACATAAGGACCTCCTTTGAAGCGGACCAAAAGTGTAGATTTTGAACCAGAAGAACTGAGGGAGGGGCCAATAGACCTATGTTTTTGACAAGCACCCCAGCGTCCCAAGTTGAACCTTGAGAAATACTGCCTTGAGACATATGAACAGCTGACCATGGGCTGTAGGTGCCTCTGGAGGGTACCAACGTGACAGAAAGAGCATCATTTACCAATAACCAGAGAGTACTCTGGCTTGCAGATGAAGCTGAACTGAGTTTGCTAGGGAGCAGTGCCATCTATGGTCCAGATGCAAAACTACAGAGGGTCACAGCAAACTGGGCCTGGAGTTCCAAAACCAGTTCACAACAAAAATAGTTTATCCAAACAATACTAGAATCTCATATCACCTTTATCCTCTCCAAAAGGAACTTGTTTTCGGCTGAGCATGGTGGCTCACACCTGTAATCCCAGCACTTTGGAAGGCTGAGGTGGCAGATCGCCTAAGGTCAGGAGTTCAAGACTAGCCTGGCCAAGATGGCAAAACCCCATCTCTACAAAAAATACAAAAATTAGCCTGGCATGGTGGCGTTCACCTCTAATCCCAGATAGTTGGGAGGCTGAGGCACAAGAATGGCTTGAACCTAGGAGGCAGATGTTGCAATGAGCCAAGACTGTGCCACTGCACTCCAGCCTGGGCAACAGGGTGACAGACTGTCTCAAAAAAAAAAAAAAAAAAGTTAAAAAAAGAAGGAACTTGTTTTCTTGCTTCCAACTTATTCATTTTTCCCACTAATACATGAGCATGGGCAAATAAATATGGACCAAAAGAAAGCAAATAAATACAGGAATACAAAGCAGGTGGATGAAAATTGGGTCTCTCTCCCTTCTATGACTTGACATGGCAGTATCCCAGCAGATCGTGGGTCAGAGCAAACATCTCCCATGTAGGATGTGTGTCGCAGACCTGCAAAATTAATAGCAGCTATACTTCTATAAAAAGTTTAAAAAGTAAGTCTAGACTATAGAAATATGACCAGTTCTATATGTCTTGAACAGCATGCATACTCTTAGATAAGTAAAGCATATTTAGTCTTCTCTAGTAAGACTAAAGCGCGGTGGCTCACACCTGTAATCCCAGCAGTTTGGGAGGCCGAGGTGGGTGAATCACCTGAGGTCAGGAGTTCGAGACTGGCCTGGCCAACATGGTGAAACCCCGTCTCTACTAAAAATACAAAAATTAGCTGGGCATGGTGGTGCCTGCCTGTAATCTCTGCTACTCTGGAGGCTGAGGTGGGAGAATCACTTGAATCCAAGAGGTGGAGGTTACAGTGAGCTGAGATTGCACCACTGCACTCCAGCCTGGGTGACAGAGTGAGACTCTGTCTCAAAAAAAAAAAAAAACAAAACAAAACGAAAAAAAGAAACAAAAAAAAACAACAAAAAAACCTCATACAGACCAATTTTTATACTCACAGATAACCGTTTTGATTTAAAAATTTTTATTTATTTATTTATTTTGTAAAAAAGCAGAACTTATATTGGAATTATACATAAAGACTCTGGGCTCATAGTCTCGAGATGAAAAGCCAAAAGCTAGAATCTCAGCATGAAAGAACAGAGAAACAGGAAAAATGGTTTTTCTGCCTGGGATTCATTTCTAGGCACTCTTATAGTTTAAAAACAAAACAACTTTTTCCAGTTATAAACTTTCATCTATTTTTCAATTTTCATTTTGATGATACCCTTCCAGGTCTAGGATTGAATGCTTAAGAGGTTTGCAAGACACTGTTCTTAGTGAAATATTTTTCAGTGTTTTGAGAGGCTTCTTTGGCCAGGAGCCCAGGATCAAGATATTAATATATTCAGAATCATACAATGTCATGTTGTAAGTATGTAAGCAATGTACTTATGAGGTCCAAAAGAGGGCAAAAATGTCCAATATACTTAGAGTAAATCCTGCTTTCTAAGTCAGCTGTATCCCAGACAGCCTCCCCCTATTCTGCTAACCCCAAGTGACCTCCCGATTTGATCAGAAGGAGAGATGAAGCATGACGTACCGTTCTTCCCTCCCCACAAAAAATGCATACTCTCCCTCGTCCTACAGGAGCTAACCCCTTTCTTGCTTCATTAACCTCTGAAACTACAGTACCTTCAGGGGCTGCCCCCTTAAGCGTTCAGCGCGTCCTTCCTGAGGACACGTATGTTCCTGCTCTAGCTGAAGGAAGCGTAACCGCTCCAAGCGCTGCAGTATTTTGGTAAGAATAATTCCTAAGGCCTTAATTTATTAACCCTGCAGAATTATTTCCTCAGCTAATGATAAAACAGCTCCTATAATTCCTTCCATAGTGGCACAGTTCTTCCTGAACTAACCCTCAAGTTTTCATAGCATGTGTCAGAGAAATTAATTTGCCTAATTCAAGGCCAGGGTTGGCTTCAAAGGACATCAGTTTCTCTCTCCCCAATACAGATGGGTTAGAAGTCAATATAAGATATAATTAGGGTATCTCATGAAATTTTGCCTTATTCACTGATCTGAATCCCTAGGACTGATCTGAAAGGTAAAAGTTGTAGATCTGTGTATGAAATAGAGATATCTAAACTCTTCTTCCTGTCCTCCTAATAATCACGGTGTAATTACTCCCATTTTCAGGTTTAGCACATACTATGTAAAGAAACTCTACAAACATGGGAGGGGCCAAGTGGGAAAGGAGCACCCTTTCAGCCAAACGATAAAAGCTTTCTCCTGCTCCCTGCTTGCCAACACATGTTCACAGCAATTAGAGTTTTCCTCAAGCTACATTTACTTTTCTTGAGAGAAACAGCAGCAGCAGGCATGGTAGCTGGGATTTCTGGCTCCTCTAAAAACAATACTGAAGTAGTATAGATGGGGCATGCATGTGTGAGAGAGTGGGACTGTTCTTGAGAGTGGTGGGTTATAGATATTTGGGGAGCTCCAAGTGGTAAAAAATGAAGAACTTTCAGGTCAACAAATAAATACAATTACAGGCCAAGAGAGCTCATCTTTATTGGCTCTTTAAACACTGGGAACAGGCTGGGCACAGTGGCTCAGGCCTGTAATCCCAGCACTTTGGGAGGCTTAGGCAGGAGGATCACATGAGGTTAGGAGTTCGAGCCCAGCCTGGCTAACATGGTGAAACCCTGTCTCTACTAAAAATACAAAAATGAGCTGGGCGTGATGGCATGCACCTGTAATCCCAGCTACCTGGGGGGCTGAGGCACGATAATTGCTTGAACCTGGGAGGCGAAGGCTGCATTCAACCAAGGTTGTGTCACTGCACTCCAGCCTGGGTGAGAGAGCAAGGCTCCATCTCAAAAACAAAAACAAAAAACCCCAACAACCAAAAAACAAAACACTGGGAACAGGAGAAGTTAAAAAGACTTGATGTGCCTCTCTCAGAAATCTAAACTTCCTTTTATTAGGTCTCTTGGTATACACCTATCATACTAAGAGAACAAAACCAACCACACAACCATGAAAGACTGAAGCCTGCCTTCTATGGAAGCTCTTGGCTTTAAATGCTTCCTAGAAAAAGTGCATTTCCCTGCACTAACTTAAGCTTCTGAGACCAAGAATACTTTGGAAGAACAGGATATGTACAAAATCCAAATACTTTCTGGATAGCCAGTATAAACCAAACAAAGTTGATAGTGACAAGGGAATTAAACTCATATAGCACAGGAGCAGCAGACAGAAATCTAGGCAGGCAGGAGTCAACAGGATTCATCATCTTTCTAGGGGTCCCCTGTCAGATTCTGTCTTTTGATAAACTGAATAAAGAACGCAAGCTGATAAAAAATAATGGTAGAAAAATATTAACAAGGGAGACAGAAAAGGCTCCTTCTTCTTTTAATAGAACTGTGAAAACAGGCTGGGCACGGTGGCTCACATCTGTGATCCCAGCACTTTGGGAGGCCAAGACAGGTAGATAGCTTGAACTCAGGAGTTGGAGAATAGCCTGGGCGACATGACAAAACCTCGTCTTTACAAAAAATTTAAAAAGTAGCCAGGAGCGGTGGTGCGCACCTGTAGTCCCAGCTACTTGGGAGGCTGAGGTGGGAGGATCACTTGAGCCCAGGAGGTTGAGGTTGCAGTGAGCTGAAATAATGCCACTGCACTCCAGGCTGGGTAACAGAGTGAAACCCTGTCTCAAAAGCATTAAAAAAAACAAAAACAAAAAAAACCAACAAACCTGTAAAAACAGTACACTTGCTAAGATGAGTGGAGAAACAAGAGAAAAACATAAAAGGGTAAGAAATGTCAACCTCTTAGAGCTTCCTGGCTAACGGAAAGTTGCCTCTTGGAGCAAAAAGAAATGAACTGGGAAGACAGAAATTCATTCTTGGCTCTAACCACAGAACCTGGCCACAGTTCGATTATTTCCCTTCTTGGTAGATCTTTTCTCTGGCTCTGATCAACATGGATAAAAAAGAGGATGGAAGATGTAGGCAAAGTAAATAACCCCAGTGTGCCAATTAAAGCCTTTCCAGCAATGCTTGTCAGCAATGGCAAGAGGGCTCTATTTTGATAAACAGGGTATTAGGAAGGATGCAGACAACTGCTAAAGTTGAAACCACAATAGAAACTAAGCCCAATCTGCAAACAACAGTGGACAAATGGTGAATAGCAAAGAAGATACAACAGTCACTTTTCAGATGGAACAGACATGTGAATGACAGTCCAAGTGAGGCTGCTTTGGAAAGCAAGAAAACACAACACTGAGAAGGTTCTTGATGCTGGAGTGTTATGTTTCCTTTTGTTATCTGGAGACTGTACTGAGGTGATATGACCGGATCAAATCTCCCCCAATCCTTACCAATCTGACGCCCTCTCATGAAAACCCTCAAAACCTCAACACAGGTGACAAATGGTTCCCTCGCCCCGACCCTGCTATTGGGTGATATATATTCTACCTGACAGATGGTTTATTCCCACTATAGTTTAGAGCCCCTGACTAAATAAAAAGAAGCTATCGACCATACAACTATTCTTAAATCAACAAATGAAGGTGAATATAAGTGTTGTCTGGGGCAGGCCAGAATCACAAATGCCCACATTTTAAAATACTAGAATTTATATGTTTCTTAAAGTCCAAATAGTTTAAAACAATTCTGTTTAAGAAATAAATCCCTTAAAAATTGGTTTATTTCTCCTATTGCCATCTATTTCATCTCTTCCCTCCTGGAGCACTTACTCGTGGACTGGCCACACACAAAAAAGATGGCAGCTCAGTGAGCAGGCAGCGACGCAGCGAGGAGGTAGCTGATCTCCGCTGATGGACAACCTGGTCTGAGTAGCCACTCACTGCTTTACAGTGGCTGCTGAAAACAAGAGACTGCAAAATAAAAATGCAAATGAATGCCAACTATAATTATGTTTAATGTAAGCAAAATGAAAAAAAAAGCCACATATTAAACATCTAACTTTAAGAGCTTTCTTCCCTGTAAATACTATTAATTCTAATAAACAACCACTAATTAGAACCAAGTATATAATACAGTTGAAGCCCATGTTAATTTCAAAATGTGGTTTTATTAATATACCTTAAACAACTGTCATTTATAATTCTACCTTTTTCTGGAAGAGATATTGTTAATCAAAAACAGGCACAGCAAAACTTCATTAGACAAATCACTTGTATGGGAATGTCAGGGGAAGTTTGGTTCATCTGTTGCACTGTGGATGCAAACTCATGTCTTGTGTTGAAAACAATGATGACCAACACAATTTCCTTCTAAATTTTTTTTTTTTTGAGACACAGTCTTGCTCTGTCACCTAGGCTAGAGTACAGTGGCATGACCTCAGCTCACTGCAACCTCCACCTCCCAGATTCAAGCTATTCTCATGCCTCATCCTCCCGAGTAGTTGCGACTACAGGCGTGCACCACCACACCTGGCAAATTGTTGCATTTTTGGTAGAGACAGGGTTTCACCATGTTGGCCAGGCTGGTCTCGAACTCCTGACCTCAGGTGATCCGCCTGCCTTGGCCTCCCAAAGTGCTGGGATTACAGGCATGAGCCACTGCACCTGGCAATTTCCTTCTAAATTTTTCTTTAAGGCAGTTTAGCACCATTTGTTTTCTTATTAATTTATTCAGAGTAATCAATACAAGGGGTCAGTAACAGGAAATTCTATCTCTTTAGTGCCTCTGACAACCATTTAAAATATATTTATTGTTCACTTATGTTGCCGTATCAAAAATGTATTTTAGGCCGGGATCACCTTTAGGTGATCACCTGAGGTCAGGGGTTTGAGACTAGCCTGGCCAACATGGCGAAACTCTGTCTCTACTAAAAATACAGAAATTAGCCAGCATGGTGGCGGATGCCTGTAATCCCAGCTACTCAGGAGGCTGAGGCAGGGGAATCGTTTGAACCCAGGAGGCGGAGGTTGCAGTGAGCTGAGATCGCACCATTGCACTCCAGCTGGGTGAAAGAGTGAAATTCCGTCCCAAAAAAAAAAAGTATTTTAACAGACTTCATAACTCATGTTACAGCTTCAGGTCACAGCCAGTCATATGAAAGATTTTAAGTATGAAATGTTCACATACAAATCACTCCTCAGTGGGACATGGTGTTCTATATAAGAAATGCAGAAGTTCCTTCCTCAGTATGTTATTCGTTTTATCTTTGGATCTGCATTCTTATTTGTTTTACTGATATCTCAATAAGGCAGGTTGATGACCAAAATAACCATGTAGATGAAGATAACATACAAGGCAGTCTAATTTATACATTGTTGTAAGGTCAAGAATACAAACTGCAAGATCAGAACAGCAACCTGGATCCTCTGTAAGAGAATAATAGTTATAATACCAGTACCAAATCACTCTGAGGATAATTTGTTCAGCTCATATCCTGCTCTTCCACTTATACAGCTTTATTTTCCACAGGGCTTACATCTCTGTAAGGAAATGGGTTCTTAAGGCTCATAGTTTGAAAGCAGTGATCTCAAGTTGTCTAGTACGACATATGCACTGTTATCTGTTTCCCTGAACCAATCAGCATCTTCTAAATAACTGTCATCAACAATTTGAAGACTATAGCTATTTTCCAGGATAGCTGGGCTGTCTTTAGGTGGTTTCTGACTACAGACTACAGAAGTGTTTACAACATTTGATATACTGCTAGGCCCATGTAGCTATGATATGTTTGGCCTTTTCTCTAAATGTTGAGGTCCCTGTCATTACCCAAAGAAGAATTTTAACATTCTGACAGCTTTTCAATAACATCTGTGTTCCCATCTTGATTTTGGGTAGCATCTCCGTTGAAGTTCATTATCTCTCTACATGTTTATGCCCATTATCACTTGAATGTCTAACATGAGTATCGTTACAAAGATTAGCAGGCTAGGTGTCAGACTGTTCTTCCAATACTGAATAATTAGGAGGAAAAAGGTAAAAAGATGTAGCCACGTTTTTTGTTTGTTTCCTGAAAGTGCATTTCTGACATCAGCAGTAGCCCATCTTGCTCCCTCACTGGGGAGGAGAGATGACAAGTCTAGCAACTTCTGCTCATCACCGCCAGCTAAGTAGTAGTTCAGGGCTGCCAGCTGGGACATCCACTGTCAATCAGACCATTCCTGGGCAGATGGCTGAGGCAGCAGCAGTAGCTGACCTGAAGACTTCTGAATTCTTACTAACTTCTACAGACCAGTCACTAAATAATGTCTCTATCAGGTATCGCATTAATTCATCTTCATTTTGAGTATTCTAAAATTCAAAATTCAACAGAAACCTGTTTCTTACTTTGTTCCAATAATATAAAGGTAGAAAATAAAAGAATGAACATTTCCTCCAATTATCTTCTCTTCAGCACTGTAGTTATTACTAAGAAAAGAATACAACTCACCATAGGGAGTTCTTTTAACAAAGCACATTATTTGTTATTACCTTTCTGGAAAAAGTCTGACTAGCAATAATTCTATTCCCAGGGGTGGTCATTCCCAAATTAGAACACATTCATTTATTTTTATTTTTGGGACAGAGTCTTTCTCTGTCACCCAGGCTGGAGTGCAGTGGTGCGATCTCGGCTCACTGTAACCTCTGCCTTCCCAGGTTCAAGCGATTCTCCCACCTCAGCCTCCTGAGTAGGTGGGCCTACAGGTGCGCACCACCACGCCTTTAATTTTTGTATTTTTAGTAGTGATGGGGTTTCACCATGTTGGCCAGGCTGGTCTTGAACTCCTGGCCACAAGTGATCCCCTCTCCTCAGCCTCCCAAAGTGCTGGGATTATAGGCATGAGCCACCACACCTGGCCAACATTCACTTATTTTATTTTATTTCTTTTGGAGACAGAGTCTCACTCTGTAGCCCAGGCTGGAGTACAGTGGTGTGATCTTATCTCACTGCAGCCTCTGCCTCCAGGGTTCAAGCAATTCTCCTGCCTCAGCCTCCCGAGTAGCTGGGATTACAGGTGTGCGCCACACCTGGCTAATTTTTGTATTTTCAGTAGAGATGGGGTTTCACCATATTGGCCCGGCTGGTCTCAAACTCCTGACCTCATGATCCGTCCACCTTGGCCTCCCAAAGTGCTGGGATTACAGGCGTGAGCCACTGTGCCTGGCTCATTCACTTATTTTTTATGAGCTGGGTTAAAATAGTATTCTCATTGAAGTTGCTAAGTCAAGGTGATGTATAGCTTTCTGATTCCAGGTTTTAAAAAATAATAACTATGTTCAAAATGCTCAACATATAGCCTCAACTTTAGAGAAACCCTGACTACCCCTAGAATGTTTTACCCAATATATACTTTTCTAGATTCTTTTCTCTTAACATTAGTTCCATCAAATCTGGTTTAGTATATGTGAACCTTGGTACCACCACACTATCCAATTTCCCTTCATGTAGCAACATGAACTGCTAGACATTGCTAGATATAGAAAAATGTATGCCTGACATGGAAGAATACAAAGAATACCTTAAGCAATATTGTAGATAGAAAAGAAAGTTTGTTCATTACTTCTTTAGTCTAACTTGGTCATGAAAGAAAGAAAGAAGAAAAGTGAAAGAGAAGGGAAGAGGGAGAAAGAAAGAAGGAAAGGAGGGGAAGGAAAAGAGAGGGAAGGAGGGAGAGAAGGAGAGAGGGAGGGGAGGAAGGAGAAGGAAGGAAGGGGAAGGGAGGAAGGAGAAGGGAGGAAGGGAGGAGGGAGGAAGGGAGGAAGGGAGGAAGGGAGGAAGGGAGGAAGGGAGGGAGGGAGGGAGGAAGGGAGGAGGGAGGAAGGGAGGAAGGGAGGAAGGGAGGAAGGGAGGGAGAATGCCATACTATGGGGAATTTGACCTGGTTTTCACGTGGTCACAGCTTTTGCTATTCTTCTGTCCCTTTCTCATGCTCTTGAATGTCTCATTACCCCGGAAGCACTGGCAGATGTGTGCGTCTTGCCGCCAGGACTATAATATGCACACAGTAGTGAAGTCAGCCTTTTCTAAAGACTCTTTTCGCACCATACAAAAGTCTCAAGTGAAAATAAATAGGCCAGGATGACAGGCTCCATAGCTGCATACTCCTTGCCACAGCACAGCACAGCACAGCACAGCACAGCACAGCACAGCACAGCACAGGACAGCACAGCACAGCACAGCACAGCACAGCACAGGACAGCACAGCACAGCACAGCACAGCACAGCACAGCACAGCACAGCACAGCACAGCACAGCACAGGACAGCACAGGACAGCACAGCACAGCACAGCACAGCACAGCACAGCACAGCACAGAAAACACACCGATGTTTTTCCCTCAGACCTAGACTTACTCATTTAATAAGAGGTCATGCTTTGTACTACATGTTTTATTTAAAATTAAAAATGCTTATGTTAAAAATTTAGGTCTCCAGTACTCAAAATTAGCTTTCTACATCTTTTCTTAAAGAGCATGTCAAATTTAGATACAGAGGAAAAAGTTTCACTTTAAATGAAACAGCACAGTGTTGATAAATCAGCTCTTAGATTATACGGATTATATTTCCATGGATATTTTAAGCATCCAAACAAAAAGAGGGAAAATTAATGCAGAGAAACACAATAGTTTCCCAGAGCTTTCCATAAGGGGCATTTGCAGCACTCACGATCTCAGGAAATGATGATATAGATACAGGTACTGTAGCTGAAAACTAACATTTAGTGGAAGAGTTTTTGAAAACTTCCTGTTTGGGGGGTGAAATCTTCAATCAATAGCCCGTCAAAAAACTCTAAGGATTTAATACAGAATAGTGTTTAAAACTTCAACATATGCCACTCTCTTCAAAACAACTCTATGTTTAGAACCTTTGTGTATTTTAAATTGCAAAATCTGAAATGCCCCCGATTTTTAGGAGTCACTTGACTCACTAGAACTGTAGAGTATATAAAATGTTCAGGCCAGGCGTGGTAGCTCATGCCTGTAATCCCAGCACTCTGGGCGGCTGAGGAGGGCGGATCACGAGGTCAGGAGTTCGAAACCAGCCTGGCCAACATAATGAAACCCCGTCTCTACTACAAACACAAAAATTAGCCAGGGGTGGTGGCATGCGCCTATAGTCCCAGCTACTCAGGAGGCTGAGGCAGGAGAATCACTTGAACCCGGGAGGCGGAGGTTGCAGTGAGCCAAGACCACACCATTGCACTCCAGCCTGGGTGACAGAGACTCCGTCTCAACAACAACAACAAAAAAACAAACAAAAAAAACTTTCAGCACGTACTATGCATAAGTAGACCATTACCATGACAACAGTTTCAATGAGACAGACAGGAGACAGAATCAATACTGGTACTGTACTCTGTGTCTGCCAACCATCATTTTTAATTTTTAACATGACATTTAATTGGAATAGACTCAAATCTGTTCTGCCCCAAGAAAGATAACTAAATGGCATATTTACGACAGGCTCTCTTTTTTGTCTTTATTCTTCTAAGCAAAATAAAATTTTATTTTTCTATCTCTGCTGCCTGAATCAGAATTTTTTTTTTTTTTTTTTGGAGACACAATCTCGTTACCCAGGCTGGGGTGCAGTAGTGTGATCATAGCTCACTGTAATCTCAAACTCCTGGACTCAAGGGATCCTCCCACCTCAGCCTCCTTGAGTAGAGAGACAGAGTGAGACCCTGTCTCAAAACAAACAAACAAACAAAATCACACTCTTTATCCACTGCAAAACAGTGTAAGAAAATAACTCTGGCCAGAGGTACCACAGTGTGCAGGGAAGGTGTGCGAAAGTTCTGACCCAAATCTACTCATTCCTGAAATTCTTAATAGCAATGCAGGGTAGAACACAAGAAAATTAAGTAGAATACAGGGAGCCATGCTAGTTTTTGTTCTACAAACATAAGAGAAGGAAATCTCTGAAAAGTATTCACATCAATTAAGAGATTTTTTAAAAACCCCAAACTTAGGCCAGGCGCAGTGGCTCACGCCTGTAATCCCAGTACTCTGGGAGGCCAAGGCGGGAGGATCACGAGGTCAGGAGATCAAGACCATCCTGGCTAACGCTAGAGTAGAAACCCTATCTCTACTAAAAAAAAAAATACAAAAAAATTAGCCGGGCGTGGTGGCAGGCGCCTGTAGTCCCAGCTTCTCGGGAGGCTGAGGCAGGAGAATGGCGTGAACCTGGGAGGCAGAGCTTGCAGTGAGCTGAGATGGTGCCACTGCACTCCAGTCTTGGTGACAGAGCGAGACTCTGTCTCAAAAAACAAACAAAAAAACCCAAAACTTTATCCAAAACACCTCTAAGTATCAACCGATCTGTGTCCTTAGCCTAGTTCTTAGCTTCTTGATGTTTATGTGTATCATCCTGAAGCTAATAATACAAGAATGGTACTTCTTTGGATTCTGTAACAAAAAATTCATATTTTATCTTCACCATAGGGTGGGTGAGTGCAAGGGTTTTATAGGCACATTATGGGGTTGGGGGAGGTAAGGAGAAGAGAGCTTCTCACTGTTTGGATTCATTCCTTTCCCTGGGGAGTAAGAGAAGAAGGGGAGGACTGGGTTAGACTGCTGAATATGGCTCAGGTAGTATGTGACCTCACACAGCTTACCAAGACCAATATGACAACATGTAGCTAAGTGAACACTGATCTGTCTCCACAGAGGAAGAAAAACAAAGTCTTTACCTTGATCTGATGATAGGAAGTTATATTTAGGAGACAGGCTACAGGAACAATAACTCTCTTTATACAACAAATGAAGGCGTAGAAGGAAACAGAATGAAAAATTTTCTGCCTTAAGATGACAAAGCTGAATATGGGGAAATTAACTCAAAACTAACTTGTTAGCTCCAAAGGAGCTTTAGTCTAAAATATTATTTGAATTTCGTAAGAAAAAGAATGATGAGACCCCTTCCAACTTTTACATTTCCCCATGTCTCTTCTCAGGTTTGTTGGCCGAAGAATAACCCCAAACTTTTTAAGACTGATCTGGAACATGGAATCTGGGTTCAACTTGCATACTCTTCCATTAAAACCTTGAAACATAATTTGTCTTCACTGGAGAACTGCTTCTCTTCTGCATTATGTTTCCAAATAATTAAAGTTACATAATCAGAACTAATGTGGCAAATTAAATGAAAATACAGAGCTTGCAATGAAAAGAAAAAAAATGCTCACAAGGAGTTAAGAGTTTATGAGTAAAGAATCCCTGCTGAAAATGAAACCTCGTTATTATACTATAGTTACTATCTTTCCCAGCTAACATTTGCTGTGAAGAAACACGGGTAACAGAGCACAAGGATAGAGTCCAAAATCCTTTCTAGTTGAAAAACTAGTTAAGAACTAGTACTACAGTCAGAACCATCTACAGTCTAAGCCAGAATCTCAGAACAGGAAATCCAAAACAAATTTCATAATGAAATATCTGATATAATGGGATCAGCATGGAAATAAGGGGCTGTGGTAGTTTTATATGGCCACAAATTCCTTGGCCAGGTGTGATGGCTCACACCTGATCCTAACACTCTGGGAGGCTGAGGCAGGGGAATCCCTTGAGGCCAAAATCCAAAAATTAGCTGGGTGTAGTGGCACCTGCCTGTAATCCCAGCTACTTGAGAGGCTGAGGTGGGAGGACTGCTTGAGCCCCAAAGGTGGAGGTTGTAGTGAGCCATGACTATACCACTACGCTCTTGCCTGGGTGACAAAGCAAGACTACATCTCTAAAAAAAAAAAAAGACCGGGCGCGGTGGCTCACGCCTGTAATCCCAGCACTTTGAGAGGCCGAGGCAGATGGATCACGAGGTCGGGAGATCAAGACCATCCTGGCCAACATGGTGAAACCCCGTTTCTATTAAAAAATATAAAAAATTAGCTGGGTGTGGTGGCGGGCACCTGTAGGCCCAGCTACTCGGGAGGCTGACGCAGGAGAATGGCGTGAAACTGGGAGGCGGAGGTTGCAGTGAGCCGAGATCACACCACTGCACTCCAATCTGGGGGACAGAGTGAGACTCTGTCTCAAAAAAAAAAAAAAAAAAAAAAAAAAGTCTGGCGCCTTGGCTTACACCTGTAATCGGAGCACTCAGGGAGGCCAAGGTGGGCAGATCACTTGAGGCCAGGAGTTTGAGACCAGTCTGGTCAACATGGTGAAACCCCATCTCTGCTTTAAAAACAAAACAAAACAAAACAAAAAAACCCATAAAATTAGCTGGGCATGATGGCCCACACCTGTAATCCCAGCTACTCAAGGAGGCTGAGGCAGGAGAATCACTGGAACCCAGGAGGCGGAAGTTGCAGTGAGCCGAGATCGCACCACTGCACTCCAGCCTGGGCAACAGAGTGCAACTCTCTCTCGAAAAAAAAAAAAAAAAAAAAAAAAAAAAACCCAAAAAAACCACATAGCTAAGCTGCTCCCAAGTTCCCAGCCAACAGAAACAGTGTGAGATATCAAGTGTTTATTGTTTTAGTCTCTAGGTTTTAAGATAACATGTTATATAACTACTACTACAGGGGCTAAAATCCATAGTTGAGCTCATTAGCAACCTCTATTGCAAGTTTCTATAGATTCACTTCTCTCTGGTGTTCCTTACTACCCAAGGAACGTGTCACCTCTAGTTCTCAGATCAAATGCAGGGCAAAAATAACTAAGTGCAATAAGATCAATGAATGATCAAACAGATTACCTATCCTGCCCACTTTCCCTAAACCCCTAGAAGTTAGTGCTCTTCACAAAATTCTATTTAAAATATTAAGAGTAAAACTGTACTTTTAATTTTAGGCTAGAAGACATTCCCTCAGATTAATACATACCATGTTCCAAAGATTAGTACCAATCCACCAATATTGTTATTAATATTAATACTGGTGCATTAATATAATGTGCCATTATTCACTAGGTCATTCAGCAAACACTTATTTAACCTTAAAAGTGCCCAAAATAACCAGACCACAAAGGGAAGATGAATTATATAAAATGTCCAAACATTTAAATTGGTTTTAGCCAGGCACGGTGGCTCACGACTGTAATCCCAGAACTTTGGGAGGCCGAGGCAGGCCAGTTACTTGAGGTCAGGCCGGTTACTTGAGATCAGGAGTTTGAGATCAGTCTAGCCAATATGGCAAAACCCCGTCTCTCTACTAAAAATACGAAAATTAGCCAGGTGTGGTGGCAGATGCCTGTAATCCCAGCTACTTGGGAGGCTGAGGCAAGAGAATCGCTCAAACCCGGGAGGTGGAGGTTACAGTGAGCCAAGGTCACTCCACTGCACTCCAGCCTGGGTGACAGAGCAAGACTCTATCTCAAAAAACAAAACAAAACAAAACAAAAACTAAAAATAGATTGATTTCTCACTTGAAAAAAGAACAAAAAGAGAGAGAAAGAGAACCACTTAATAGGACTTTTTTTTTTTTTAATGTTAAGCTTAAGGCCGGGCACGATGGCTCAAGCCTATAATTCCAGCACTCTGGGAAGCTGAGGTGGGAAACTACCTGAGGTCAGGAGTTCGAGATCAGCCTGGCTAACATGGTGAAACCCCATCTCTACTAAAAACACAAAAATTAGCCGGGCGTGTTGGCACATGTCTGCAGTCCTACTTGGGAGGCTGAGGCAGGAGACTACTTTGAACCCAGGAGGCAGAGGTTGCAGTGAGCCAATATCGTGCCACTGCACTCGAGCCTGGGCAATAGAGCAAGACTCCATCTCCAAAAAAATTAATTAATTAAATAAAATAATGTTAAGCTTAGTGTTAGTTGTTCTGGACATTTTAAAACATTCTTTGTGGCAGAGAAATAGCTTTCTGTTAATTATACAGCCTGCCAGTATTCACAAGAGTTTTTCATCCTATTAAAAAGTATAGTTGGGCTGGGTGTGGTGGCTCACGCCTGTAATCCCAGCACTTTGAAAGGCCGAGGCGAGAGGATCACTTGAGACCAGGAGTTCGAGACCAGCCTGGCCCACATGGCGAAACCCCACCTCTACTAAAAATACAAAAATTAGCTTGGAGTGGTGGTGCACGCCTGTAGTCCCAGCTACTCAGGAGGCTGAGGCAGGAGAATCACTTGAACCCGGGACGCAGAGGTTGCAGTGAGCCAAGATTGTGCCACTGCACTTTAGCCTGGGCGACAGAGTAAGACTCTGTCTCAAAAAAAAAGTGTAGTTAACCAACTTGCGCACCCCCACCAAATGCCTCTCTTGCCCCTCTTCCCTTTTCTTTTTTTTTTTTTTTTTTTTTGAGATGGAGTCTTGCTTTGTCGTCCAGGCTGGAGTGCAGTGGCATGATCTCAGCTCACTGCAACCTTCGTCTCCCGTTTTCAAGTGATTCTCCTGCCTCAGCCTCCGTAGTAGCTGGGATTACAGCCACAGGCCACCATGCCTGGCTAGTTTTTTTTATTTTTAGTAGAGACAGGGTTTTGCCATGTTTGCCAGGCTGGTCTCCTGACCTCAGGTGATCCGCCCACCTCAGCCTCCCAAAGTGCTGGGATTACAGGCATGAGCTACTGCACCCGACATCTTCCCTTTTCGTTGTGAAATCTGCAAGACTCTTTTCTCTTAAAAAAGTCAACTTTCACTTAAACCAAACTCCCCTCCTGAAATACCTTACTTTTTAACTGTCACACTTCAATACTCATTCTCTACACCTCCTAACCAGGATCTTTCTCCCTAAAAATCCTTACAACTGGGCTTCTGCCTTCTCTTTTTAATCTGTACTCACAATCAAAGAGTTCTTAATCTCACTCTTTAGTTTTTGCTTTAAACTTGATATGGAACTTAAGATTCCCTCTGGATCCTCTCTTGAACTCTGGCTTTTTGAAGTAATTTTTCCATCTCCAGTGCCCATCCATATCCAAACTGATCAAAGTCCCTTGATCCCTTTTCTATAATCTTTCTGTTACAACCATTGCTATCGGGTCTTTAGTACCTGACACTTGAAACTTTTGCTTAACATCTGCCTTAACATGGATTGCTGCCTCCATTCTTCCTGATATCACACTCTGAGGTTAATCTTCATAAAATACAAATAACAAAGATCCCAACTGGTTTGATATAATGACTCTGGTAATTTAGCAGCCTTACTGAACCTGCTACCAGAATACTACTTCTCATGGCTTCACATTGGCTACCAACACTTGACCCCGAGGAATACAACTTTAAGCATCTGTTGAAGAAAGTAAGACAAATAGGGCTGGGACGACAAGCTTATTATCTAAACCCGCATAGGGTGGCATTCAAAGACTTTCCAAACTTACCCTTCTAGACTTTTCTGTCATTACTGTCCTTTATTTTGGCTCAAATCCTTAACTTGGAATTATGTTCCTCCTATCCAAATCTCTACCACTCAAAATCCAACTTTTTCAAAATTAGAGACACAGTCTCACTATGTTGCCCAGGCTGGTCTTGCCTCCTGGCTCCAAGCAATCCTCCCACCTCAGCCTCCTAAAGTACTGAGATTAAAGGCATGAGCCAACACCACACCTGGCCTAGATCCAATTTAACAATACTATTTCTATAAAGTGATCTTCTCCCATCTGAACTCTACCATTCATTATCTACCATTACTCAGGCAGTTAATTGTGTAGTATTTAAAGTCTTATCTTGAACCACATTCAGTGTGTGTGTGTGTTTTTAAGCATGAGTGTATATTTTCAATATGTGCATGAGTGACTCTTCCAAATACAGCACAGGGATAATGATTGTTAACACACTTTGCCTACTGTGGTATGCAGTAATATGTTTGTAAACAACATTAATTACGTATGTTTCTCCTTGCTGGACTGGACTAACATTGGGAAAAGGCTGTTCTGAAGGTAGCCTAGAGCAATGAAAAAAGAAGCACCAGACAATTCCCAAAGATCACAGTCTACACTGGAGATTCATTCAATCGATAAGCACTTACGATATACAAATCCATGCCCTCCACGGACCTTTGAGGTCAAATAATTTAAAATAGTTTGAAAAACAATGTACAGCATGTAAAACACAGGAATATCTTCTGTAGTAAACACTGAGTCTCCACTCTACCACCATTCCCTACTCAAATAAACTGCTCACATCGGTGGTTTCCAAGGTAGGCACACGTAAACTTCACAATGTAAATATTAATATGTGAATACATGTATATAATTTAAAACAAAATAGCATACAGACATTGGAGAAATAGAGTACGAATGTTGTTATTACAGAGGAACATAATCAAAACATTTGGGGACTACTGACCTATACTACCTAGACTGCTAAAAAGAGGTGAGATTAAAATAAGATTTAGCCGAGTACACGGGCTCACAACTGTGATCGCAGCACTTTGGGAGACCAAGGTGGGAGAACTGCTTAAGCCTAGGAGTTCAAGACCAGCCTGGACACAACATAGTGAGACCCTGCTGCTACCAAAAAAAAAGGAAAGAAAATATGATAAAATAAAATTTATATGCCAATTCTAAAATTTACATGAATACACGAAGGGCTAAGAACAGCCAAAACAATACAGAAGAAATGCAAAGTCAGAGGATCTGTGCACCAGTTATCAAGACTTACCGTGAAGCTGTACTTATTAAGATAGAGTAGCACTGGTTCAAGGATAGTCAAATGGGTTCATGGAAGAGAACAGAGTTCAGAAACTGACCAACACATATATAGACACCTGCTTGACAAGTGATGCTACAGTCCAGTAAGAATGGTCTTTTCAATAAACGGGATATGGAGAGAAATAGAATTATCTTCGCGAATTTGTTGGAGGCAAAGAATTCTTCAACAGGACACAAAAATTATTCACTATTCATCAGAAGACAACATTGAGGCTGGGTGCAGTGGGTCATGCCTAAGTCCCAGCACTTTGGGAGGCTGAGGCCGGAGGATTGTTTGAGGCCAGAGTTCGAGGCCGGCCTGAACAACACAGCAAACCTAACCCTAACCTAACCCTAATCCTGAGCTACGACTGCATCAGTGCATTCCAGCCTGGGCAACAGAACAATTCAGATCCTGTTTCAAAAAAAAAAGGGTGGGCAGGGGAAGGTACCACTGAAAATGAGAAAGTTACAGAGTAGAAGATATTTGTAATATACAAAGAACTACAAATCATAAGAAAAATACAGTCAGCCCAATAGAAAAATAAACAAGAATTCTGAACAAACATTTCATAAAGGCAATTATCCAAATGGCCAATAAACACCAGAAAAGGTATTCAATATCATTTTCACAGGAGAAATTTAACTAAAGACATAATAAGACACCACTACCCAACAAAGTTTAAATGAAGAGACAGACAATGCCACATTCCTGCAAAGACGTAGAGGGTCTCACTCTGTCACTCTCCGAGGCTCAGAGTGCAGTGGTGGGATCACCGTTTATTGTAGCCTCAACCTCCTGGGCTCAGGCGATCCTTCCACCTCAGCCTTCCAATCCTCCCACCTCAGCCTCCCAAGTAGCTGGAACTACAGGTACACGGCATCATGCTTGGCTAATTTTTGTATTTTTCTGGTAGAGATGGGGTTTTGTCATGTTGGCCAGGCTGGTCTCTAACTCCTGGGCTCAAGCGATCATCCCGCCTCAGCCTCCCAAAGTGCTGGAATTACGGGAATGAGCCACGATGCCTAGCCTCTACATTGTTGTTAATTGTTACACCTGGAGCTTCTAGTTCTTTTTTTTTTTTTTCTTTCTTTTTTTGAGACGGAGTTTTGCTCCTGTTCCCCAGGCTGGAGTGTAATGGCGCGATCTTGGCTCATTGCAACCTCCACCTCCTGGGTTCAAGCAATTCTCCTGCCTCAGCCTCCCTAGTAGTTGGGATTACAGGCGCACACCGCCACGCCCAGCTAATTTTTGTATTTTTTTAGTAGAGACGGGGTTTCACTACATTGGCCAGGCTGGTCTTGAACTCCTGACCTCAGGTGCTCTGCCCGCCTTGGCCTCCCAAAGTACTGGGATTAACAGGCATGAGCCACTGTACCCAGCCGGCTTCTAGTTCTTTATTCAGAACCTAGGCTAACCTTTAAGAGTGGATAATATCTAACGATCATTTTGCTTGGCTGAAAGGAAAGATTTCCTTTTTTTTTTTTTTTTTTGAGGCAGGGTCTCGCTCTGTCACTGAGGCTGGAGTACAGTGGTGCACTCAGGGTTCACTGCAGCCTTGACATCCTGGGTTCAAGGGATTCTCCTGCCTCAGACTACTGAGTAGCTGGGACTACAGGCACCCACCACCATGCTTGGCTAATTTTTAATTTTTAATTTTTTTTTTTTTTTTGAGACAGAATCTTGCTCTGTTGCCCAGGCTGGAGTGCAGGTGCATGATCTCAGCTCACTGCAACTTCTGCCTCCGGGTTCAAGAGATTCTCCTACCTCAGGCTCCTGAGTAGCTGAGATTACAGGTATGTGCCACCACACCCGGCTAATTGTTTTTGTATTTTTAATAGAGACAGGGTTTCACCATTGGCCAAGCTAGTCTTGAATTCCTAACCTCAAGGGATCCGCCCACCTCATCCTCCCCAAGTGCTGGGATTACAAGGGTAAGCCACCACGCCCCACCTAATTTTTAAAATTTTTTAGTAGATATGGGGTCTCACTATATTGCCTAGGCTGGTCTTGAACTCCTGGGCTCAAATGATACTCTCACCTTGGCCTTCCGAAGTGCTAGGATTACAGGCCCAAGCCAACACTCCTGGCCCTGAAAGCAGAGATCTTTTAAAACTGACAGTCTTTTTTCTGAGAGGGAGTCTCGCTCTGTCACCCAGGCTGGAGTGCAGTGGTGTGATCTCCACTCACTGTAACCTCAGCCTCCCGTGTTCAAGAGTTTCTCATGCCTCAGCCTCCCGAGTAGCTGGGATTACAGGCGTGTGCCACCACACCCAGCTAATTTTTGTATTTTTAGTAGATGTGGGGTTTCACTACGTTGGCCAGGCTGGTCTTGAACTCCTGACCTCAAGGGATCCGCCTGCCTCGGACTCAAAAAGTGCTGGGATTACAGGTGTGAGCCACCACGCCCGGCTGACAGTCTTATCATTAATTATGAGAACCATAAGCTCTAGCAAAATACACTACTTGGTTGGTATTTCAATATACATACATATGTTGGAGATAAGGATGATGAGATTGAAAGCAGAACAGTGTCTCCACACATATATAAGCTTTCAGCTCCCCGTGGCCCAATAGCTCATTAATTCAGTGTATACTCTAAACCACTACAAGAGCAAATTAAAATGAGTAAATATAAGTGAATCTTTCAACTGCGTAAACATATTTTATGACCAGTTTCCCATAAAGCATACTACCCACATCTGCATTTCTCAGACGGTTCTAACTGATATAAGGACCTCACTAAGCAGACGCTCTGGAACATACTACAATATTTTCAGAAAACAGAGAAGAATACAAATGAGTGATGCATATCTCTAGCGTTAAGAAAAATGCAGGTGTCCATATAACAGGGAACAACAATGTCTTGGAAGAATGGTGCTTTTTGTATAAAAAGCAGAACTGATAAAAATGTATTACAGTAGTAACATATATTACCAAATTTAGGGGTTGAGAGAAGGAATTAATCTTTACAGAAGATTAAGCAACTCTTCAGACATACCAGTGTTCCCAGTAGACATACTAGGAATATTTCACCAGCAGGAAATCACCCTGCCACCACTGACAGCATTACTCCAAACAGGCTGGAATCCAATTACATTAATTTGCATTACTGATTCCCTCTCCAAAGTCCAAAAATTACATGAAGCAATGCTTAAGAAACCAACTGGGAAAACAGAAGAGAAGGAAATCATGTGAGCTTTTCAGTGTACAGGGGGCAAATACTGAATGAGCTAGCCAAAGAATGTCCTTCATTCTACAACAGTAACTGTAAAACTACCCCATAACATTTTCTATAGGATACAAGGAAAATGACCTAGTTTCTAAACTTCAATCTAGCTGAAGGACTATAACAAAGAACTGTCACTCCTCTTCTCAAAACTCTCTAGCATTACTCATTTCACTCAGAATAAATTCCAAACCCTCAGCAATTCTTATGAGGTTCCATATGACCTGGACCTACATCTATAACTTCAGTTCCTGTCACCTTCTTTCACCTTCTTTGTCACCTACTATTCTGTAAGGGCCAAGAATTATATGAAACTGTACACAACATCATTACTTTTCATGGAAATATAATTCAAGATCACGAGATGCCACTACACATTCACAAAAATAATTAAAACTGTAAGGAATGATTATTCATAAGGAGTCACACAACAAAACAAAACAAAACAGACTGCCATTCCCAGGTGTAGTGGAGGATGCTGAATAATAGCAAATCTCACATACCGTAGGTGCAAATGTAAATTTATAAAACTATTTTAGAAAAACGTTTGGCAAAAGCTACTAACTCTAAACAGGGTTATACTTGACAGTGTAGCAATTCCATTCCTGGATATAAACACCAAAGAAAGGAGTGTTTGCATTCATCAAATAACATGTAGACAAATGTGCATAGGGGTTTTATTCATAATAGCCTAGAACTGGAAACAAACAAAATATCTACCACAGTAGAACAGATTAATAAATTGTGGTCCATTCAGACAATGTAATACTTCATAGCCATAAAAAAAGAATGCTATATATGACATGGACAAATCTCATAAACAATACTGAGTGAAAAATCCCAGTTACAAAAGAGTACATACAAGATAATTCCATTTATATAAAGTTCACAAACAGGCAAAAATAATCTACGGTGACAGAAGTAGAATATGGCAATTACCTTTAATTGTTGGTTTGTCTTTTTCTAAACTAGAGCTACTAAACGGAAAGGAGCATGAGGGAGCTGGAAGTATTCTATATATTGATCTAGGTGGTTGTTACACAAGTGTATACACATATATAAATTCACAGAGCTGTACACTTAAGATCTGTGTACTTCACAGTATTGTAAAAAAAACATTTTGAAAATATAAATACACTCAAAAATATATATACAAAGTGTAAATTAAGTTAGAACTCAATATGCTGCACCGCCCACTCCTCTGGGAACTTTTTGGTTCTCTCAGGCCTTCATTTACTTTACTATTATTTTTACTTATTCAAGGAAAAGGAAAGAAGATACTAAGTAGGTAATTTATGCTCAAATAATTGCTTACCTTTAACAAAGGGCAGCTGCAAAGGTTTGGAAAGGAGAGTGGAAAATTAACCCCAAGAAGGAAATCCTTGTTCCTCAGGTATCTCTGGTGGCTCTCCCCTTCTGGCGCTCCCCAGGAGCGTAGCTGATGGAGCCTGTAGGAGGCTTTCAGAGACAGGAAAAGAGCTAACCATCTGAAACAAACCACAGCAGACACGCTTATTCAGTGCTCCATGGAGGTTTGAGGGTCGTTCATAGCAGCAAGGATTGTCTCTCATTAACATAACTCTTTTGTAAATCTTTATCATTTTAGAAACAGTTCTTTCCTACTTTCCTACTTTCAGATACATTATTTCGCATTACATGGTTTGCTACTATGAAAACTAAAATCCTCCGCAAAGCTCCTATCAGTATTTAAAAAAATTTGCCAGGCGCAGTGGCTCACGCCTGTAATTTCAACACTTTGGGAGGCCGAGGCAGGTGGAACATCTGAGGTCAGGAGTTTGAGACCAGGCTGACCTAGATGGCAAAATACAGTCTCTACTAAAACTACAAAAGGGCGTGGTGTCAGGCACCTGTAATACCAGCTACTTGGGAGGCTGACGCATGAGAATCGCTTGAACCTGGGAGATGGAGATTGCAGTGAGCCGAGATTGCCCCATTGTACTCCAGCCTGGGCGACAGAGCGAGACTCTGTCTCAAAAAAAAAAAAAAAAAAAAATTCACCTTGGCCGGGCACAGTGGCTCACACCTTTAATCCCAGCACTTTGGGAGAATGAGACAGGCAGATCAATTGAGGCCAGGAGTTCGGGAACAGCCTGGCCAAAATGGTGAAACCTCACCTCTACAAAAAAAAAAGAATACAAAAAATTAGCCAGGCGTGGTTGTGCACGCCTGTAATCCCAGCTACTTGGGAGGCTGAGGCAGGAGAATAACTTGAACCCAGGAAGCGGAGGTTGCAGTGAGCCAAAATCGAGCCACTGCACTCCAACCTAGGCGACCGAGTGAGACTTCATCTCGGGAAAAAAAAAAAATTCCTTCATATTAAGGAGATAACCATTTCTGATTACATAAATCAAAAGTAATAAAATCAGTGAGAACCATTATACCAGAGAACAGAGAATTAAACTTCCCAGAACACTTGAGGCAGGCTATGCTGCAATCACTAACTAAATGAATCACCAGCCTCCGTTTGCCCTGTAGAAACAAGTAAACAAGACTTACTAGAAATTATGGGAGAAAAGCCTAAACAGTTTATATTTAAGGGGTGTGTGTGTGTCTGTGTGTGTGTGTGTCTGTGTGTGTCTCTGTGTGCGTATACATACATATATATATATATATATATATATATATATATATATATATATATATATATTCTTGTTCTGTTGCCCGGGCTGGGGTACAATGGCATGATCTAGGCTCACTGCAACCTCCACCTCCTGGGTTCCAGTGATTCTCCCACCTCGGCCTCCTGAGTAGCTGAAACAGGCGCGTGGCACCATGCCTGGCTAATTTTTGTGTTTTTATTACAGACGGGGTTTCAGCATGTTGGCCAGGCTGCTCTCAAACTCCTGACCTCAGGTGACCCACCTGCCTCGGCCTCCCAAAGTGCTGGATTACAGGCATGAGCCACTGCGCCTGGCCTATTTAAGATATATTATGAAGCATCATACAATTACTAAATGAGCAAAAGAAAGGTACAATTCACTTATGAATAACAAATTACAGTCTTTTTGTTTGTTTTGTTCTGTTTTGAGACCGAGTCTCATTCTGTTGTCCAGGTGGGAGCGCAGTGGAGCGATCTTGACTCACTGCAACCTCCACCTCCTGGGTTCAAGCAATTCTCCTGCCTCGGCCTCCCGAGTAGCTGGGACTACAGTGGTGTACCACCACACCCAGCTAATTTTTGTATTTTTGGTAGAAATGGGGTTTCACCATGTTAGCCAGGCTGGTCTTGAACTCCTGACCTTAAGTGATCCACCCACCTTGGCCTCCCAAAGTGCTGGGATTACAAGTGTGAGCCACTGCGCCTGGGCCTGGTCAACAAACTGTACTATTTTTTTTTTTTTTCTTGAGACGGAGTTTTGAACTTGTTGCCTCAATTGATCCAGGCTGGCCTCAACTGATCCAGGCTGGAGTGCAATGGCATGATCTCAGCTCACGGCAACCTCCACTTCCCAGGTTCAAGCAATTCTCCTGCCTCAGCCTCCCAAGTAGCTGGAATTACAGGCATGCACCACCATGTCCGGCTACTTTTGTATTTTTTAGAGATGGGGTTTCTCCATGTTGGTCAGGCTGGTCTTGAACTGCCGACCTCAGGTGATCCACCCGCCTCGGCCTCCCAAAGTGTTGGGATTACAGGCATGAGTCACCGTGCCCAGCCTACAAACTTTATTCTTAACAAAAGAAAATTAATGACAAGTTCTCTAAGATGATATCATATTAAATATTTAATTCCACAGTATTCAATATCTATCCCATTTATTCCTAACTGGCCTCTTATCAAGCAATAAGCAAACCTCTCACCTGGCCAAAAGTCCCTGAAGCATAAGGTTTGCCATTTCTGCTGGAGATATATCAATAAAGCGAAGGAAAGAGAAACAGCTTTCTTCATTAATACCTGAAATATAAAAGACAATTTGAAACCCAACAGCAAACCAAGAGACGATGCTCAGTTAAAGCCTGCTCAACTGCTGAGTTTTGACTTAAGAACAAAAACACTATTCTAAAGGTTCTGATCTAGCCACTTTGGTGCAAGTTAGGGTGCCACACCTTTATACTACAATAACAGATAAGAGAGGCAGGCCTATGAGATATGGCATATATATATGGACCAGACTAGAGATGGCTCCTACATTACCTTTGGGATTTTTGGATGCTTGCCTAAATGCCTTCTCTTTGTCCAATGCTAGGAAAAAGAAAAGGACAGGACAGAGGTGAAAGGTTCTGAACCTTGGCCTTAATATTTTGGACAATGAGCAAAGCTGAGTAGCTTCTTTTCCTTAGGCTAAGACGGAAGGAAGTCTCATTAATGAGACAGTCCAGCACCGACTTTGTCAAGTTTCAAGGGCAAGAAATTCTTGAAAGGCAGGTATAAAATAAAGATGGAAAGTCAATAATACTATTTTCTACTTTTTCCTCTCATAGCTACAAATCACAGAGCCTATAAAGATAACTAATTTCCTTAATTAAATCTTATCAAGATTTTATAAATAAGGGCCTACCATATAGGCAAAACTAATACTCGTTCTAAATCAGTCTCTCAGCAAAACAAAGAGCATCCTGGTAAAACCCTGACAAACCTACTTTCCCAAAGATCAAAACACCTACCTTTTCTGTGAAAGAGAGACCGTTGGATATAGTCTGGTGCAAATGGAGAAAGAACCCTTAACCACCTGCAAAGTAAGTAAATAAAATAAAGCCAAACCCAAACATAAATAATGGAAAGTTAACTAGACTAGAGGTTCCATAGCAAGTAAAACCTTTTAGTTTTGAAACTGTTTCACTTTTAAGAAGTTTCTTGCCATATTACCAGGCAAAAATCATAGCATACATTTAAAAAAATACAAAATATTTAGTGAAAGTGTAAGAAGATAATACAAATTAAAAGTAGTCTCATTTTATTTCAGAGAATCACAATTCTAGTGCCCTAAGGTATCATATACCATACTAAACAAAAGGCAATACAGCTCTGGCCTGTTCCTCCCAGCTCAAGTTAAATATTAACCTGGAGCTACAAATAACTCATGAAGTAAAATCCAAGAAATGTGTTTCAATTTCAGTTTCATTAAACTAAATATTGGTGATGAGTTTCTCTATAAAACAGCTTTCTAAATCCATGGTTCTCAAATGTTGATATGCAGAAAAAACCTCTGGGAACTTGTTTAAAAATTCAGAAGCCAGGGCCATACTAACTCACAGGTGTGGAATGGACCACACATCTATTTTCTGAATGGAAGTCGTCTCTAGTGCATTACCTTAACAACCACTTCAAACTTTACTAAATTTATCGTTGCTGACTCTGAGAAAAAGGTAAATTTGATTAACTTACAATACAATCAGTTCACCCACAAGTGCAATTCCAAATGTAAAGTAAGCCACCACAAACCAATTTCAGCAATGGGGCATAGATATGCATACTTGCTGCAAGTACATATTTACAAATTGGTGCACATTCCTGATTCAAAGAAGAACCAGAAGTGACTAGGGCCTTTAAGGCCACCTAGCTGAAGTTTTAACAGTGCTCAAATTCCTTCCATAAGATCCCTCAACAAATAGTTGTCCACCCTTTGCTTAAATGTCTCATTGCTGGGAACTCATATTCTCTCCACTAAATTTATCTACTAAGCCATAAAACTGTAAATTATAAAACACTAATAGTGAACAGATAGTAATACTTCCCTACCTGTCTCGTGAATGAT
Organism: Homo sapiens; assembly: GCF_000001405.40. Taxonomy (NCBI): domain Eukaryota; kingdom Metazoa; phylum Chordata; class Mammalia; order Primates; family Hominidae; genus Homo; species Homo sapiens. Next base: position 41,049,303 of record NC_000015.10, read on the forward strand.
TGAAGACCCTGATCTGTCCATGACGGTAGATAAACTTTGAAATGTGGTATGGCTTTAGGGAAATATGAAATGGAGACCAAGTTTCTTGCCGTTCAAATAACTCCGGGTGATTACACACCTAAAAGGAAGGGAAATGGTAAGACAATATTACCACATGCAGACATCATACGTAATGACAGGGGATCCCAAATCCCAAATGTTTACCTTTGGGAATGGATACTTTCCCATTTTCATCTCATTAATAGCCTTTGCTTATCTGGCATCAAGGATAGACTGTTTTTCTTGAAAAAGGTTAATAAAGACAACTTCAAGGCCAGGCGCAGTGGCTCACCCAGCACTTTGGGAGGCCGAGGCGGGTGGATCCCTTGAGGCCAAGAGTTTGAGAGCAGCCTGACCAACATGGGGAAGCCTCATCTCTACTAAAAATACAAAAATTAGCCAGGCGTGGTGGCAGGCTCCTGTAGTCTCAGCTCCTTGGGAGGCTGAGGCAGGAGAATTGCCTGAACCTGGGAGCCAGAGGTTGCAGTGAGCCGAAATCACGCCATTGCACTCCAGCCTGGGCAACAGAGCAAGACAATTCTATCTCAAAAAACAAAAAACAAAACTTCAAGGGAACTGACGTAAGCTCTTACCTTCCTAAACTGCATGACCAGATTCATGAGGCTGCTGGTGGTGTTCTGTGCTTGTTGGGTAGAGCCCATAGAAGACTGCAATAAATCCTCAATGGAAATTTTGTTCTTTAGTGCCTGATATAGCAGCTTCTGTCGGCTGGTCAGTTGGCAATACATTAGAATCTCAATCTAAAAATCAATAAGAACATTTATATTTGGAAAAGTAGTTTTTAAGAAAATTCAGCATCAGCTTAAAGTTGAAAACACACACAAACCATATTATGATTGAGAATAAACATATGTGAACTCAGTATCTCTATAAACCTGTGAATGTGGACAATCATTCAGAAAAAAATGTATATTCCTTGGCCCTCTTCTCTTCATCACTCATTCCATTTGCTTTCCCTGGGCAATTTCTTCCATTTCTAACTGTGCCAACTAACACCCATCACAGTAACATACAAAAGTACATTCCCAAACATAACCCAGGCCAGTACCTGCAACTACTAACTCTAAGAGTACCACTCAGTCTGCAGCAATGGCATATGTGATGTGTCAGAAAAACAGTTCTCTTTTCCACAATTTACTAAATTGGTTAACAGCATTACCATTCCTTCAGTTGGGAAAGACAAACTTAACTCACCTCTGAATGCTCTCTCACACCTCATGTTCTAGTATTTCCTAAATCCTTCAATTCAGCTTGGAAATCTACCACCTTTTCTAACCATACCCATTGCCCTACTGCTGGCCCTCATCTGATATAGTATAGACTGATAATATTTTGTGGTCTTCCTGCCTCCAGTTTCTTCCGGTTGTGATATACTTTCCACATATAGCTTATAAAGGAATTCAACTGCTGAAAAATCTTCAATGTGCATTTTTGCCTAAAGTAAAATGTTGAAACTTCTCATCTCAGCAAAGAAAGCCTCCAATAATCAGGCCGGACGCAGTGGCTCACGCCTGTAATCCCAGGACTTTGGGAGGCCGAGGCAGGCAGATCACAGGTCAGGAGTTCAAGACCAGCCTGGCCAACATAGTGAAACCCCATCTCTACTAAATACAAAAATTAGCAGGGTGTGGTACCACGTGCCTCTAATCCCAGCTACTCAGGAGGCTGAGGCAGGAGAATCACTTGAACCCGGGAGGCAGAAGTTGCAGTGAGCCGAGATTGCACCATTGCACTCCAGCCTGGGTGACAGAATGAGACTCCATCTCAAAAAAAAAAAAAAAGAAAGTTCTCCCATAATCAAACCTACCTTACTGTCTGAGTTTCTCATCATCATAACCTCCTCACATACCACTTAGCCACAATGATCTGAAAATTAGCCAAAACAGGCTGCATATTTCGATGTTACTCTATCTTTGCTCACACTGCCCTTGTTGCCTAGCCCCCCATTCCCACCATATTTTCCTAGTAAATGCCAACTCATCATTTGAAACCTAGCTCACATGTCATCTTTGCTTTAATGCCTTCTCTAACTTTCCCTAGCAAAACTATAGTAAGATAGGAAACGCTAAATGATGTTTAAGAAACACATACTATACACAGTGGTTAGGAACCATACTAGATCTTCAGATCACCTCTCTATGTAGCACTAAACAACAATCATGAACTAGCTGGGTGCACTGACTCACACCTGCAATCCCAGCACTTTGGGAGGCCAAGGCAGGAGAATCGCTTGAGCCCAGGAGTTCTGAGACCAGCTTGGGCAACACAGTGAGACCCTGACTCTATAAAAATTAAAAAATAAAAAATTAGGGCTGGGCATAGTGGCTCATGCCTATAATCCCAGCACTTTGGGAGGCCGAGGTGGGTGGATCACGAAGTCAAGAGATCGAGACCATCCTGGCCAACCAACATGGTGAAACCTCATCTCTACTAAAAATACAAAAATTAGCTGGGCGTTAGTGGTACACACCTGTAGTCCCAGCTACTAGGGAGGCTGAGGCAGGCGAGTCGCTTGAATCCGGCAGGCGGAGGTTGCAGTGAGCTGAGATCGCGCCACTGCACTCCAGCCTGGTCGACAGAGCAAGACTCAGTCTCAAAAAAATAAAAAATAAATAAAAAATAAAAAATTAGCCAGGCATGGTGGTGTGCACCTATAGTACCATCTACTAGGGAGGCTGAGGTGGGGGGATCCCATGAACCCTAGAGTATGAGGCTGCAGTTAGCCATGATCATGCTACTGCATTCCAGCCTGGGTGACAGAGTAAAAAATCCAGTCTCAAAAAAAAAAAATTTTAAACAATGAACTATTGTTTACATGACCCTTTAAATATAAATGCATTAGGGATTCATTTTTTAAATAAAATGTTTTCCTTCTCTCAGTTGTATCTATGTGACATTGCTATTTATTAGCTAAAATCAGCCAATTTCAAAAAACTACCCATCAAGATTTTGAGAAAAAAAGACTAAATAAAGGTACAGTTCTACTCCTCTCTTTGAAGAGGATATATATACAATCCCTGATTTTTTAAGTCCAGCACGGTGGCTCATGCTTATAGTCCTAGCACTCTGGGAGGTTGAGGTGGGAGGATTGCTGGAGTCCAGGAGTTCAAGACTAGTCTGGGCAACATAGCAAGATCCTGTCTCTAGAAAAAAATGAAAAATTAGCCAGGTGTGGTGGTGTACACCTGTAGACCCAGCTACTAGGGAAGCTGAGGTGGGAGGACTGCTTGAGCCAAGGAGGTCAAAGCTGAAGTGAGCCGTGATTGCACCACTGCATTCCACCATGGGTGACAGAGCGAGCCCTTGTCTTACAAAAAAAAAAAAAAAAAAAAAAAAATACAAGGGGAAAAAACGGAGGGAGAGATTAAAAGATACTAAGAGGTCGGGCACAGTGGCTCACACCTGTAATCCTAGCACTTTCAGAGGCCCAGGCGGGTGAATCCTTTGAACTCAGTTTGAGACCAGCATGGGGAACATGGCAAAACTGGTCGCTACAAAAAAAAAAAAAAAAAATACAAAAATTAGCCAGGTGTTGTGGCACACACCTGTAGTCCCAGCTACTTGGGAGGCTGACAGGGGAGGATCACTGGAGCCCAGGTGGTCAAGGCAACAGTAAGCCAAGATTGTGTCACTGCACTCCAGTGTGGGTGAAGGAGTAAGAACCTGCCTCAAAAGAAACAACAAACCAGATGCTGAGAGACAGACCATCCAAATGCTATGTATGGACCTTGCTTGTATCCTTATTCTGACATTTTTTTTTTGAGACAGACATTCGCTTTGTCGCCCAGGCTGGAGTGCAGTGGCACAATTTTGGCTCACTGCAAGCTCCGCCTCCCAGATTCATGCCATTCTCCTGCCTCAGCCTCCCGAGTAACTGGGACTACAGGCGCCTGCTGCCATGCCTGGCTAATTTTTTGTATTTTTAGTAGAGACGGGGTTTCACTGTGTTAGCCAGGATGGTCTCGATTTCCTGACCTCATGATCCGCCCACCTCAGCCTCCCAAAGTGCTGGGATTACAGGCATGAGCCACCGTGCCCGGCTACAAATTAATTCTTTGAAGAAGAGAGACAGACACACAAAGACAACTGGAGATATCTGAACACTGACTAGATACGTGATGCTATCATGGAACTGGTCTTTTTAAATAGGTGTGATAATGGCATGTGGTTAGGCAGTGTTTAAAAAAACCAAATCTTTTAGAAATATACATGAAAATACTTCATAAACAAATATTCATTTATAAAACATCTGGGATTTGCTTTTGAATAAGAGAGAGGTAGAGTTAATGATTATTGTCACGGAACAATGGGTCAAGGGGATTCATTATACTATCTTTCTATTTTTGTAATGTTTCAAATTCTCCAGTAAAAAGCATTTCAAAAAAAGAAAAAAAGATGTTATTTTCCTCAATTATTTGCCTCATTTTAAGTCCTCTTTGATCCATGCAAGTTTAAACGTCTTCCTTCAAGCAAACTTCAACTAAACATATATCAATAAATTTCTCCCCCTGGAATCTTAAGTTGGTGCCTATTGAGGCTTAAACACATGAGGTCTTCTTTACTTACCTTGTCAGATAATTCATTTTCCACATCTTTCTTGATTCTCCTCAGCATAAATGGCTTCAAAATCATGTGTAAGCGAGAAAGTTGATCTGAAATGCCGGGAGGCCCCCAAATAATACATTATAGTGATTTCACAAAAACAACAGAAACAAATACCACATTCACCTCTCACCAAACTCTTCAAAACTCCTTTGGCTCAATGATTCTCTAAAAGCAGACTGAAACTTTTTCCCAAGTAGGAAAGCAAGGAATTTTAATTTTTTATACCATCTTGCTATAGTCAACAGGATAAATATACTAGGCTCTATTTTCATTAGAATTCATTTTTAGGTTTTAGGGACATTTTATCACTAATAGGGTTGTAAGTATAAGAAAAATTATCTGAGACTCTCAGTGTTCCCCAAAAATTACCTTCCAAAGGATGTCAGCAAATTAACAACTCATAGTGTAAAATCACATAAGGATTTTTCTAATAGTGAGCAAGCTCATGTCTGTGTAATAAACACTTCAGAATGCTCTTAAAATCAGAGAGATATTATTCAACAATATCAAAAGTATTGATAAGGTTAAAAATGCTCACAATGAAAACAAATTCTAATACATAGAGAAAAATAACAAAAATGGTCCTTCTAATATTTGCTGTTTTTATCACAGGAAAAAAGCTTTGACCCATTAGACCCATAGCATTTGACCCATTTGACCCACAAAGAATTAAATATGAATTTTCTTTTGAGATGGAGTCTGGCTCTATCACCCAGGCTGGAGTGCAATGATGCAATCTCGGCTCACCGCAAACTCCATCTCCTGGGTTCAAGCGATTCACCCGCCTCAGCCTCCCGTGTAGCTGGGATTACAGGTACCCGCCATCATGCCCGGCTAATTTTTGCGTTTTTGTAGAGACAGGGTTTCACCATGTTGGCCAGGTTGGTCTTGAACTCCTGACCTAACGTGATCCGCCCACCTTAGCCTCCCAAAGTGCTGGGATTACAGATGTGAGCCACCATGCCTGGCCAATATGAATTTTTCAAGATCTAAATGGGAAATGTGAATTCTGCAAGCTAAAATATAATACTTTATGAATCAAGCCTGATCTGCCTTGATTAGACAAGACTACAGTAGTAATCATCTAAATTAGTTCTTTTTTGACTGTTAAATATGTACAAAAAACAAAATTATTTTATAAGCAAAAAATGTGGTTTTCTTCCCCGCTGATTTGTCTATGTATACTGGAAGAAAAATTATTCAAATAAAAGAAAATATGCAATTACGTGGTTGCCTACACTGATAGGTAGATAGAAAGCCAGCTCATAACAGTACTCACTCTCATCAATAGCAGATTTGTTTTCGGCATGGCTCTCAATGTCCTTGGAAAACCATTCATTAAATTCCTCATGTGAATCAAATAATGTTGGCATAATGAAATGCAGCAGAGCCCAAAGCTGTAAACAAAGACAAAAATGAAATAGCTATAGAGCAATAAAATGACAGCGTGTAAGGATGTATTAGATAGAGAAAATTGCAGGTGTATTAGTGTGTAAGTGCCTAGATGCATGTGTATGTGTGAATGAAAGACAGAAAATGAATGAATTCAACTACATTCTTGCCTCATCAACCAACCCTAATTTTATTAGGTGCTGTAGCAAAATGTGATTCTTTTTCAACTAATTTCAAACTAAAAGTTTCAAAGCGCAAGTCATGCTCAGATTTTGCAATGGGATAGTTTTAACGATCTTCTTATAAAAATCTATTCCATAATTGAACACAACCTAAGGTATGATAACTTGCTACTAATAATCCTAGATTAGGGGTTAGAAAAATATGGCCTGTTGGGCCAAGTCTGGTCTACCACTATTTTAAATCAAGTTTTATTGAAACATAGCCATGGCCATTCACTTATGTATTGCCTATGGCTACTTTATTACACAAGCAAAGTTGAGTAGCTGCAACCATGATTGCATGGCCTCCAAACTCTATAAAATATATACTATCTGTCAGTTTCTATAAAGTTTTCTTCTTTTGGTTTTTTTTTTTTTTTTTGAGATGGAGTCTCACTCTGTTGCCCAGGCTGGCATACGGTGGCACAATCTCGGCTCATTGTAACTTTGACCTCAGGATTCAAGCAATCATCCCAACTCTGCCTCCTAAGTAGCTAAGACTACAGGCATGCACCACTATGCCTGGCTAATTTTTTGATTTTTTTTGTAGCGTCCGGGTTTCACCACGTTGCCCAGGCTGGTCTTGAACTGCTGGGTTCAAGGCATCCTCCCACTTCGACCTCCCAAGTTGTTGGGATTACAGGCATGAGCAGCTGCACGCAGCCTCTATAAGGATTTCTGACCCTTATTCTAGATGATCAATTAACTCCCCCCAAAAATTTTAGCTCCCCTCTGTGTTAACAAATATTACATTTCAACTCTAGCAAAAACACGTCTCTGCATTAAATGTTTACATTTTCTAATGTGGTCAGTATTCCTTAAATACAAAAGAATACAGTAATTCATTGGCCTTATGCCAGAGAATAAGAAAACAGGAATGATGCCTATGCCTAAAAGACGACTTGGGGCAAGTCTTTTATGTGGGGACTATAATTTATACAAAGCAGTAGCACTGCAAGGGAATGGGTAAAGAATTCTATGCTCTGCTGGAATCCTTCTGTTTTATGAAGATATAAACCTGTGACCTGGACTAGTGCCTACCTCTGCCATGGTGTTCTGAATTGGGGTCCCGGTTAGCAAAAGCCGATTCCGACACTGGAACTGTAAGAGGATCTTCCAACGAACACTGTTTGATAAAATAAGTTACAAATTCATGTTAGCAATAAATTGTTCTTTAATTATCCTACTGAGACCCCATATTGACAAAAATGCCTTCCAAAAAACTAACATTCAGAATCAAGTACTCCATCATGTATTCAACTGAAAAACATTATTCAACAAAGCTGAAAACAGGACACTTCCAAGGGAAATGAGTCCTCTCTACTGAAAACACGGTATTTGGATTTAGAAAAAAATAGCCTCAAATAGGCAGAGTTGTATCATTTCTGGCTTTATAAACTCTTCTATTATCTTTAGTCATTTTTGCTGACATAAGTCATTTAATTAGAAAGTACATATCTGTGGTATAAAGTGTCAAAATTATTAATCTGTGCACTTCCAGTATGAGTTTGGAGAGAGCAGTTATGAGGAGTGTTGGTGAGAAGAAAATGTAAAATGAATCTTCATTGCTCCTGGCCAAAGGCATATGCTCCTTCGAACAACTGCAGTATGCCAAGCATGGTGGCTCATGTCTGTACTCCCAGCACTTTGGGAGGCTTGAGTGCAGGAGTTCAAGACCAACCTGTGCAGCATGGAGAAACCCCGTGTCTACTATAAATACAAAAAATTAGCCCAGCATGGTGGCACACGCCTATAGTCCCAGCTCTGAGACTGAGATGGGAGGATCGTTTGAGACAGGGAGGTCGAGGCTGCAGTGAGCCCCAACTGCGCCACTGCACCACTCCATCCTGGGCAACAGAGCAAGACCCTATCCCCTGTCTCAAAAAAAAAAAAAAAAGATTGCTGTAGGAAGTAAGACCTTTCTGAGGATAGAAAGTTCCACAGAAGGGCTCACGCCTGTAATCCCAGCACTTTGGGAGGCAGAGGCAGGTGGATAACCTGAGGTCAGGAGTTCGAGACAAGCCTGGCCACCATGGCAAAACCCCATCTCTACTAAAAATACAAAAATTAGCCGGACATGGTGGTGAGCACTTGTAATCCCAGCTACTCGGGAGGCTGAGGCAGGAGAATTGCTTGAATCTGGGAGGTGGAGGTTGCAGTGAGCCGAGACTGCGCCACTGCACACCAGCCTGGGCAACAAGAGTGAAACTACATCTCAAAAAAAAAAAAAAAAAAAAAAAGAAAGAAAGAAAAGAATAGAAAAAACAAAGTTCTACAGAAAATATCATCTAGCCAGTTAACATGGACCTCTAATAAATTTCTAACGACTCACCATGAGTTAATAAAAAAAATATCAAGCCTGAGGTTTAATATCACCAAATAACACTTTTTATTTACTTTGGGACCTCAAAGGTATTGGAATATTTTAAACACATAACTTAGAATAAAAGGATTCTTGGAGATCTGAAAACCATCCAGGGTCTCAGATAATCAACATAAAACAAACAGAGCATCCAATCCACATAACCTAACATTCTACCTCCTACTTAGAACTCCTATCTAAAATAATACCTTAAAGCAAGGGCAGAGACTCCTTCCTCTATAGAAATTTTCCCTGAAGAGATGACCTGTAAAAATGTCACCTTCTTGAACAGGGAGATAAAAGTTGAGAAAAGTCTTGGTATTCTTGGCATTAACATTTGTGTTCCATGAAAAAATAAAAAAAGGGAATTTTTGCCTTCTGATCAGGTACACGACTGATGCAGAGATCATGTCACGTCATATTTAAAACCTCTCATATATTGGACGGGTGGCTCATCCCTCTAATCCCAACACCTGGGGAGGCCGATGCGAGAGGATCGCTTGAAGCCAGGAGTTCAAGACTAGCCTGGGCAGCAAAGCGAGACCTTGTCTCTATTAAAAAAATTAAATAAAACTTCTCATATCTTGATTTTATTCATATATACAAGTCTGTGTGTGTGTGTGTGTGCGTGTGTGTGTGTGTGTGTGTGTGTACTTAACCCAATGCATTGAGTTTGGTTTCTACTACTCATGTTACCTGGAACTACTCTTGAGCGCCTGAGCCTCATCCAGTACCATGTATTGCCACTTGACCCGCTGGAAATACTTTACATCCTGCACCACCAGCTGATAGCTGGTAATAACCACATGGAAGGGGGCATCCTGAGTGTAGAGGGTCTTCTGTAAATATAAAAGGGGAAGGGTGAAAAGAGAAACCTAATAATTCATAATAAGGAACTGATGTATGGACTGTTTTTCTAGGGCCAAAATGTTTAAGACAGCCCTGAAGATGTGCTTCTCCCATATGGTAGGGAGATGTGCAGTGAAGTGAACCATACTGTGGGGTTTTGTCTGTTGTTTTGCTGTTGTTGAGAGGGTCTCACTCCGTTACCCAGACTAGAGTCCAGCAGCGTGAACATGGCTCACTGCAAACACAACCTCCTGGGCTCACGTGATCCTCCTGCCTTAGTCTCCCAAACAGCTGGGACTACAGGCATATACCACCATGCCCGGCTAATTTTTTTATTTTATTTTATTTTATGTAGAGATGGGGTCTCACTATGTTACCCAGGCTGGTCTCGAACTCCTGGACTCAAGTGATCCTCCTGCCTCGGCCTCCCAAAATGCTGGGATTATAGGCATGAGCCACCATGCCCGGCCACTATAACTGTTTTTAAAGCAGTCACATTTACCACAAACTAGGCTGAAACTAGTCTTCAGCTTATTAAAGAAAAAAGTTCTGGCCAGGTGTGGTGGCTCACACCTGTAATCCCAGCACTTTGGGAGGCCGAGGCAGGAGGATCACTTAAGCCCAGGAGTTTGAGACCACCCTGGGCAACAGGTTGAAACCACATCTCTATAAAAAATACAAAAATTAGCCGGGCATGGTGTAGCGAGCCTATAGTCCCAAAAATTAGCTGGGTGTGCTGTCTCCTGCTTGTAGTTTGGGTGGCTGAGGTGGGAGGATTGCTTGAGCCAGGAGGTCAAGGCTACAGTGAAATGTGATCATGCCACTGCACTCCAGCCTGGGCAACAGAGCAAGACCTTGTCTCAAAAAAAAAGATTCTTAATTAATCCTGGAAATCAAGTCCAGCTGATTGCCTACAACAGGAAAAGTATTGTATCAGAAAAATGGAAACTTGATCAGTGTCCAGAAATATATAATAGATAAGAAGATTTTTGTCTAAAAGAAATTATCCACATCAATTAGAGAAATAATGACTGCATGTACGGTACGTATGTATGCAGTTTAAGTAGAATGTTACCTGACTCCAGAACCTTCTGATGACTTTTCTATCATGAGGATTTCCCCAATATGGTAGCACCTAGAAAAAGGGCCAATATATACATTACTTTCTATAGATGATCTTAAAAGTATTAGAACAAATATATAATTCGGAACAATTTAAAAAGAAACTAATAAAATGAGCATAGGAATTCCTCTCCTGCCAATGGTGGAATAAATGGTTTAACCAACCCTGTTGTCCAAATAGAAAGACACACACACAATTCATTTGTCTGAAGGCATAAAACAGCTACTGAGACAGTGGGCAATTACAGAGGCCCAAATCAGAAAACAACGGAAGCCCAGAGAGGTAAGCCTAGTATGTGGTATACTTTATCACTGATGGTATCATGGCATTACAAAAGTTCTAGTTGAGAGGGTAAGAAACTGAGGACACTTTTTCTTAAGAGATGTAAGATAGGCTGGGCATGGTAGCTCACGCCTGTAATCCCAGCACTTTGGGAGGTCGAGGCAGGCGGATCACCTGAGGTCAGGAGTTGGAGACCAGCCTGGCCAACATGGTGAAACGTCTCTACTGAAAATACAAAAATTAGCCGGGTGTGGTGGCACGCGCCTGTAATCCCAGCTACTAGGGAGGCAGAGGTTGCAGTGAGCAGAGATGGCGCCACTGCACTCCAGCCTGGGGGACAAGAGCAAGACTTTGTCTCAGGAAAAAAAAAAAACAAAAAGATGTAAGACATAGAGAACAAAAATTGTAGTTCAAGGAAAAAGACTCTTGTAACCAGCCACATCCCTGGCTTTAAGTTGGAAGTCAAAGGCTACAAGGTAGTAGTAACAGTAAATCATACATAGACTTGCCTAGACTTCCCTGAATAGGTACCGACTCCCCGCCTCAAGACATCTGAATTCCAGATTAAAAAGGCTTTGAATAATTTGCATCCCCACCAACCCCCAAATAATTACTAGTGGCAAAAAAACACATAAATCCTCTCTAGAAGAAAACAGTTGTGAGAGCCCACACTTATCTCTATAGCTTTTCCTATACAATGTCTGGCATAGCATTAAAAAATAACCAGACATATAGAAAGACCGTATCACATGAATGAAAGCCTACATGAAAGAAAGATAACGTACACAGAGGAGATTAAAATAATAAAAATATTAAAAACAGACTTTTGGCCAGGAGTAGTGGCTCATGCCTGTAATCCCAGCATTTTGGGAGACTGAGGCTGGCAGATCACCTGAGCATGGGAGTTTCAGACCAGCCTGGGCAACATGGTGAAACTCTCTCTCTACAAAAAATACAAAAGTTAGCTAGGTGTGGTGACACGCGCCTGCAGTCCCAGGAACTCACGAGTCTAAGGCAGAATTGCTTGAGCCTGGGAGAGGTTGCAGTGAGCCAAGATTGTGCCACTGCACTCCAGCCTGGGCAACAGAGCAAGACTTTGTTTCAAAAAAATAAATAAATAAAAGTTTAGGCCGGGCACAGTGGCTCACACCTGGAATCCTAGCACTTTGCAAGGCCAAAGCAGGTGGATCACGAGCTCAGGAGATAGAGACCACCCTGGCCAACATGGTGAAACACCGTCTCTACCAAAAATACAAAAAAAAAAAAAAAAAAAAAAATTAGCCAGGAGTGGTGGCACACACCTGTAGTCGCAACTATTCGGGAGGCTGAGGCAGGAAAATCGCTTGAACCCAGGAAGCAGAAGTTGCAGTGAGCCGAGATCGTGCCACTGCACTCCAGCCTGGGCGACAGAGTGAGACTGTGTTTCAAAAAAATAAATAAAATAAAAAAATTTAAAAATAAAAATGAAAAATACTTTAAAAAATGCTAATTTGTTAATGAAAAACAAGATAGAGAATTTCAATGGTATGCTATAAATTATAAAAGAATCAAAGCGAATTTTTAGAACTGAAAAATATAGTAACTAAAATCAAGAAATTAATGAATGGATCTAATGACAGATTAGATGCAGCTAAAGAGAAAATTAGTGAACTAGATGACAAGTCAGAAGAAAATATCCAGATTAAAGCACAAAGAAACAACAGAATGCAAGATTCAGCACTTTTTCTGTGATGTTTTCTAGATGTGGTTTTCTTTCTCCTTATCCCTGCACCTCACAGGGCTTCTTGAATCTACAGACCGCTATCTTTTGTTGTTCTGAAAAATTTCAGCCAAATGGAAGCAGAAATATGCAGGAAGAAATGAAGATTAATAAAAATTGAATATACAATATGAAAAAATCTAAACATAAAATATATAAGCAATAATAAAATGTCTCATGGGGTTTAAAATATAAAAAGTATACAAAACCTACAGCATATAAGTCGAGACAAAAGGGATGTAGTCCAAGTATACCGAAGTCTTTATATTATCCAGAAAGTAGTAACTCTTAATTTATATTATTATTATTTTTTAAGTCAAGAAGGCAAGTTTTTCCCCCAGATTATCTACTAGAGAATAAAATAGGCCAAGTATGGTGGCTCATGCCTGTAATCTCAGCACTCTGGGAGGCTGAGGCGGATGGATCACCTGAGGCCAGGAGTTCAAGACCAGCCTGGCCAACATGGCAAAACCCTGTCTCTACTAAAAATACAAAAATTAGCTGGGCGCAGAGGTTGCAGTGAGTGGAGATCACACCACTGCACTGAAGCGTGGGTGACAGAGTGAGACTCTGTCTCCAAAAAAAACCAAAAAGAATAAAATAAATACATGACTAGTGCTATGGTTTGAACATCTCTCTCGAGGTTTATGTGCTGGAAACTTAATCTCCAATGCAACAGTACTGAGAGGTGGGAGCTTTCAGGGGTGAGAAGGTCATGGGGGCTTTGCCCTCATGAATGAATTAATGCCATTATCACAGGAGTCCCCCTCACCCTGGGCTCTTCTGCTCCTCTGCCTTCCAATCTGGAGTGATGCAACAAGAAGGCCCTTGTGAGATGAGGACGCCTCACTTTTTGACTTCTCAGGCCCTCTGGAACTATAACAAATAAATCTCTTTTCTTTATAAATTACTCAGTTTTCTGTGTTTTGTTATAGCAGCACAAAACAAACTAAGACAAATAATAAGCTAAGAGAGGGAGGGAGAGCAGTAACATTTAATCAGTCCAAAAGGACATAAGAAAGGAGAGAACCAAAACACTGGGACACATTTCTCAGGATCTCCTGAGCGCTGTCATGGGCCAAAAAATGTTTTTAAAATAGGGTGGGCGCAGTGGCTCATGCCTGTAATCCCAGCACTTTGGGAAGCTAAGGTGGGCAGATTACCTGAGGTCAGGAGTCCAAGACCAGCCTGGCCAACATGGTGAAACCCCATCTCTAGTAAAAATACCAAAATTAGTTGGGTGTGGTGGTAGGTGCCTGTTATTCTAGCTACTCAGGATGTTGAGGCAGGAGAATTGCTTGAACCTGGGAGGCAGAGGTTGCAGTAAGCTGAGATCACATCACTGCACTCCAGCCTGGGCCACAGAGCCAGACTCCGTCTCAAAAAAAATTTTAATGTAAAAATAAGGAAAAGAGAAAAATTAAACAGGTGCCACAAGTAGAAAAACAATTAGGAAGGAAGACTTAAAACTCAATATATCAGCATTTACATTAAAAGCACAAATATTCCCAACAAGAGGCAAGAAATACACCTTAAGGTCGGGCACGGTGGCTCACACCTATAATCCCAGCACTTTGGGAAGCTGAGGCAGGCGGATCACTTGAGGTCAGGAGTTAGAGACCAGCCTGGCTAACATGGTGAAACCCCGTCTGTACTAAAAATACAAAAATTAGCCGGGCGTGGTGGCATGCGCCTGTAATCCCAGCTACTAGGAAGGCTGAGACAGAATTGCTTGAACCCTGGAGACGGAGGTTGCAGTGAGCTGAGATTGCGCCACTGCACTCCAGCCTGGCGACAGATAGACTCCGTCTCAAAAAGAGAAATGCACCATAAATGATGTAAAATGATTACAAATAAAAGGAAGAAAAAAAGCCATGTAAAAATTAAGCAAAGACGCCCTCACATTCTGTATTCAGAAAAAAATTAAAGAAAAACAATATATATCAGAAAATACAGACTTTTAGTCAAAAAGTCTTTAAAAGGAAAATTTCATAATAATAAAAGGTTCAGTTCACCAGGAAGAGTATAAATCTTACAGCCTCAAAATATATAAAGCAAAAATGGACAGAAGAGAAATGGACAAATCCATAATCATGGTATGTTTTAATATACCACTCTCAGTCAGTGACAGAATAGGCAGACGAATCAGTAAAGACATGAAAGAGCTGAACAACTTAACAAACTTTGACCTAAATCAACATATATGCAACACTGCAATGAATAAGGGCAGAATACCTATAATTTTCCAATACACAAAGGACATATAAACACTGACAATATGCTGAGACATAAAAATGAGGGTTCAACAAATTTCAAAGTATTAAAGTCATAAAAAGTTTCTTTTACCAATGTGAATTTAAGGTATCAATTAATAACAAACAAGACATCTAGACAATCCTCCACTGTTTGAAAATTATGAATTACACTTTTTATTTTTTAAAAGAGATAGGGTCTCGCCCTGTTGCCTAGGCTGGAGTACAGTGGTGTGATCATAGCTCACTGTAGCCTTGAACTCCAGGGCTCAAGTGATCATCCCACCTAGAAATACACTTTTAAATAAACCATAGATCAAAAATGAACTTGCAATGGAAGTTAGAGATTATGATGAAGTGAAAGACAATGTATATATGACACATCAAACCTTTGGATGGCTAAAGTCATGCTCAGAAAGCAATGAGTATCCTTAAATGTACATCTATTAGAAGCTGAAAATCAATACTCTAAGCTCCATCTCAAGACATCAGATAAAGAAAAAAGCTGGCTGGGCATGGTGGCTAACGTCTGTAATCCAAGCAGTTTGAGAAGCCAAGGTAGAAGGATCGCTTGAGCTCAGGAATTTGAGACCAGCCTGGCCAACGTGGGGAAACTCAGCCTCTACTAAGAATAAAGAAATTCACTGGGCATGGTGGCAGGCTCCTGTAGTCCCAGTTACACGGGAGCTTGAGGCAGAAGAACTGCTTGAACCCGGAGGAGGCAGAGGTTGCAGTGAGCCAAGATCATGTCACTGCACTCCAGCCTGGGAAACAGAGCGAGACACTGTCTCAAAAAAAAGGTAGAAAAAGAGTGCAGTGTGGGGCTGTGTTCCAATACGTATGACTTTCAACTTTGTATGTCACATTCTATGAAAGTTTATTTTTTTATCAATAATTTTAAAAAGTAAAAACTATTCTTAGTTTACAGCCATTCAAAAACAGGTAGCAGGCCAGGCTCGGTGATTCACGCCTGTAATCCTAGCACCTTGGGAGGCAGAGGAGGGCAGATCACCTGAGGTCAGGAGTTCAAGACCAGCCTGGCTAACATGGTGAAACTCCGTCTCTACCAAAAATACAAAAATTAGCTGGGTGTGGTGGTACACCCCTGTAGTCCCAGCTACTCGGGAGGCTGAGGCAAAATTGCTTGAACCTGG
The DNA here is from genome assembly GCF_000001405.40 of Homo sapiens. Classification (NCBI taxonomy): domain Eukaryota; kingdom Metazoa; phylum Chordata; class Mammalia; order Primates; family Hominidae; genus Homo; species Homo sapiens. The sequence continues at coordinate 41,065,362 of NC_000015.10, forward strand.
GAGGCGGAGGTTGCAGCGAGCCAAGATCACGCCACTGCACTCCAGCCTGGGCGACAGAGCAAGACTCTGTGTCATAAAACAAAAAACAAAAAACAAAAAAAACAGGTGGAAGATTCCTTAATAAGTAGAATTACCATATGACCTAGCAATTCTACTCATAGGTACATACCCAAAAGAAGTGAAAACAGTAAAAGTGTTCAAACAAAAACTTGCACAGGAATGTTCATAGCAGTACTACTCACAACAGCCAAAAGGTGGAAACAACCCAAATATTCATCAACAGATGAATGGATGAACAAAATGTGATATATATATACACAATGGAATATTACTCAGCCATATAAAGGAATAAAGCACTGACACATGCTATAATATGGATGAAGCTTGAAAACTTTATACTCAGTAAAAGAAGCCAGACAGAAACAGCATTCACAAAGTGTTCAGAATAAGCAAATCCAGCCACAGCAGTCAAATTTGTGGTTGCCAGAGGCTACAGCACAAGGTGAATAGAACGTGATTGCTTAGTGGGTAAAGGCCTTCTGTTTGGGCTGATGAAAAAGTTATGAAACTAGACAGCAGTGATGGTTACACAAGATTGTGAATGCACCTAATGCTACTACATTGTACTTTTTTTTTTTTTTTTTTTTTGAGACAGAGTTGTGCTCTTGTTGCCCAGGCACAATCTCGGCTCACCACAACCTCTGCCTCCTGGGTTCAAGCGATTCTCCTGCCTCAGCCTCCCGAGTAGCTGGGATTACAGGCATGTGCCACCATGCCCAGCTAATTTTGTATTTTTAGTAGAGATGGGGTTTCTCCACATTGGTTAGGCTGGTTTAGAACTCCCGACCTCAGGTGACCCCCCTGCCTCAGCCTTCCGAAGTGCTGGGATTACAGGCGTGAGCCACCGCACCCGGCCCATTTTTTTATAAGCTTGGTCTGCAGGCATGCACTACCATATCCAACTAACTTTTAAATTTTTTGTAGAGACAAGGTCTACGTTGGCAAGGCTGTTCTTGAACTTCTGGACTCAAGTGATCTTCCCACCTTGGCCTCCCAAAGTACTGGGATTACAGGCATGACCCACCAGGCCCAGCCCATTTTTAAATAGTTAAAATGGTAAATACTATGTTCTATGTATTTTGTCACAATAAAAAATATATTGGGGCACTAGGAAAAAAAAAATCAAGCCAACTGCAGTGGCTCGTGCCTATAATCCCAGCACTTTAAGAGGCCAAGGTGGGATGATTGTGTGAGGCCAGGAGTTAGAGACCAGCCTTGGCAACATAGCAAGACGGCACCATAAAATTAAAAAAAAAAAATTAGCAGGGTGTGGCGCTGCATGCCGGTAGTCCTAGCTACTTGGGAGGCTGATGTGGGAGAATGGCTTGAGGTGGAGTTCAGGGCTGCGGTGAGCTATGATCACGTCTCAGCACTCCACCTTGGGAGACAGAAGGAGAAAATGTCTCTAAGAAAAAAAAAAAAAGCAAAAAAAAAAAAAAAAATCAAAAGAGGTGGCAACACCCACAGGGTATATAATCCTAAATTAGGATATCGAAAGAAAGTTCAACATGCAAATGATAGCTCTGTTTCAGGCATACTTATAAAGTCAAAGGAAAGGCATCAATGACATTAGTAATATCACATTGCCATCTATCAGCAGTGGAAGAGCTACTGAAAACTTAAGTGGTTTGGTGAAAAAATTTTAAGACCTTTTATTTTTCTTTTTTCTTTTTGAGACGGATTCTCACTCTGTCGCCCAGGCTGGAGTGCAGTGGCATGATCTCGGCTCACTGCAAACTCTGCCCCCCGGGTTCAAGCAATTTTCCTGCCTCAGCCTCCCGAGTAGCTGGGATTACAGGCGCCCGCCATAACACCTGGCTGATTTTTGTATTTTTAGTAGAGACAGGGTTTCACCATCTTGGCCAGGCTGGTCTTAAACTCCTGACCTTGTGATCCACCCGCCTCACCTCCTAAAGTGCTGAGATTACAGGCATGAGCCACCATGCCCGGCCAAGATCTTTTATTTTTCAAGATCTGCATTGTTCAATATATACTGAACATCATATGAAAAAAAAAGCAGAAAAAGATGGTGATCACCATTCCACAAGACAAACAATTTAAGAGAAAATAGTCAACAAACTGCATTAGAATGATCTCATCATCATCTCAGCAAGATGAAAATGAGTCAGTCAAATTAAAAGCTATATATCCTAACACTCCTTATACAGTTTCTACATCTACAATTTAGCCACAAAATGGGACCACAGCCATAAAGCTGCCTCAAAGTGGGAAATCCCAGACAATTTCCTATTCCATACAAAGCATAAGCCAGAAAAATACCTGCCTCACATTTCTACCCTATCCCAAGCTCCAACTACAGGAAACCCATCACTATTACAGAGACCCAAAATCACAGAGATCATGTCAACATATTTTGATATATAATCTCCAAAATACTATCTTAACTGTGCAACTTCATTATCATATTCCTTTAGGGACAGAACACATATTTAACTCATTTTCAATTCTTTTAAATTGCAAACAATAAATCCTATTCATTCTTTCTTAAATTCCTCCAACTTTTCATAACTAAGCAGCTGTTTAAATCTAATCAATGTCTTGCCCAATGGATGCCAAATACTTCCCTGATCACCCCCTACTTCAACCTGAATTCTTTTCCTCTGAATTAATTAAATCGATGTTCACATTATCTACCTTAGACATTATAAGCTGGACTAAGACTAGAGATCAGACTTTAGAGTATTAAGAAAATGAACTGGCTGGGTTTGGTGGCTCGTGCCTGTAATCCCAGGACTCTGGGAGGCTGACGCAGAAGGATGACTAGAGGCCAGGAGTTCAAGACCAGCCTGGGCAACATAGTGAGACCTGCCTCTACTAAAAAAGCAAAATGGGCTGGATGGAGTGGCTCACACCTGTAATCTCAGCACTTCAGGAGGCTGACATGGGTGGATCACCTGAGGTCGGGAGTTCGAGACCAGCCTGACCAACATCGTCAGTAGAGAAACCCCGTCTCTACTAAAAATACAAAATTAGCCGGGCATGGTGGCACATGCCTGTAATCCCAGCTACTCGGGAGGCTGAGGCAGAAGAATCACTTCAACCCTGGAGGCAAAGGTTGCGGTGAGCAGAGTTTGCACCATTACACTCTAGCCTGGGTAACAAGAGTGAAACTCTGATTAAAAAAAAAAACAACAGCTGTGTGCGGTGGCTCATGCCTGTAATCCTTGCGTTTTCGGAGGCCCAGGCATGTGGATCACCTGAGGTCAAGAGTTTGAGACCAGCCTGGACAACATGGTGAAACCCTCTCTCTATTAAAAATACAAAACAATTAGCTGGGCATGGTGGCAGACACCTGTAATCCCAGTTACTCAGGAGGCTGAGGCAGGAGGATTGCTTGAACCTGGGAGATGGAGGTTGCAGTGAGCCGAGATTGTGCCACTGCACTCTAGCCTCGGCGACAGAGTGAGACTCCATCTCAAAACAAAAACAAAAACAAGACATGTATTAAAAAAAAGAAATGAATTATTTACAATAGATTTAAATGAAAAGAGAAATGCCGTAAATGATAGGATGTGTACTGATGGTATGATTTGTCAAAAATCTATGTTAAACCAAATAAGGTAGATGTTTTCTACCGTGGCAGTTTGACCACGAGTATCCATTTATCAGGCTAAATGCAATATGCACTCATTGTTCCCAGCAGTAAGTTTTATAGTGATTATATGCAAGTTATTTTGGAACAATGTATATTTTTGTTTTTGTGACGGAAGGAGTCTTGCTCTGTCGCCCTGGATGGAGTGCAGCGGCACATTCTCGGCTTGCTACAACCTCCCTTCACTGCAACCTCCCCTCGCCCCCTCACCCCCCTGGCCCTGCCCCGTTCAAGCGATTCTCCTGCCTCAGCCTCCTGAGCAGCTGGGACTACAGACACATGGCACCATGCCCGGCTAATTTTTTTTTTGTATTTTTAGTAGAGACGGGGTTTCACCATGTTAGCCAGGATGATCTCGACTTCCTGACCTCGTGATCCACCCACCTCAACCTCCCAAAGTGCTGAGATTACAAGTGTGAGCCCCCAAGTCCGGCCAAAATTTAAAACTGTTATGAGTAATTAGTAGGGCAAGAAAAGGAGAGTCAAAAAGTTTATTTTAAAGAGCAATAGATGTTTTGGTTGGACTGATATTTACCTTAAATTTAGGAACAAATCTAGTAAACTCCTGGTGCCAATTGTTAAGTGTAGACGCAGGTGAAATTATTAAGAAAGGTCCCCAAATGTTCTCTCTCTGCAACAGAAAAACCCAGTCAGCCAACTACAGGAAAAGGGAAGGTATTTAATTCAAAATTATAATTAATGACAAGAACAATCTAAGAATAGGAAACAAATAACAAGAGAAACAGTGAGTAAATCCCAAATCTGCACATTCAATAGTAATATCCTATGTTAATAATAAGAACATAAAGACACACCTGAGAAAAAAATGGCAAGCAACTATTCCCTCTTCTGACCTCTTATAGGTCTTATCCACAAAGCATTCATGACACACTGACTTGTATGTATTGTTTTCTACTATACTAGTTATCCGACAATCTTGTAGTTATTTAATAGGTATAGAGCTTTTGCTTTTTTTTCAGTTTTACGCATTTTTAAAATTTAATTCTTATAAAATTCCTATAAAGTAGATAACGTCTCCATAGAAGAGGAAGAGGAAGAGGAAACTAAGCCTCAGAGAGTTAAGTTGAAAAAGAGGCTAAATTGCCCAAGTTTACACTGGTAATAAGAGTAGAGCTGAAATGTTAGGCAAGGTGTTCTGATCTAACTATATGGCCCTTGCCACTACACTGGTGGTAATTAATGCAGAGCGGAAAGGAGTGTCTCAAAATCACATGCTCAAAAATTGTCCTAGCCCTCTTAAAAACCAAAAAGTTATAAAACACTGTCCCCTTATAAAGCTCTGAGGCAAGAACCCAGTCCCACTATCTTGGAATGCTACACAGCTTAACATAGTGCTTTTAAGTGGCTGATTTTCAACAGAAATTACCCTAAATTCTAGAGAAATGAAGATAGAAAGATTGCATCTACCCACCTCAGCCAGATGGGCCAGAAGGGCAATGCTCTGTACTGTTTTACCAAGGCCCATTTCATCAGCAAGAATGCCATTAATACCCTGGGGAAAAAAAATACATGGTCAACACCTCATGCATTTCATCAAATAAAGTTCAACCTGTTACCAAAAAGAACGACCAAGATAACAGGCTTGTTTAAAGAGAAGTGACCAGAGATACTCAGCCTCAGCACTTTTACCCACTGCTATAGTAATTGCTTTTGCCAATGCTACAGCTACAACTATGAACCATGATACATGAGACAGGGCAAGGCCAATCTGTTAGCTAATACAACCCAGACACAAAAGCAATTAGATTTACCAAGTCCATATAAGACAAACCATAAGAAATACACAAATATTCTCCAGTAGGATCTCCAGGTTACAAAAAAACAAAAAGACATCAGCTGGGTGCAGTGGCTCATGCCCGTCCCGGCACTTTGGGAGGCCGAGGCAGGCATATCGCATGAGCCCAGGAGTTTGAGACCAGTCTGGGCAACATGGAGACAGCCCGTTTCTACAAAAAATACAAAAATTAGTCAGGCGTGGTGGCATGTGTCTGCAGTCCCAGCTATTCTGGGGGCTGAGGCAGGAGGGTCACTTGAGCCCAGGAGTTTAAGGCTACAGTGAGCCATAAACGCACCACTCCACTTCAGCCTGGGTGACAGAGTAAGATCCTGTCTCAAAAAGAAAGAGAAACAGAGACATCCTTCTGCCTCTTGTCAAAGGATATAGCTTTTTATTTTTTAATAAATCTACATTAATTTATTTTTAATTATACTTTAAGTTCTAGGGTACATGTGCACAACGTGCAGGTTTGTTACATATGTATACATGTGCCATGTTGGTGTGCTGCACCCATTAACTCGTCATTTACATTAGGTATTTCTCCTACTGCTATCCCTCCCCAGGATACAGCTTTTTAAAAGGGTGAAATCTAAAACATGATCTTGTACTCATTTCCTTTTTTTTTTTTTTTTTTTTTTTGAGATAGAGTTTTGCTCTTGTTGCCCAGGCTACAGTGCAATGGCGCCATCTTAGCTCACCGCAATCTCCGCCTCCCAGATTCAAATGATTCTCCTGCCTCAGCCTCCCAAGTAGCTGGGATCACAGGCATGCACCACCATGCCAGGCTAATTTTGTATTTTTTTTTTTTAGTAGAGATGGGGTTTCACCATGTTGGTCAGGCTGGTCTCGAACTCCCAACCTCAGGTGATCCGCCTGCCTTGGCCTCCCAAAGTGCTGGAATTGCAGGCATGAGCCACCGCGCTCAGCCAGATCTTGTACTCATTTCACAATCACATTGAACAAATGACTTTAGGAAAAGAGATAATAGAAGAGAATGACACGGTTCTAAAATTCACCTGTTCATATAGATTGGCCAACCAATTCATGCCTTTCAGTTGATAACCTTTCAATTTGCCATTAAAAATTGTGGGCTGTGGAATATCCTCACCAGCCCGGATAGATGGGTTAGCCAGGCTATAACTCTCCCCAAACCCAGTGCCAGACTTGTTTGCTGCCCGTAGGGCAGCTGCTCGACTTTCTTTTGCATCTTCATCAAATGACCTTGTCTGGAAAGTAAAAAAAAAAAAAATTAGAAAAAAAAAAAAGAGGAAAAATATTACATGAAAATAAGACTCAAGATAACAATATATCTACCCTGTGCTAAGAAAAATAATTGGAACAAAATTTCTCATAATCTGATAATATAACGTAGTATCATATGACATCATTTCTATAAAACATATTACTAATATTATTTAATGTAACAATTATATTAGAAATTGGGGAAGGTCACATTCGTCTATCTTTGACTTACACTCTGTCAATGTTAAATAGGGGCTCCTATGCAGTATATTAAAAACAGCAAATTTTTTACTTAATTCAACCTGATTGTAGTTTCTTTCTGATTTTGTTAAACATCACTATATCATACATAACAAAGAGCTTGGGCCAGGCGCAGTGGCTCACGCCTGTAATCCCAGCACTTTGGGAGGCCAAGGCGGGCGGATCACGAGGTCAGGAGATCGAGACCATCCTGGCCAACATGGTGAAACCCCGTCTCTACTAAAATAAAAAAAATTAGCTGGGTGTGGTGGTGCGCACCTGTAGTCCCAGCTACTCAGGAGGGTGACAAAGCAAGACTCCCGCCTCAAAAAAAAAAAAAAAAAAAGAATAAATAAATAAATAAATAACAAAGAGCAAGTTATTACTTAAGTGAAAGAAGGCATTAAATAACGTAGCAGTTTTTTGAAACCATGATATGGCTCTCTTAACAAGCCAAGAGTGTGGTCTTTTTCTTTTTTTTTTTGAGATGCAGTCTCAATCTGTCGCCCAGGCTGGAGTGCAGTGGCACAATCTCGGCTCACAGCAAGCTCCGCCTACCGGGTTCACGTCATTCTCCTGCCTCAGCCTCCCGAGTAGCTGGGACTACAAGCGCCCTCCGCCACCCCCGGCTAATTTTTTGTATTTTAGTAGAGATGGGGTTTCACCGTGTTAGCCTGGATGGTCTCGATCTCCTGACCTCGTGATCCACCCACCTCAGCCTCCCAAAGTGCTAGGATTACAGGAGTGAGCCACCACGCCCGGTGAGTATGGTCTTTTTCATTAAACATCTATGATACATTTCATACTGTATTGCCCATGATTACTCAAGAGAAAGAAAAAAAAATACAAACTGTTCTAACTTGAAATTAACACATTGCTAAAGCTAGAAAACTGAATATTCGTTTTTCTGCCTTTCTTCTAGTATCCCTACTAATCTAAAGTGAAAGAGACCCAGCTCCACCCCCTACACACAGCTACTCACACACATATACACAAGCTAGTCTATGCTTTTAATTGCAAATGTGATTAAGACTAAAGGAAGACCACCTAAGTAAAGGCTTGTGGGGTATTTCCAGGGCCAATTACAGTAAACCTTTCTATCTGAAGACTCACCCGAGCTTGGTGAATATGGTAAGCATTTTCAGCATTCTTCAGGGCCTGGGCTTTAAAATGGTTACTATCTGAAAAGCAAAATTTATGGATTATCACACTTTATCAACTGATTTTGTTCTAAGATACAATTAACACCAATGTATGTGGATCCCTGATTCCCTCATTCTACTTATCCCTGGGTTCACGGAGGGTGGGGGAAGAGAAAGGCTAAATTCTCAGAGGTAAGAAGCTGGAAATGCAATGGAGGTGGAGGACTGCCATGGTCTCCAGTAGCCAAAGCAAGCTCACAAAAAACATCACGGCACTGCCTCTCAGTACTGGGGTTTCTTCTACCAAATAATACCAAGCTACAACAATCAAGACAATCAGGATTCAAAATTTTAATATATTTATGATAGGTGAAACTATTTTAACAGGAGAAATACAGACATATTTAAACCCCAAGATACTATAAAGCAGTTACAATCTCTACTATTTCTAGCTCAACACAATCTTAATCAGCATTCTCCATGAAATTCCTCTCAAACTTCATCCCAATTCCTCCCTCTCCTTGTGATCACATAAAGACAACTGAACAGCTGCTTTCTTGTGCTTAAATAAACAAGAATCGTATTATGTGAGAGATGTTTTCCTCTGCTGAAACACAGTTCAGTTCTACTGAACTGTGATTACAATACCTGTTATTTCTACTAACAAATCACAACAAAAATATTCCCAAACTTGCAAGATCATATAACCACAACGCTTCCTATTCAAATTCTTTAATAAATGGTCTTATACTTCTGTTATAGAAACACACTTTCCCTACTCCAGTACAATAAATCTCTCTTTTCTGGTAAATTACCTATGAATCAATAAAAAATTCGCAAAAATTAATGTATATAACCTTTAGATATAAAAAATAAGAGGTAGCCTTCCTCTAAGTCCTGACTGAGGACTCACCATAATCCTCCTGTGTGATGTTAACTACCACTCCTCCACCTATATCGATTTGTCTCTGGGTAGAACTGTCTTCCAGTTTCCTTAGGATTTCTTCCTGGATACCATCATGACCCATATCTCGTTTGCGACTCATGAAATGGGCATACAACTCTGTCTGGGTAATTAAGAAGTTGAGTTTTCGCTGTTGCCTCTTGGCCTAAAGAGGGAAAAAAGTGAAAACAGAGCCAAATTATCAATGATATCCAAGAAGTAGTCCAGAATTCACCACTTATATTTGCATACAATTCCTTTACCAACTGTTTACTTTTAAAAATGTAAACATCACTGATAAACAATTTTAATTTAGCCAAGTCAGTGGCACTAAAAGCAATGAATAAATTTCTTTTCCTTTTTCAGACAGAGTCTCAGCTGGTCGCATGGGCTGGAGTATAGTGGCACGATCTCGGCTCACTGCGACCTCCGCCTCCCGGGTTCAAGCTAGTCTCGTACCTCAGCCTCCAGAGTAGCTGGGATTACAAGTGAGCACCACTAAACTCGGCTAATTTGTATATTACTAGTAAAGACAGGGTTTCACCATGTTGGCCAGGCTGGTCTCGAACTGAGGTGATCCACTGGCTTCAGCATCCCAAAGTGCTGGGATTACAGGCATGAGCCACCACACCTGGCACAATGAATAACTTTCATTCATAATCTGCTAGTAACAAGTGTTTTGCTCTCCTTTATACTGTGAATCTTTTCTCTATTAGGCTTCTGACTAAAATGTTTCTTTCTTACATTACTTTTCTATGGTGGCACAGAGACAACAACTAAATTCAAACAGTATATTCCATTTTATAACCTGGATGGTGGATACATGTCTATGTAGCTTTATTATTTTTGAAAATGTACACATGTCAGAAACTTTTCTTTTTTTTTTTTTTGAGACAAGTCTAACTGTGTGGGCCAGGCTGGAGTGCAATGGCACAATCTGAGCCTCACCGTAACCTCTGCCTCCCAGGTTCAAGTGATTCTCCTGCCTTGCTCTCCCAAGTAGCTGGGACTATAGGCGTCCACCACAATGCCTGGCTAATTTTTCTATTTTTTTTTGGCGGCGGGGGAGGCGGGGGGCAGAGTCTCCCTCTGTCGCCCAGGCTGGAGTGCAGTGGCGTGATCTTGGCTAACTGCAAGCACTGCCTCCTGGGTTCATGCCATTCTCCTGTCTCAGCCTCCTGAGTAGCTGGGACTACAGGCGCCTGCCAACATGCCCGGCTAATTTTTTGTATTTTTAGTAGAGACGCGGTTTCACTGCGTTAGCCAGGATGGTCTCAATCTCCCGACCTCATGATCTGCCCGTCTCAGCCTCCCAAAGTGCTGGGATTAAAGGTGTGAGCCACCATGCCCAGCCCGTATTGTTGTATTTTTTTAGTAGAGACGGGTTTCACCATATTGACCAGGCTGGTCTCGAACTCCTGACCTCATGTGATCGGCCCACATTCAGCCTCACAAAGTGCTGGGATTATAGGTGTGAGCCACTGCACCTGGCCAGCCACCACACCGGCCCTAAAACTCTTACCACCAAAAGTCAAAATAGCTGACAAAGAGCTATAAATTATTCTGAAAGCCAATACAATAGGTATATGAAATTAACAAGTTAATGGAAGAAAGAAAATACTCCCCAAAACAATCTACAGGAAGGAACAAAATACTCCCCAACACAATCTGTATTTTTTGGCCAGGCATGGTAGCTCATGCCTATAATCCCGGCACTTTGGGAGACCAAGGCTGGCAGATCACCTGAGGTCAGGAGTTCGAGATCAGCCTGGTCAACATGGAGAAACCTCGTCTCTGATAAAAATACAAAAATTAGCCAGGCATGGTGGCAGGCGCCTGTAATCCCAGCTACTTAGGAGGCTGAAGCAGGAGAATCGCTTGAACCCAGGAGGAAAGGTTGCAGTGAGCCGAGGTCACGCCACTGCACTTCAGACTGGGTAACAGAGCAAGACTCTGTCTCAAAACAAAACAAAACAAAACAAAACCCAACAACCTATATTTCATCTGTGATAATAATAGCTACAAAAAACGAATATAGACTGAATACACATACATGTGCAAACTTTCTTTTTTTTTTTTTTAATGTCAGAAGGCTAAATTAAAAGTGCCTTTCAGGTGGACTGCTTGATCTCAGGAGTTTGAGACCAGACTGGGCAACATGGCAAAACCTTGTTTCTACAAAAAATAAAAAAATTTGCCAGGCATGGTAGCATGTACCTGCAGTCCCAGCTACACTGGAGGCTGAGGCGGGAGGACTGCTTGAGCCCAAGAGATTGATGCTGCACTGAGCCAAGATTATGCCACTGCACTCCAGCCTGGGTGACAGAGTAAGATATCACTTTTTTTCTAAGTGCCTCTACTCTAAAATAACCTAAGAAAAATAATCATTGTGTCGATAAATAAAATCATTCCTAAGATAAACAATAAAATGAAAACATAATCCAAAATACCAAATTATATGGAACACAGAACACAGTATAAGTAGCATATTAAAGAGTCATTATTTTGTTTTCTTTTTCTTTTTTTGAGATGGAGTCTCGCTCTCTCACCCTGGCTGGAGTGCAGTGGTGCAATCTCGGCTCACTGCAACCTCCATCTCCCCGGTTCAAGCGATTCTGCTGTCTCAGCCTCCCGAGTAGCTAGGACTACAGGTGTATGCCACCACACCCAGCTAATTTTTTGTATTTTTAGTAAAGACGGGGTTTCACCGTGTTAGCCAGGATGGTCTCGATCTCCCGATCTCTTGATCCGCCCACCTCGGCCTCCCAAAGTGCTGGGATTACAAGCGTGAGCCACCGCGCCCAGCCTTGTTTGCTTTATTTTTTTTTTTTTCCAAAAAAGAGCATTATTGGTCCAAGAGTCATTATTTTGAATTATTTCATAACAAAATTCATAAAATATACTTGATTTATCCTTGATCCACTCTCCCAAAAGAAAAACAATACAATAGGGAATACAGCAAAAAAAAAAAAAAAAACCCAAAAGGCTGAAAGTATATTTTATAAAGCAGTAACCTACGTAAAACTATCCTGTCTCTTTAAAGCTTTATAGCACTTGAGCCAGATCCAAAATAGAAGAAAACTTGAGAAAGAGAGTGAGAGAAAATTAAGTTTTTGTCTTCATGAATGTTCATGTTTCAAACCTAAAGTGCTATCAAGAAAATCTTTGTTTTTTTCTGAAGAGATGGTATCTTACTCTGTCACCCAGGCTGGAGGCAGTAACAAGAACACAGCTCACTGCAGCCTCAACATCCCAGGCTCAAGCAATACTCCCACCTCAGCCTCCAAAGTAACTGGGACTATAGGCATGTGCCACTACACCTGTCTAATTTTTCTACTGTTTATAGATATGAAGTATCACTATGTTGCCCACACTGGTCTTGAACTCCTAGATTCCAGCGATCCTCCCGTCTCTGCCTTTCTGCTAGGATTATGGGCATGAGCCAATACACTCAGCCTAAGGAAAACTTTCTAAAGTAAAACAATTAAGAAAAAGAATAACATCTTTTTTTTTTTTTTTGAGATGGATTCTTCCTCTGTCACCCAGGCTGGAGTGTAGTGGCACGATCTCAGCTCACTGCAACCTCCACCTCCCGGGTTCAAGCAATTCTCTGCCTCAGCCTCCCAAGCAGCTGAGATTACAGGCGGCCGCCACCATGCCCGGCTAATTTTTGTATTTTTAGTAGAGACAGGGTTTCACCATGTTGGCCAAGCTGGTCTTGAACTCCTGACCTTGTGATCCACCCACCTCGGCCTCCCAAAGTGCTGAGATTACAGACGTGAGCCACCGCGCCCGGCCAAGAATAATATCTTTAACCCTAAAGAAGTTAACTACCATATGATTAAATGAACGAAGTAGATTAAGAAAACAGAAAGGATATGTCAAAATTTTATTTCAGAAGTTCAAAGAAAAATGCATAAGTCAGCATAACCATCAGTTAGCTATCAACATAACTAAGAATCTAGGTCTCAGAAATCTAGAATATAGGCCAAGTTGCCTGCAAAACTTCAAGATCTGTGGCTAACTCTGAAATGACTTTAAATTCTCTGAGTTAAGAATTCCCAAAAGCATCAAATGTTTACTAACTTGATAATTATGATTACCTTGCATGCAAATATACGAATTAACCAGGAGACTTAAGAGAACTGAGCAAAATCCATCTTCATTCTCGAAGTCATGATAAAATAAGGGAAGATCAAGAGCTCAGAAAAGGCTCCAAAGCTCCACTTTGACATGAGTTACTACATATACCTGAAAGAAAACATCATCCAAACCACTAATTCCCTTCTTTCTTCAAATCTCAACTCTCCTTCCATTCATCTCAGCTGGTTTATCAATGGCAATACAATGATTTGCCTTCTTACTCTCTCCTCTTGCTTCCCTCAGCAATATACACAGCCTACATCAGCTGGCATCAGGTTTACCAACAGTACTGGCTGCAAGTTAAAACAGTAAAGTAGGCTGGGCATGGTGGCTCACGCCTGTAATCTCAGCACTTTGGGAGGCCGAGGCAGGCGTATCATCTGAGCTCAGGAATTCAAAACCAGCCTGGCCAACATAGTGAAACCCTGTCTCTACTAAAAATACAAAAAATTAGCCAGGCATGGTGGTGGGTGCCTATAGTCCCAGCTACTCAGGAAGCTGAGGCAGAATTGCTTGAATGTGGGAGGCAAAGGTTGCAGAGCCGAGATTACGCCACTGCACTCCAGCCTGGGCGACAAGAGTGAAACTTCATCTCAAAACAAAAAAATAAATAAAACAGTACAGTAGGTGAAGGGTAAGTCTTAGAAAACTGGGCTCATTGTCCACTGTCCCTATCTGGCCCTGAATTTGGCATCTATTTCTTACTGTCCAAAAAAAGCAAAACTGCAGTCAGCACCTACAAACAAACCAAGATGAATTAAAAGCTACTTTCTTTCTCTTTTGCTCATTCCTTTTTCTTGAGGAATAAGAGCCCAGAATAGAGGAAGACAGCTTAGAAGAAAAGAGAAAAAGGCCTGAGGAGGGCCTTACCAAAAGACTAAAAGCAGAATTGGTTTACTAGTCTAAAATCACCATCCTCAAAATTAAGTCTTTAAAAAAATTTCTGACGGTAGGAGATCAAGGCAGGCGGATCACTCGAAGCTCAGGAGTTTGAGACCAGCCTGGGCAATGTGGAGAAACCGCATCTCTACCAAAAAAAAAAAAAAAACAAAAAATTGACAGTGTCATTGGTTAGATGTACAATTTTCAAAATGCAAACGAATCTCTTCAAATGGCTGTAGTAATTAGGGTTTTCAAAATGTTATGCTTTTGCCCTACCTCCCGCATTTCCTCATCCAACTTCCGCTGCTCCAAAGCTTCCTTCTCTGCTCTCTTGCGGTGCTCCTTCTCTACTTTCTCATATTTCTTCCAGTACAGAAGCATCTCCTTGGTGAGGCGGCGGGCACGAGGCAAGGTTTCCTTACAGTTCTTCTGGGCCTGCAAGGCAGCTCGACGCACCTCCTTCATGCACTGGTGAGCAAGCTGAAAACAACAACAGCATTACAGCGGAAAGGACCCCATACCAGAAGCTGGTTCTTCCTGGACTCTAAACCACATCATTCCTCAATCTGTTCAGCCAAACTGTCATCCTTGACCACATCTTTCTCCTGCAACTTGATTAATGTCCTTGTACAGTACTGTGACATAGGCCCAGACCCTGTGGTATTATCAGGGATAAGAAATCTATCCAATTTCTATCACCTTAGAAGATGAAAAATTATAATGATGAAGAAGGACCTGGGATGTGCTTGGAAGTTACAAAATGTTATTGCACACATTAATAACAGCTATCACTGCTTATTACATCTTTAGCACCACTGAAAAATATATTAAACCAATTTACTCTTCACAAAAACCCTATGAAATTGGCATTACCATCACCCTCATTTATAAATGAGGAAACACAGTTGAATGACTACCCCAGAGAAACACAACTAATAACATGGCCTAATCTGATCCTCACAATTCTTAAAGGAAGTTGTTTTAGTCTCCTCTAAGGGAAGGTATTCACATCATTATTTCTTAGACGAGACTGAAGACAGGAAGATTCCATGATCTGCTCAAGAAATCAGGGTGGGCTATGGTCTTATCCAAAAAGGTTCAAATACCAGAAATGTGAGGAAGAACAATTTTATTTAATAAACAGATTGAGGCCGGGCGCGGTGGCTCATGCCTGTAATCCTAGCACTTTGGGAGGCTGAGGCAGGCAGATCACCTGAGGTCAGGAGTTCAAGACCAGCCTGGCCAACATGGTGAAACTGTCTCTACTAAAATACAAAAATTATAGGGCATGATGGCAGGTGCCTATAATCCCAGCTACTCGGGAGGCTGAGATGGGAGAATCGCTTGAACCTGGGAGACGGTGGTTGCAGTGAGCCAAGATCACTGCCACTGCACTCCAGCCTGGGTGGCTGAGACTCTGTCTCAAAAAATAAAAATAAAAAATAAACAGCTTGAGAACATTCAGAAACTCTCTTACGAACTATTAGATTCATGATCAACAGGTTACGACGGACAAGAGCAGCAAGATGGACCCCAAAGAAGAAGAATATATTCCAGCAAAACATGAAATGGAAAATACAAAACTACAATTTTACCTTTCGGCTATTGGTGAGAAACAGGTTACGAGCTGAAGCTTTCTGCTTATTTGCCTAAAATATTTAAAAAACAATATTTCATTTAGGATTCATTTTTGAACTAAGACTATGTAGAATGAACAGTCTTTTACTCAATTCCTAGAGGGTTAGAAAATGTCAAGCCAAGCAAGATATATTACTTCTATAAGTCATCCAGATGTATTGTCTCAACGCCATACATAAAACGATTAAAGAAGCATTCAAGAAGAATAAGTCAGCATTGTGGATGCCTTAAATAGTCTTCTGTATACTTTTGGGAAGATGTTAAGTTACATGTAAGGCTTGAAGTGGACTAGAAAAATGTTACAATACCTAAACCTTAGCACTATCCTGATTAAAAACATGTTGCTTACCAGGGCCAATCTGCAAGGCTGAGAGAGCAGGGCATCCAGATACAGGAATCATTAGGAGAAAGATAAACTAGTCTCCTAAGTGTGATTCTAGCCCCACCTCCAGCCTAGGCAAACCTGATGTCACTATTACTCAGTTTCTGCCACCACATAAGCCTAATCTTCTCTAAAACTAAACTCCAAGGAAGACCTAACACAAAATGACCCAGCAGCCCACAACCCAGCTATTTGTGTTTTCCACTCTAGCTAAGGGGAAAAACAAAAGTCAGTACAGAAACCTGACTCCCCATGATGTCTATTTGACATGGAAGAAGATGCTGAAGAGGCAGAGCTGGGTGGCTCTTTCAGTACTGAAGAGTACTCTCCTTGATGTTAAAGAAACAATGGGTTCAAAGTGACAAAGAAGGTCTGAAAGCCATTTCTTTAATGTTTGCACGTAAGACAGCAAATTTAAGGGAATATATGAGCCTTTTATAAAAAAAAAACTCTTACTAATTAAAGAGCTATTGTCACTCTGAAGCCAGGAACCTCAAATATTCCCACTAAAAAGTCATTTCCTGGCCAGGAATGGTGGTTCACGCCTGTAATCCCAGCACTTTGGGAGGCCGAGGCGGGTGGATCACTTGAGGTAATGAGTTTGAGACCAGACTGGCCAATGTGGTGAAGCCCCATTTCTACTAAAAATAGAAAACTTAGCCAGGCATGGTGGCACATGCCTGTAATCCTAGCTACTCGGGAGGCTGAAGCAGGAGAATCACTTGAACTCAGGAGGCGGAGGCTGCAGTGAGCCGAGATCGTACCACTGCACTCCAGCCTGGGTGACAAGAGCAAAACTCCGTCTCAAAAAAAAAAAAAAAAAAAAAGTCATTTCTTGGCCAGGCGCAGTGGCTTACACCTGCAACCCCGGCACTTTGGGAGGTTGAGGCAGGAGGATCACTTGAGTCCAGGAGTTCGAGACTAGCCTGGGCAAGATAGTGAGACCTCGTCTCTATAAAAAATAAACAGAATTGGGCCGGGCGTGGTGGCTCACGCCTGTAATCCCAGCACTTTGGGAGGCCGAGGTGGTTGGATCACCTGAGGTCAGGACTTCAACACCAGCCTGGTCAACATGGTGAATCCCCGTCTCTACTAAAAATACAAAAATTAGCTGAGTGTGGTGGCAGGCGCCTGTAATCCCAGCTACCCAGGAGGGAGCTACCTCAGGAGAATTGCTTGAACCCGGGAGGTGGAGGTTGCAGTGAGTCGAGATCATGCCATTGTACTCCAACCTGGGTGACAAGAGCGAAACTCCGTCTCAAAAAACAAAAAAAAATTAAATAAACAGAATTAGCTCAGTGTGGTGGCACACACTTATAGCCCCAGGTACTAAGGAGGCTGAGGTGCGAGGACTGCTTGAGCCTGGGAGATCAACGCTGAAGTGAACCAAGATGAGTCCACTGCACTCCAGCCTGGGCAACAGAACAAGACCCTATCTCAAAAAGAAATGAAAACTCATTTCTTTCATTGAAAGGACACCATCTGAGGCCTCTTCATCAGGTACTAAGTCATGGGAAAGTTTCCCATAACTTTCCCATCAAGAATGCTCAAGCACAGGCCGGGTGCAGTGGCTCACGTCTGCAATCCCGGCACTATGGGAGGCCGAGGCGCACAGATCATGAGGTCAGAAGATCGAGACCAGCCTGGCTAATAGGGTGAAACCTTGTCTCTACTAAAAATACAAAAAAAAATTAGCCAGGTGTCGTGGCGGGTGCCTGTAGTCCCAGCTACTCCGGAGGCTGAAGGAGGAGAATGGCGTGAACCCGGGAGGCGGAGCTTGCAGTGAGCCGAGATCGCACTCCAGCCTGGGCGACAAAGCCAGACTCCGTCTCAAAAAAAAAAAAAAAAAGAATGCTCAAGCATCAACTATGTCTCCAGAAATACTTATTAACTGCTATGGAAAAAAAATTTTAATTTTACAGTAGCAAAACACCACCATACCAAGGGATCAAAGGTAATATCCTCAAAACATTAAAACAGGTTGGGCATGGTGGCTCACACCTATAATTCCAGCACTTTGGAAAGCTGAGGTGAGCAGCTCACTTGAGGTCGGGAGTTCAAGACCAGCCTGACCAACATGGCGAAACCTCGTCTCTTCCAAAAATACAAAAATTAGCTGGGTGTGACGGCGCGCACCTGTAGTCCCAGCTACTCAGCTACTTGGGAGGCAGAAGTGGGAGAATCGCTGAAACCCAGGAGGCAGAGGTTGCAGTGAGCCAAGATCACACACCTGTACTCCAGCCAGGGCAAGAGACGAGACTCCGTCTCAAAAAAAAAAAAAAAAAAAAATTAAAACACACTATAACCTCCATAGTTTAAAAAGTGTCATACTAACCTATATGAAGTATATGTGTAAGATGCAGATCTAGTTTTATCTAAATTGCTACCCAGTTGTCTCGGCACTACTAATTTGTAAGTCCACCAGCTTATTCTACTCATCTATTTGCCTATTCATGTGCCAGTACCATACTTTTTTAACTGTAGAGGTTTTGTAGCGTGTTCTAACGTTTAGTGGGGATTTTTCCAATTCTTCCCCAGCTACTCCTACATTCTGACTTCATCACATGGACTTTAGTATCAACTTTTCTCAATTCATAAAATATCCCGTTTCTAAAAAAAATCCAATTTATAATGAAATATCCTGTTCCTATCAGGATTGCACTCAATTCATCCTTAAGAGTAATATGTAAACAACTGGTGAATCTCACTTAAGGGTAAACAGACATTCCTTGGACTATAATTGCAACTTCTTTAAAAAAAAAAAAAAAACGCTACATATGGCATCTGGTTTGCAACTATTAATTTTGAAATTATATCAAAATAACATGTTATTGGCTGGGCGTGGTGGCGCACACCTGTAATCCCAACACTTTATGAGGCGGAGCCAGGCAGATCACCTGGGGTCAAGAGTTCGAGACCAGCCTGGCCAACATGGTGAAACCCCATCTCTACCAAAATACAAAAATTAGCTGGGCATGGTGGCATCTGCCTGTAGCCCCAGGTACTTGGAAGGCTAAGGAAGGAGAATTGTTTGAACCTGGGAAGCGGAGGTTGCAGTGAGCCGAGATGATGACACTGCAATCCAGCCCAGGCGACAGAGCAAGACTCCATCTCAAAAATAATAATAATAAAATAAAATGTTATCAAAACCAAATGAATTAAGAGGAAAAATGCTTATACATGTTTAACTCGTTCACATTTTATTCTAGTGCCTGTGATTATCCAGCAACATTCAAACATTTGTAAATTCTCTAAGAAACATATCAACTCCTTTTTATTTTATTTAATTTTTGAGATAAAATAAATAAATATTTATTATGTTACACATTCTGTTACACAAGCTAGAGTGCAGTGGTGCGATCTCAGCTCGCTGCAGCCTCAACCTCCTGGGCTCTATCTATCCTGCCTCAGCCACTTGCATAGGGAGGGCTACAAACATGTGCCGCTACGCCCAGTTCATTTTTGTAGTTTTTGGAGAGATGGGGTTTCACCATGCTGTCCAGACTGGTCTCAAACTCCTGGGCTCAAGCGATCTACCCACCTCAGCCTCCCAAAGTGCTGGGATTACAGGTGTGACCTGCCATGCCTGGCCTCTTTTTAATTTTTTCTAATATCACCTATAAATTGGCTGTCAAGTATCTATTGCTATATTTAGGAAAACTGCATTCTTTTCTTGAAGAAGTTGTCCTCCAATTTTTTGACCACGGAGCATCACACAATAACTAATTGTCTTGTGAATTCTGACCACATTCTAGAAGAAACTGTTAACTGAAAGAGTACTACTCAGCATTTTCTTGATTCCAACAGATTAGTTTCTTTGCAGAATTCCTATCTGTGAAAGTATCTAGCTCTCAGAGTTCCTCTTTAGTGGGTGGGGAGAGAAAACATTCTCCTAATTTCCATCTCCTGGAGGCATTCACTTACCTTTGGTAGTTCCTTTTTCACAATGCTGAGCCATACTTTCCTGCGACGAGCATTCAGCTGCTCAATGGATAAGTGCTTTTTCTTAGTGCCAGGGGGAGGTGCATCGTGAGAAAACTTGGCAAAGACTTTGGTCTGGTGGTGATGGCGACGAGGGGATTCTTCAGAGGAAAGTTCTTCATCTCTTCGTCTTTTTTTCTTCACTTTTTTCAACTTAGCTGCAAAAGAAACAGATGCAACAGGTTGCACTTCCACAGGAGATAGTCACAAAGCAACCTCATGACTTAAAACATGCAAGGTTCTTTCCTTATTCCACCTGACACTGACAACACATATCCCTTTATCTACTCAGACCCATGAATATTCCTTGAGGAAGAAAAGTAACAGAGAAGAAGAAACATACTGATTGATACCTCACTAACCTGGAAAAGAACACTGGATACTCACTCTGTTTATATGAAAGTGAAATACAGAATAAAACCCGAGAACCAAATTTCTTTTATTTTTTTTCCGAGACGGAGCCTCGCCCTGTCGCCCAGGTTGGAGTGCAATGGTGCAATCTCGGCTCACTGCAACCTCCACCTCCCAGGTTCAAGCGATTCTCCCGCTTCAGCCTCCCGAGTAGCTGGGACTACAGGCGCGTGGCAAGAACCAAATTTCTTTTGAACCTAATAGGTAAGGATGTGTCTGAGGTATCACAGACTCAAGTAATAGTCAAAGGAAGGAAACTTATTTCTACTTGGTGGCAATATAAGGTGGCTATACATCTATGCAGTGTGGGGAAAATAAGAAAAAAGTATACCTATAAGGTGGATAAAGAAAAATAAAAGAGAAGAAAAAGACATATTGATATGTCACTAAGACTTGCAAGACAAAAATACATGAAACAAAACCTTAATTCAGGTTGGAGAAAGTGTGTGGAGGGTGAGAAAACACTAATAAAGATAATAGAGAAAGAAGGGAAGGCTAAAAGGAGCCTTTTTGAGTACAATTCATACCTTTAAGCCAGGTGCGATGGCTCACGCCGGTAATCCCAGCACTTTGAGAGGCCAAGGCAGGCGGATCACCTGAGGTCAGGAGTTCAAGACCAGCCTGGCCAACATGGTGAAACCCCATCTCTACTAAAAATACAAAAATTAGCCAGGTATAGTGGCGTGCACCTTTAATCCCAACTACTCGGGAGGCTGAGGCATGAGAATTGCGTGAACTCAGGAGGTAGAGGTTGCAGTGAGCTGAGATCACGCCACTGCACTCCAGCCTGGGTGACAGAGCGAGACTCCATCTCAAAAAAAAAAAAAAAGAAATTAATACTTTCAGGGGAATAAAATTTGCCTCACAAAGATAGTTTAAAACTTTCTCTTTCAGTTTCCTTCCTGATATCCAGCTGCTGAGAGCTCAGTAAGAGAGGAAAGGACATTTCCTGGCAAACATGCAAACAAACACTACAGAAGATCATCAGGAGGTGATCTATTTTAAATCACCTCGGACAGCAACAATGATAACTTATTCCAAACACTTCAGGTTACTTTTCTTACTTCTCTGTGCATAACCAACTTCCTATCCCAGAACATTTGCAATATTTGCAGAGTGTGTATAAGAAAAATGGAATAAACTAATTTTGCCTAAACCTTTAGCTAGGAATCTGTCTTTCCAATTCTAGAACTAAAGACTATAAGCCAAATATGAATTAAGGTTAATAATATAGTCTACCCTTCCTATCTGTGGGTTCCACATCATAGATTCAACCGAGGATCAAAAATATTCAGGAAAAAAAAAAAAGAATGGTTGCAGCAGCTGTACTGAATATGTACAAACTTTTTTTGGTCATTATTCTCTAAACAATATAGGATAACAAGTATTTACATAGCATTTACATCATATGAGGTATTATAAGTAATCCAGAGATGACTTAAAGTATACGAGAGGATGTGCACAGCTCATATGCAAATACTATACCATTTTACATAATGAATTTGAGCATCTCTGGATTTTGGTACCTGCCAGGGGTCCAGAATCCAATCACCCATGGATACCAAAGGGAAAACTGTACTTGCTACTAATTAGAAAGGAGAGTTTTTCAGATAAAGCAAATTTCTACCATATGGACTTATATATAAAGTCCAAATGCACCAGTAGGCCACATGCAATTCTGAAACTAAGAATGAATATACGTGGAAGGCAGTTCAACATGCTCACCTTTAAGTTTCTTTTCCTCCTTAAATTTCTTTTTCTTGGGTCCAAGTAGGTGCCGTTGTTGCTCATAGAAAGGGTCATATGTGGAGAGCAGGCCTGCACTGTAGTACTGATATTGCTGCAACTGAAGCAGGCAAAGACCATGATGGGCCTGTTTTCTATAGTACAGCTTTCAAATTACCTTTACTACAGAAAACTAAGCCAGAGGAAATCATAGCTCCTAAATACAGTATTCTTCCCACAAAGAGATCAGTAACATCTAGTATATCTAAGGGAATCACTTACTTAACTTCAAACAAAATGAGTTCAACTCCTATACACGTAACAAGTCACTGAAAATAATTTAAGAAAGCAAAACTCTTCATGCTTCTGAATTTCTACATACTTACTTAAACCTGACATATACTAAGACATGAAATTAATTCCTTGCAGAAATGTCTCCCCTTGGAAATTCACCACCAAGAAATAAGCCATACTTCTATTACCAACAGTTCCTCAGATTTACTAAGGTTCCTCATGCTTGCTTTTCTTTTTTTTTTTTTTTTTTTTTTGAGACAGAGTCTTGCTCTGTCGCCAGGCTGGAGTGCAGCGGCATGATCTGGGCTCACTGCAACCTCCGCCCCTTGGTTCAAGCGATTCTCGTGTCTCAGCCTCCCAAGTAGCTGGGATTACAAGCACACGCCACCACACCCAGCTGATTTTTGTATTTTTAGTAGACACGAGGTTTCACCACGTTGGCCAGGATGGTCTTGATCTCCTGACCTCGTGGTCAGCCCATCTCAGTGTCAGCCCACCTCAGCCTCCCAAAGTGCTGGGATTAACAAGTGTGAGCCACTTCAACTGGCCCTTCATGCTTGCTTTTCTATTAGTCATATGTCTGCTTCAAATAGTCACCAGTCATCCCAATTCTTGAATCTTTCAAGTCTTTCCTCTCTTCATCTCCCACTAAGACAGTCTGCTATTATTATAAATAGTGCCTACATTGCCAGAATTCTAACATATGAATAACGTAACTCTTTCCATCCAGGAAGTGGTAAGTAAATGCTTCCAAATATTTCACTTACTCCCCAAATCTCATATTAATTTTGTTTCACATATTACTAATGCATAAATATAAATTAAAATTAGGTAGCCCACTATTAAATCTCTTTCCTGGATTATAGCCAAATAAATTGTCTGAGGACTGAAATAAGACTGAAAGATTAACATGGGGAACTATTACAATGTCCTCTGTTAAAAATCAAAATTAAATTAGCATGCACTGAGCTGTACACTTAAAGTCTGATAACTTTCCTATATGTATGTTTTATCTGAATTTAAAAAACAAGCAGGCCAGGCATGGTGGCTCAGCTGGGCGCCATGGCTCATGCCTGTAATACCAGCACTTTGGAAGGCCAAGGTGGGCAAATTATTTGAGGTCAGGAAGTCGAGACCAGCCTGGCCAACATGATGAAACCACATCTCTACTAAAAATAAAAAAAATTAGCCAGGCATGGTGGCAGGCTTCTGTAGTCCCAGCTACTTGGGAGACTAAGACAGGAGAACTGCCTGAACCCAGGAGGCAGAGGTTGCAGTGAGCCAAGATCATGCCACTGCATTTCAGTCTGGGTAACAGAGCCTCCATCTCAAAAAATAAAACAAAAATAAATAAAAAATAAACATAAAAAACAAGCAAATACTTGGAGCGCCAAGTACCTTACTGCTGGAGTTTAAGAAGGAAGGAACTTTTTACATCAAAAGGGTCAGATACTCTGTTAACCACTTCTACAGGTTTATAAGGTTCAGAATATTATTCCAATCTCTCTGAACTAACTTTGGACCTTAACTAATTGCTAGAAAATTCTTAGGTCTTCAAATATACTATTGCTCATTATGTACAACGTTCCACACTTGTAGAAATAGTCAGAAGGCGGCTGGGCGGGGTGGCTCACCCCTGTAATCCCAGCACTTTGGGAGGCCGAGGCGGGTGGATCACCTGAGTCTGAGACAAGCCTGACGAACATTGAAAAACCGTATCTCTACTAAAAAT
This sequence comes from Homo sapiens, assembly GCF_000001405.40. Taxonomy (NCBI): domain Eukaryota; kingdom Metazoa; phylum Chordata; class Mammalia; order Primates; family Hominidae; genus Homo; species Homo sapiens. Next base: position 41,089,588 of record NC_000015.10, read on the forward strand.
ACAAAAATAGCCAGGCGCAGTGGCGCATGCCTGTAATCCCAGCTACTCGGGAGACTGAGGCAGGAGTACTGCTTGAACTCAGAAGGCGGAGGTGGCAGTGAGCCGAGATCACGCCATTGCACTCGAGCCTGGGCAACAAAAGTGAAACTCAATCTCAAAAAAAAAAAAAAAGAAAGAAAGAGTCAGAAGGCTTTGGTAACGGCATTCAAATAGTTGTCACTCAAAACTATCATCATTTTAATGTTAGTGTATGAAGAGCTTTCTAAGAGAGAAACACTACACCCAAAGAGCAACTGCATGAATAAGCAACACTAGAATGTAAGCATTCTGGCAATTCCTCAAAAGGCTAAGCAAGGTGTTTCCATATGACCCAGCAATTTCACTGTTAAGTATATAATGAAGAGAAACGAAAACACATCAACACAAAACCTGTACACAAATCTTCATACCATCATTATTCAAAATAGCCAAAAAGTAGAAATATGCTAATCATAGTTCATGAACTGGACAATGCATATATAAGATAAGGTATAAATACAACGAATATTTGCAATAAGAAGAAATGAAATGCTGATACATGCTACAACATTAATCAATCTTGAAAATATGACATTAAGTGAGAGAAGCTGGACACAGGCACATGTTGCATGATTGCATTTGTATGAAATGTCTAGAATGGGCACATTTATAGAAACAGAGCAGATTGGGCTGGGGATGGTGGCTCACGCCTGTAATCCCAGCACTTTGGTAGGCTAAGGCGGGAGGATCACCTGAGGTCAGGAGTTCGAGACCAACCTGGCCAACATGGTGAAAACCCGTCTTTACTAAAAACGCAAAAAAAAAGCCGGGCGTGGTGGCACACGCCTGTAATCTCAGCTACTCAGCAGGCTGAGCAGGAGAATCGCTTGACCCTGGGAAGCAGAGGCTGCAGTGAGCCAAGATCGCGCCACTGCACTCCAGCCTGGGCAACAGAGCGAGACTCTGTCCAAAAAAAAGAAAAAAGGAACAGAGTGGATTGGTGGTTGTCTGGACTGAGGGACAGAAAGAATGAGGGGCAACAGCTAAGAGGCATGCGGTTTCTTTATGAGGTGATGCAAATGTTCTGGAATTAGGCAGTAATGATAGTAACACAACTATGAATATATTAAAAAAACACTGAATTGCACACTATATAAGGCTGAAGTTTTGTTATGTGAATTACATCTCAATAAAGCTGCTCCACTGCTACCTAAAGTTAAAATGATGTATCTTTTTTTTTTTAAGAACATATCTTTTAGTCTAGTACATCCGAAGTATTAGTAGTTTAATTTCATTGATTCCAGAGAATTTTAGAAATTCTTTTTTTTTTTTTTTTTGAGATGAAGTCTTGCTCTGTCACCCAGGCAAGAGTGCAGTGGCTCAATCTCGGCTCACTGCAACCTCCACCTCCCGGGTTCAAGCGATTCTCCTGCCTCAGCCTCCTGAGTACCTGGGATTACAGGCATGCACCACCACGCCCAGCTAATTTTGTATTTTTAGTAGAGACACAGTTTCCTTATGTTGGTCAGGCTGGTCTCGAACTCCTGACCTCAGGTGATTCACCCGCCTGGGCCTCCCAAAGTGCTGGGATTACAGGCGTGAGTCACTGCGCCCAGCCAACTTTTTGTATTTTTAGTAGAGATGGAGTTTCACCAAGTTGGCTGGGCTGGGCTCGAACTCCTGACCTCAACTGATCTGCCCACTTCAGCCTCCCAAAGTGCTGGGATTACAGGCGTGAGCCACCGCACCCAGTCAGGAATTTTCTCTTTTTTTTAAGTACCAGGGTACATGTGCAAGATGTGCAGGTTTGCTACACGGGTAAACATGTGCCATGTGGTTTGCTGCACCTATCAACCCATCACCTAAGTATTAAGCCCAGCAAGCATTAGCTGTTTTTCCTGATGCTCTCCCTCCTCCTGCACCCACCTGCCCAGGCCCAGTGTGTCTTGTTCCCCTTCCTGTGTCCATGTGTTCTCATTGTTCAGCTCCCACTTACACTCACTACTGAGGATAATGATTTCCAGCTCCATAAAATGATGTATCTCTTTTTTTTTTTTTTTTTTTTTTTGAGACAGAGTCTCGCTCTGTCGCCAGGCTGGAGTGCAGTGCTGTGATCTCGGCTCACTGCAACCTCCGCCTCTGGGTTCGAGCAATTCTCCTGCCTCAGCCTCCTGAGTAGCTGGGACTACAGGCGCACGCCACCACACCCAGCTAAATTTTGTATTTTTAGTAGACAGGGGGTTTCACCATGTTGGCCGGGATGGTTTCAATTTCTTGACCTCATGATCCGCCCGCCTCGTCCTCCCAAAGTGCTGGGATTATAGGTGTGAGCCACCACGCCCAGCCAAAATGATGTATCTTTAATGACTATAAAGCAGAGGGTGAATATTCAGTTTGAAGTGTTTCTCCTGAAACTCTTACCTCCTTGTCTTTACTATACTTATTTTGGTGAAGTTTCTTATATTTGTGTAGTCGAAGCATGTTGTGAAGTTCTTCTCTGCTGAGATTGAGTTCTTCTTCATCATCGTCTTCACTCTGAGAATCAGCCTCGCTGGATTCATCACTTAGCAGAATGCTCTGAAAAGGGTGAAAATAGAAATGTATCTTTTGCTGTGAAGCAATCCCATTTATAATCCAAGCATTTTTTCCTAGATCCAAAACAATGACAAAAACAGCAGAAAGATAGTCACTCCAGTTCCCCTTATGACATGCTTTATAAATTCAACTGAAAAACATTAAGAATACTAATTAAACTTAGGGAATACAAACTAAAATGCAATAAAACATGGGACATGTTATCAGCAACAAGGCTAAAAATTCCTCTGAATACTTACAAAAGTATAAATAATACATAAATATCATATACATACAAACTATACATACATGCCAAACAGGAAGGCAAAAAAAACAACTACCTATAGGGTATAAAAAAATATAGAAAGCAAGCTGTAATGGCCCAAAAGGAGAAATATCCCAAATATCCATTTATTGATAAATGGATAAATAAAATGTGGAATATCCAGATAATGAGATGTAATTCAGCCATGAAAAGGAATAACACATGAGTAGGGGCTACAATATGAAGAATCTTGAAAATATTATGCTCAATTAAAGAAGTCAATCATAAAAGGTCACATTATGATAGGATTCAATTTATACGAAATGTCTAGGCTGGGAGTGGTGGCTCACACCTGTAATCCCAACACTTTGGCAGGCCCAGGCATGAGGATTGCTTGAGGCCGGGAGTTCGAGACTAGCTTGGGCAACCTAATAAGATCTCTTCTCTACAGAAAAAGACATGTGCCTATAGTCCCAGCTACTTGGGAGACAGAGGAGGAAGGATTGCTTGACCCCAGGAGTTCAAGGGTGCAGTGAGCTATGGCTGCACCACTGCACTCCAACCTAGGAAACAGAGCAAGAGCCTGTCTCCTAAAAAGAAAACAAAAACAAAAATTCCAGAAGAGGCACATCAATACAGACAAAAAGCAGATTAGTCGCTGCCAAAGGACAGAGGAAATAGAAAATGGAGAGTGACTACCGGCCGGGCTCAGTGGCTCATGTCTGTAATCCCAGCACTTCGGGAGGCTGAGGCGGGGGGATCACAAGGTCAGGAGTTTGAGAACAGCCTGGCTAACATGGTGAAACCCTGTCTCTACTAAAAATACAAAAATTAGCCAGGCGTGGTGGCAAGCGCCTGTAGTTTCAGCTACTCAGGAGGCTGAGACAGGAGAATCGCTTGAACCCAGGAGGGAGAGGTTGCAGTGAGCTGAGATCACGCCACTGCACTACAGCCTGGGCGACAGAGCAAGACTCCGTCTCAAAAAAAAGAAAAAAGAAAATGGAGAGTGACTGCTAACGGGTACGGGGTTCATTTCAGAATGTTAAAAATTTTCTGAGATTACATTGTAATCATGGGTATACAACTTTGTAAATACACGAAAAACTACTAAATTTTAACCTGTAAAAGGGTGAATTTGGCCAGGCACGGTGGCTCACACCTGTAATCCCAGCACTTTGAGAGGCTGAGGCAGGCAGATTGCTTGAGCTCAGGAGTTCGACACCAGCCTGGGCAACATGGTGAAACCCCCAAAAATTAGTTGAACGTGGTGGTGCGGGCCTGTAGTCCTACTTCACAGGGGTGAGGCTGGAGGATCACTAGAACCCAGGAGGTCGAAGCTGCACTAAGCTGAGATTGTGCCACCGCACTCCAGCCAGGGTGAAAAAGTGAGACCCTGTCTCAAAAATAAATAAATAAAAATAAAATAAAATGAAAAGGTGAATTTTATGACAATGAATTATAACTCAATTTTTCAAAATATGACGGCTAAGCATAACAATTTCTGCATTTCCAACAGCCTAAAGTGCAACTGATATTAACCAAATCGGACCTTTTACACATGAGCCTTTTGAAGGACCTAGTGATAATAATGAAGGGTTTTAATTGCTTTTGAGTACTTCATAGCAAAAGTATAAAAGAGAAATAATTAGTTTCAATAAAAGAAATACTATCCTTAATTCAGTTTGGCCACTGACAGTAATCTTGTAAGAGTGTAAATGAGATTAACAACCTCTCTGCTTGTAAACACTCCAACGGCTTATGCCTACGACAGTAAAACACGAACTCCTTAACATAGACAAAGCCTGTGTGATCACAGTCTTGTAACTTCATCTTCCACCATCCTCCTCATTCACTGTGCTCTAGCCATATTAGACTTCTTTTTCCACCAAACATACTAAGTTGTTTCTTTTCTCAGGACTTTTGCAGTTGTTCCTTCTGACCGAAATGCCGTTACCCTGGATATAAGATGGTTCTCTGTGATCATTCAGAATCAGTTGAAATGTTACGTCTTTAAAGAAGCCATGTTTATTTACTTGTTTACAGGCTTACTAACTGCCTGCCTCCTTTAGAATGTAAGCACCACTGGGCAGGAAACTTGCCCAACCATAATCGTACCTGGCACATGCACATGGATGCACTAAATCAACATCTGTTAAATGAATAAACTACTCAGGAACTTATGGAAGTTATGGAATTAATATAAATTATGGAACTTATGGAATTAATATTCCTGATTATGTGACCCAATGAGTGCAAGGACTTCATCTGATAAATTTTTGTACTTCCTGTTTCCCCTCAGTACGTTATAACAGGTTGAGCATCCCTATTCTAAAAACCCAAAATACTCCAAAATCTCAAAGGTTTTGAGCACCAATAAGATGCCACAAGTGGAAAATTCCACACCTGACCTCACGCGACAGGTCACAGTCAAAACACAGGTATACAAAACAGAGTTTATTCAACATCCCCAAGGGAAAAATATAATTACCTTCAGACTATGTGTATAAGGTGTATATAAAAGATAAATGAATTTGGTGTTTATTAACTTGGGTCCCATCTCCAAGATATCTCATTTTGTATTGCAAATATTCAAAAAAAAAAAAAAAATCTGAGGCTGGGTGCGGTGGCTCACGCCTATAATCCCAGCACTTTGGGAGGCTGAGGCAGGCAGATCACCTGAGGTCAGGAGTTCGAGACCAACCTAGCTAACATGGTGAAACCCCATTTCTACTAAAAATACAAAAAAATTAGCTGGGCGTGGTGGCGCATGCCTGTAATCCCAGCTACTCAGGAGGCTGAGGCAGGAGAATTGCTTGAACCTAGGAGGCGGAGGTTGCAGTGAGCTGAGATCATGCCATTGCACTCCAGCTTGGGCAACAAGAGCAAAATGTTGTCTCAAAAACAAAATCTGAAACACGTCTGGTCTCAAGCATTTCAGATTAGCAATACTCAACCTGTACTCAATTCATGTTTGCTAAATGACTTCATTGAATCCTCCAGATTTTCTCAATAATCTCTTCAAAAAAACCACATCCAGTATAAGAGAATCATATTTGAAAAACTCTGTCAATCTGCCAAAATGAGTTGATAACTTTCCCATCTATTAGTAACTTTAGTAGACTATCTGCACTGTAAACACCCTGCTTTATCTCTTACCTTTAGCCACTTTCTGCTTTTCTTCAGCTTAGAGAAATTATATAAATTCCCCTTATCACATTTTGATTCTGTATAAAGAAACACAAAGAATAAAAAAATTAAAGGATGACTGCCCCAAGATAACGATAGTCCAAAGGGGGATGTCACACCACACTGACCTGACTGTAGAACTCCATTCAGAGAATATGTGTTTAACATTCCAGAACTGCCTGCTCCAGAAGTTTCACCAAGCAATGAATTTGGAGGTTCTTCCTTAACTTGTATTAAGGGATCCCCAGACTGGGGCAATAATGGATTACTGTCATCCAGTCCATCTTCACTGTCATCACTATAAATTGAAGAATGAGTCCACAATTACAGCTGACCCAATAAAATATAATTTAAAGTTAGAACTGGACACTTTACAGAAGAAACTGTTCCTCTGAAATAAATTGACTTTTTTATTTGAAAGAGGCAAAAGAAAATATCAAACATAAAAATCATAAGATACTTTAATCCTGTAAAATCTGTAAGGATGATGGAAATCAGGAATTTGGTAAAACATATTGCAAAGATACAATAACATACCTAGAAATATTCCTATTGAAGATAGCTGACGTTTGTCGCAGAAAATGGTCCAACCGGAGGGCCCTCTCCAAGTACTGAAGATAGAGGGGCTTTGCCAGCTCAGTGCAGCCTCCATCATCCCTGGCACCCAACTCCGAGGCCATAGAACAAATCTGTCTTCATGCACAAGGACCTCCGACTGCACGGCTGCAGAACAGAGATAAGAAGTGAAAGATGAAATTACTATCCATTCTCCCTTTCTCTTGCCTGCTTGTTCCCAATGTGAAGAGAAATCAGACCTTCTAGAACACAAGACACTGAAAAGACAGGAGTCTGCAGAAAGATCATGATAAAGCTCTTGTTAGACACTGCCTCCTAAAGCAAAGGCAGAAGTTAAAAGGATATAAAGAATATAAAAATACAGCAACACAGTTACATTTCACAATGAAAATTCATACTATACTTTTTCAAAACAGTATCTTAAAATGTATACCCACTTCCTTTATCCCTTTCAATAAAAAATTACCCAAAACTATGAATAAACAACTATCCAAATCTACACCCCAAGCTCACTGTTGTGCACCTCAGAAAGGAAAGTACTAGAGGAGCACTCGTTCTCAGCATCACCTTCAAAATAGGTGCTGCCCTCTTCATTTTGAATTCATATTCATACATATATGTAAGGTATCTTATTTACAAGGGAATAGATGTATTGGCAGAGTATTTTACTATCCTTTGTAAAAATGCCATAATGAGTAAAATTTAAATTTAGAAAATTGGAGCTAAAAGAGTAAAAGTGAGGGTGAGAAACACAGGTATAGCCTAAGCATTCTCTTTGCTACCTTACATTGTTAAAGACAACATTAGGGTCAGAACATCTTCACTAGAGACACAATCACACAATCACACAATCAGTATAACAACGCTTCTCCCACCACTTTCTTGTTTGTTTTTGTTTTTTGAGACGGAGTCTCGCTCTGTCACCCAGGCTGGAGTTCAAGCAATTCTCCTGCCTCAGCCTCCTGAGTAGCTGGGATTACAGGCGCCCACCACCACGCCCAGCTGATTTTTGTATTTTTAGTGGAGACGGGGTTTCACCATGTTGGTCAGGCTGGTCTTGAACTCCTGACCTCAAGCAATCCACCCACCTTGGCCTCCCAAAGTGCTGGGATTACAGGCTTGAGCCACCGCGCCCAGCCTTCTCCCACCACTTTCAAACAGTAGCATCTGCCTTATACCTGGTTATCTCTAAATACTTAAAGGGTTACACGAAGACTAAATAATGACATAATTTAGACTAATAAGCCCACCAAATGACATAAATACTCAATAAACCATAAATTATTGTTATGATTTTTTTCAGACGGAGTTTCGCTCTTGCAGTAGGGTGATCTCAGCTCACTGCAACCTCTGCCTCACAGGTTCAAGTGATTCTCCTGCCTCAGGCTCCCAAGTAGCTGGGATTACAGGCGTCCACCACCACACCTAGCTAATTTGTTGTATTTTTAGTAGAGATGGGGTTTCACCATGTTGGTCAGGCTGGTCTGGAACTCCTGACCTCAGGTGATCCACCAGTCCCAACCTCCCAAAGTGCTACGATTACAGGCATGAGCCACTGTACCCAGCCTAAAATACAAAAATACTAAAAATACAAAAATTAGCTGGGCATGGTGGCAGGCGTCTGTAATCCCACCTACTCAGGAGACTGAGGCAGGAGAATCACTTGAACCTGGGAGGCAGAAGTTGCAGTGAGCCGAGACTGTGCCACTGCACTCCAGGCTGGGCAACGAGAGCAAAACCCCATCTCAAAAAACAACAACAACAACAACAACTAAATGAAATGATAAGTTTTTTTGTTTATTTGTGGCGGTTTTTTTGTATTTTTAGTAGAGACAGGGTTTCACCGTGTTGGCCAGAATGGTCTTGATCTCCTGACCTTGTGATCCGCCTGTCTCAGCCTCCCAAAGTGCAGGGATTACAGGCGTGAGCCACCACGCCCGGCCAACTAAGTGATAAGCTTTAAAGGCAATCATACATCTTTGAGTTGTCTTCTCTTTTTTTTACAATTTTCTAATATAACTTTCCTATCTAAAACAGTGTAACTTCTAGAAAAACCAGGAGAAAATCTTCATGACTGACCATAAAAAATTCTAGATATGCAATCAAAAGCACAAAAGATCAAAAATTAGCCCATGCGAATTAAAAATGTTTACACTTTAAAATATATCATTAAGAAAATGAAGACAAACTAGGCACAGTGGCTCATGCCTGTAATCCCAGCACTCTGGGAGACTGAAGTGGGAGGATCACTTCAGCCCAGGAAAACAAGATCAACCTGGGCAACACAGTGAGATCTCATCTCTTCAAAAGAATTTAAAATTAGCTGGGCATGGTGGCACAGGCCTCTGGACAAACTATTCGGGAGGCTGAAGTGGGAGGATCACTTACAGCCCAGGAGGTTGAGGCTACAGTGAGCCATGATCTTGCAACTGTACTCCAGCCTGGGTGACAAAAAAAAGAAAAAGAAAATGAAGACAAGCCACAGACTAGAAGATACTTGCAAATCATCTATCTGATAAAGGTCTTGTATCCACATATACAACTTTTTTTTTACACAGTTGTTTGTCAGTGTGTACACATAAAACCTACAACTCTATAAGATAAATAACCCAATTTAAAAATGAGCAAAAGATTTTGAACATTTTACCAACAAAGATGTATGACTAGCTAATAGACACATGAAAAAATGCTAAATATTAATAAATTAAAATTAAAGCACCATACTACTTCATACCCACTAGAATAATAAAAAAGACAGGCTAGACACAGTGGCTCTCACCTATAATCTCAACATTTAGGAGGCTGAAGTGGGTGGATCCCTTGAGCCCAGGAGTTTGAGACCAGCCTGGGCAACATAGCAGGACCGTGTCCCTACAAAAAATTTAAAAATTAGCCAAGTATGGTGATGCGTGCCTGTAGTGCCAGCTACTCAAGAGGCTGAGGTGAGAGGATTGCTTAAGCCCAGGAAGTCAAGGCTGCAGTGAGCTATCATTGTGCCACTGTGCTCCAGCCTGGAGTAAGACCCTGTCTCAAAAAAAAAAAAAAAAAAAAAAAAAAAAAACAAACACACACACACACACACAACAAGAGAGTGAGAGAGAGGGAAAGAAAAAGGGAAAAAAAAAATGTTCCAAACTCCCATTGTGGCGATAGTTCCACAATTCTGTAAATCTACCAAAAATATATTCAAAATATACTGAACTGTATATTTTATTTAAATTATGTGAATTTCATAGTTTGTAAATTGTCAGTCTTGGTAATATAAAGAAAAAAGAATGCTAAAAAATACTTTTGGCCAGGAGCAGTGGCTGAAGCTTGTAATCCCAGCACTTTGGGAGGTGAGGCAGGAGGAGAGCTTGAGCCCAAGAGTTCAAGACCAGCCTGAGTAACATGGCGAGACCTTGTCTCTACAAAAAAATTTAAAAATTAGCTGAGTGTAGTGGCATGCACCTGTAAACCCAGCCACTTGGGAGGCTGAGGAGGGAGGATGGTTTGAGCCCAGGAGGTTGAGACCTCAGTAAGTCATGAACGCACCACTGTACTCCAGCCTGCATAACAGAGTGAGACTATCCAAAAAAAAAAAAACTTTAAATTTCACCTTTTCAAAATGAGACCTAACGTGTACCCACCCACTCCAGAAGATTTCAAAGAAATTGGTTTTTAAAATACAACAAAACTCCCTTAAGAGAACAGCAAATAATTCATCTTGATACATGTATAAATGTAAAACTACTCTGCTTGGCTCCATCCCAAGCTTTTATTACAGAACAATTAATCCATGCTCTAGTTATTTTACCTGATAAGGAAAATGACACTAATTAAGGAGGTATGACTACCAAGTAATACGGAGTGATTCGAAATGAATGGAATATTTTCTTTTCTTTTTTTTTTGAGACAAAGTCTTGTAGCCGAGGCTGGAATGCTGTGGCCCAATCTCGGCTCACTGCAAGCTCTGCCTCCCAGGTTCACGCCATTCTCCTGCCTCAGCCTCCCGAGTAGCTGGGACTACAGGCGCCTGCCACCACGCCAGGCTAACTTTTTGTATTTTTAGTACAGACGGGGTTTCACTGTGTTAGCCAGGATGGTCTCGATCTCCTGACCTCGTGATTCGCCCGCCTCGGCCTCCCAAAGTGCTGGGATTACAGGTGTGAGCCACTGTGCCCGGCCAATGAATGGAATATTTTCAAAACTTATTCCTCAGTACCTATGTGAGTATGAAATCAAAAACAATTTGTTGAAGAAAGATCACAGTTAACTTCTAGTCTTACAATCCTCAATATATGCTCCCTTTTGACACCCAGTATACATCAGTCCTGTCAACTGATTCATCCCAGAAATCATCTTTGCAGCATATCACCACTGATGGCTGAAATGACAGCTGCAATGAATTCCCTTATGTCCACAATACCACCAAAAAAAGGTGCTGTAAGCACAAAATTCTCCACAAGAAGTCCTATGATGACATCTGGAGAACCAAGTTATATTTTTTAAGTGTTCAATTTTTTTCTTTATGGTGGCAAAAGACATAAAACTTACCATTTTAACCATTTTTAAGTGTACACTTCAGTGGCATTATATACATTCACATTGTTGTGCAACCATTACTACCATTCACAATTTTTTCTTTTTTTTTTTTTTTTGAGACAGAGGCTCCCTCTGTCGCCCAGGCTGGAGCACAATGGGGTGATCTCCGCTCACTACAATCTCCGCCTCCTGGGTTCAAGTGATTCTCTCACCTCCAGCCTCCCAAGTAGCTGGGACTACAGGCGCACCCCACCACACACAGCTAATTTTTGTATTTTTAGTAGAGATGGAGTTTTACCATGTTGGCCAGGCTGGTCTCAAACGCCTGGCATCAAGTGATCCACCCACCTCAGCCTCCCAAAGTAGTGGGATTATAGGCATGAGCCACCCACCCGGCTGACAATCATTTCTTAATCACCTTTTAAGATTGCTGGCCTCTCAATTCAGCCTAGTCTTGATTAGCATGTTAAAAGCTGCTGCTGCAATAACCACTTTCATCTCCTCATTTGTCTCTTATTCCCTACAAGGAAACTGCATGGCCATCAACCTGACCCATCTGTTATCGTCCAACTTCAGCAAAACACTTGATAATTCTCAATAACCCTTTTACCCACCTTCTACCAATTGTTTCTCATTCTCTACCAAGATTACTTCAAATCTTTTTTCCCTCTTCCTCAAAATGCTGAAGTCATTCCCCGCTCATCTTGGAAGAGCCTGAAGAGCAAATCATTCCATCCTCTTTTATTTCACCTTAGCTCAATAGTTTCCTCTTACTTGCTGTGATATTTGAGTCACCAACACAAACAGACTTTATTTGTAACTTTTTTTTTTTTTTTTGAGACAGAGTCTTGCTCTGTCACCCAGGCTGGAGTGCAGTGGCGAGATCTCTGCTCACTGCAAGCTCCGCCTCCCAGGTTCAAGCCATTCTCCTGCCTCAGCCTCCCGAGTAGCTGGGACTGCAGGCGCCCGCCACAACGCCTGGCTAAGTTTTTTTGTATTTTAGTAGAGACGGGGTTTCACTGTGTTAGCCAGGATGATCTCGATCTCCTGACCTCGTGATCCACCCACCTCGGCCTCCCAAAGTGCTGGGATTACAGGCGTGAGCCACCGCACCCGGCCTATTTGTAACTCTTAGTCAAGGTGATTCTCCATACTAGTACAAAAGATATGACTATTTCTTGGCGGGCATGGTGGCTCATGCCTGTAATCCCAGCACTTTGGGAGGCTGAGACGAGCAGATTACAAGGTCAGGAATTCGAGACCAACCTGGCTAACACAGTGAAATCCCGCCTTTACTAAAAATACAAAAAAGTAGCTGGGCTTGGTGGCACGCACCTGTAGTCCCAGCTACTCAGGAGGCTGAGGCAGGAGAATCGCTTGAACCTGGGAGGTGGAGGTTGCAGTGAGCCAAGACTGTGCCACTGAACTCCAGCCTGGGCAACAAAGCAAGACTCCATCTCAAAAAAAGAAGATACGACTATGTCTTATGTCACTTATTATGGGTTCATGCCCATGCATTTGCATTTTAAAGTACATACTGTGTAAGTTACTTTATTTATGTTTCCCCAATATATTACAATTAGGGCATCATACTGCTTTTTAAAATTATATATTACCTATAGATTTCATTTCAGGATTTTAAAAAGGGCATATTAGGCCAGGCGCAGTGGCTCATGCCTGTAATCCTAGCACTTTGGGAGGCCGAGGCGGGCAATCACCTGAGATCAGGAGTTCGAGACCAGCCTGACCAATATGGTGAAACCCCATCTCTACTAAAAAATACAAAAATTAGCCAGGTGTGGTGGCGGGTTTGCCTGTAGTCCCAGCAACTTGGGAGCCTGAGGCAGGAGAATCGCTTGAACCTGGGAGGCGGAGGTTACAGTGAGCCAGTATCGTGCACACTGCACTACACCCTGGGCAACAGAGCAAGACTGTCTCAAAGGAAAAAAAAAGGGTGTATTATAAAATATTTGTAATAAAAAAGGAGAGTTGGGTCTGATACAGTTGAGAACCATGCTCTCTGATAACCACTGTTTATCAGAATGAATGAAGTTGATATTGTTGAGTGACTCTTGCTTTTGGATACTCTATTTAATAATCTTTGAAAACTTGGACTATTCCTTAACTCCTTGACTGAAACTTTATTCTAAATGCGGAGTACACCAAAGTTCTGTCATCTATTCCTACGCCTTAGAAAATCTCATCTTCTACCAGGAATTCAATTAACACTGCTGTATGACTGACCCTCTGGCTCTCAACTTGCACAGCATACAATCCACATTTCTAGATGCTTCTAGAAAGGCTTTCTAGATGTTTTCTAGCCCCTACAAACCCAAACTTCTCATATGCCTCCACAGCAGCTAGTTCATCTGTCTTTCCTATTTATATAACAATTATTCAGACTCAAAATCTATGAATCATTTTTTACACCCCCTTCTACTTCTCTCCTGGCATGCAGTGAGTCCCAATGTGTAGTTAATTCTTCTTTGGGAATAATGTCTGGAATATGTCAGTTTCTTCCTATTATCAGTGTTTTCATTTAGCTTCTTAGCCTCACACCTAGACTACTGCTTCCTAATTGACTTTCCCACCTCCAGGTTCTTCTCACTCTAATTCATCTATGCAGATACTTCCAGATCAGTATTCCCAAATCATCGTTCTTGTTTTATATTTTTTTGAGACAGAGTCTCGCTTTGTCACCCAGGGTGGAGTCCAGTGGCGCGATCTCAGCTCACTGCAACCTCCGCCTCCCTGGCTCAAGCAATTTTCCTGCCTCAGCCTCCCAGGTAGCTGGGATTAGAGGCGCCCGCCACCACGCCCGGCTAATTTTTCCTATTTTCAGTAGAGACGGGATTTTATCATGTTGGCCAGGCTAGTCTCAAACTCCTGAACTCAAGTGATCCACCTGCCTCGGCCTCCCAAAGCGCTGGGATTACAGGTGTGAGCCACTGTGCCCAGCCCAAATTCATCATTCTGATTATGCCATTAGTTCCTCAATAGTTTTCCAAAACTCAATAAAATCTAAATTCTTCAGCCTGAAATTTAAAGACCTTTATCATCTGGTTTTGAGTTACTTTTTACAATTTAATCTTTTACTACTTCCCCACATTCCAGGCAAATTAAGAGTTCCTTTAAAATGTCTCTTAACTTCCTATCAGACCTGTCTCACTTCGCGCAAAGAGGCTCTTTAAAATTCATCTGACTGCCAGGCGCAGTGGCTCACGCCTGTAATCCCAGCACCTTGGGAGGCCAAGGAAGGCTGATCACCTGAGGTCAGGAGTTCGAGACCAGCCATCTGACCAACATGGAGAAACCTCGTCTCTACTAAAAATACAACAAAGTTAGTCAGGTGTGGTGGTGCATGCCTGTAATCCCAGCTACTTGGGAGGCTGAGGCAGCAGCATCACTTGAACCCAGGAGGCAGAGGTTGCGGTCACTGCACTCCAGCCTGGGCAATGAGAGCAAAACTCCATCTCAAAAAAAAAAAAAAAAAAAAAAAAAGTAATAAAATAAAATAAAATTCATCTGACCAGAGGCTCATACTGTATTGCTAAGGATGAAAGAACTATTCAATATGTTTTTGGAACAATTCTTCATTGAATAGCCTGTTCCACACCCTGAACTCTGGCTCATTATCCTGAATCCGAACTCTGATCATATTTCAGCTGCCCTGCCAACAGCTTCATGTTAATGGTAAATGTATGCTTCAGAATCATACCCACATATATCAGACTTCCTGAGCTGTGTTCATGAGTAATCCTGGGCTGATTGCTTTGTACTCTCTAGTTACTGCCAGGCCCTTATTTCTTTTCTTTTCTTTTTTTTAAAGGGGAGTCTTGCTCTTTCTCCCAGGCTGGAGTGCAGTGGTCCAATCTTGGCTCACTGCAACCTCCGCCTCCCAGATTCAAGGGATTCTCCTGCCTCAGTCTTCCGAGTAGCTGGGATTACAAGCATGAGCCACCACACCTGGCTAATTTTTTTTGTATTTTAGTAGAGACGAGGTTTCACCATGTTGGCCAGGCTGGTCTCAAACTCCTGACCTCAAATGATTTGTCTGCCTTGGCCTCCCAAAGTGCTGGAATTACAGGTGTGAGCCACCACACCCGGCCAACTTATCAGTATTTATATTGTACAGAATTATGTATTCTGTACAAAATTCACTTTTATATTTAATTTTACTATACTAAAAGTCAGTTTTCATTATGGGAGTGGATACACTTAACCAGTGTGGGTAGTAACAGACAAGTTATGTAGAACTGTGCTCCTCAAAGAAGTCTGAAAATCAAAGTTCAGGTAATTCATCCCAAAGACAAACCATCTGCAAATAAGCATGAGTTGAACTGTACACTAACTGGATCCTGCTTTTCAAACTGTAGATATTTAAGTCAGTCATATCTGTGATAATTACATAAAGAGCAAATGTAACTACTTTCACTCTATTAACTATGTGGTCTAACAATCAACAAGGAGATATGTTTACATCAAACCAGGTGGTTGATAAACACTTCTTTAAATGTTAAACATTATCCTTTATGCAAAAAGCTTGGGGGTTGGGGGGGCACCTCCATTATAAAGAATTCCAAGTGGGGATCCAAATGTCCCTATTTTCTCAAATACTTAGTAAGGAGGCTACATGCTCACCCATTCTACTGAGATTTATATGCCAAATGTTTCATATGTGTTTGCATTTTCATTTAAACCTTATATGATGCAGATACTATTACAACCACCATTTTACATACAAAGAAACTGAGCTTAACTAACTCGCCCAAGATCATACAAACAGAAGTGCGCCAAGATTGGAATCCAAGAAGTGTGACTTCAAAGCCCCACAAGATTAAGTACTCCAAGCATGAAGTACTTCCAGCAAATTAGAGGCTCCTACGACATAAAACTATGCCACTGGAGTACTTCAAGGAGAATTTTAATTTATTCAATCATTTGTTTATATCAATATAAAACTTTATTTTATACTATGGGTCATAATCCAATTCTGCTTTAATTTTGCTACTCAAATTGTTCCAGCTTTGGCCACTGGAAACTTTCAGTTGGTTCCTTTGCTCCTTCGACATAACCCATTAACGTGAAATGTTGTTGTTTTTAGAGCACTTCCTTATTTTTTGGCACAACAAGATACTCAAGGTTCATCTTATGTATATTTCCTGCCCCAATCACAGAATCAACCATTTCTCCAAGGAGCACTAGTTTCTTTTATTGGAGAATAATATTAGAAACTAAGATCCGGGGCCAGGTGTGTTGGCTCACACCTGTAATCCCAACACTTTGGGAGGCTGAGGCAGGAGGACTGCTTGAGCCCAGGAGTTCAACACCAGCCTGGGTAACATAGGGAGACCCACCTCTCTATAAAAATAGAAAACTTTGGCCAACCGCAGTGACTCATGCCTGTAATGCCAGCACTTTGGGAAGCTAATCACTTGAGCTCTGGAGTTTGAGACCAGCCTGGGCAACATAGCGAAATCCTGTCTGCATGAAAAATACAAAAATTAGCCACACGTGGTGGCGAGCACCTATAGTCCCAGCTACCTGGGAGGCTGGGGTGTGAGGATGGCTTAAGCCCAAGAGACAGAGGTTGCTGCGGGCTGAGATCATGCCACCACACTCCAGCCTGGGTGACAGGGCCAGACCCTGTCTCAAAAAAAAAAAAAAAAAAGAGAAAGAAAGAAAAAAATTAGATTAGCTGTGCATAGTGGCACACAGTTAAACTCTGTAAACTCATACAGTGAGCATACAGTAAACTCATATAGTGGCATACCTGTAGTCCCAGCCCCAGCTATTTGGGAGGCTGAGGTGGGAGGATAGCTTGAGTCTGGAAGGTCATGGCTGCAGTGAGCATGCCATTGCACTCCAGCCTGGGTGACAGGGCAAGACCCCTGTCTCAACAAAAAAAAAGAAACCAAGATCTGGGCACTAGGTGCACTCCTAGGTGTTGTTTCTTTCAACTCTCAGCTGACAATGAATGGAAATATATTTGTGTATATTAACTCAAGTATGTACATATATCTATAAATATTTCTACATATAAACATGGAACTATTTTGTACTGGTATCTCCAACCTGAATCCATTACCACAAAGATTATTCTAGCCTCCTGCCTCGCTTATCTGTAAATTCCACTCCAACAGTGAAAAGCCTGCCTCCTGCCATCCATTTACTTAACTGTTCAATTGTAGTTACCTATGTAATCAGTACTGATTCCTTTAAACCAGTATCAGAATTGTTAACCTCTGCCCCTTCGGAATGTAACTTTATCAATTAAAGTATAACGCTTATGTACAGTCCCTTTTGTCTTACAGATTCCACTCATTTCCAAAGTTACTTAAATCAGCACCTTCCTCCCGTTTAGCAAGGTTGTTTCACACATTTGTGATACAGTTAGTTTCTCCTGTCAAGATTTGCATGCCTGAAAGGCCTTGACCTCTAAAAAAATTTTTTTTAATTTGCATACATTAAAGTTTACTCTTAGGCCCAGAACAGCAGATCACACCCAGAACTTCAGGAGGCCAAGGCAGGCGATCATTTGAGGCCAGGAGTTCAAGACCAGGAGTTCGAGACCAGCCTGGTCAACAAGGTGAAACCCCATCTCTACTAAAAATACAAAAATTAGCCAGGCATTGTGGCACACACCTGCAATCCCGGCTACTTCGGAGGCTGAGGCAGGAGAATTGCTTGAACCCAGGAGATGAAGGTTGCAGTGAGCCATGATGGTGCCACTGCACTCCAGCCCAGGTGACAGAACAAGACTCTGTCATTAAAAAATAACTAACTAGGCCAGGTGTGATGGCTCATGCCTATAATCCCAGCACTTTGGGAGGCCAAGGAGGGTGGATCATTTGAGGTCAGGAGTTCGAGGCCAGCCTGGCCAACATGGTGAAACCCTGTCTCTACTAAAAATATAAAAATTAGCTGGGTGTCCTGGTGGGCACCTGTAATCCCAGCTACTCAGGAGGCTAAGACAGGAGAATTGCTTGAGCCTGGGAAACAGAGGTGGCAGTGAGCTGAGACCATGCCACTGCACTTCAGCCTGGGCAACAGAGCGAGACTATGTCTCAATAAATAAATAAATAAATAGGCCGGGCATGGTGGCTCACGCCTGTAATGCCAGCACTTTGGGAGGCCAAGGAGGGTGGATCACGAGGTCAGAAGTTTGAGACCAGCCTGACCAACACAGTGAAACCCCATCTCTACTAAAAATACAAAAATTAGCCGGGCATGGTGGTGCATGCCTGTAATCCCAGCTACTAGGGAGACTGAGGCAGGAGAATCGCTTGAACTCGGGAGGCAGAGGTTGTGGTGGGCCGAGATCACACCACTGCACTCCAGCCTTGGCAACAGAGCAATACTATGTCTCAAAAAATAAACAAACTTTACTCTTCGTGCTGTAAAGTTCTATGGGTTTTGACATGTCATGTGTCCACCATTACAGTATCAAACAGAATACTTTTATCAAGCAGTAACTTTAACTGAATTAAATGATACAACTTTCAGTGGAAACAGCATGGTAAGAAAGAAGATGAAGTCAAGAGCTGTGAGCTGAATCCATTGAAAAGCCACAGATAGGCCGGGCGTGGTGGCTCACACCTGTAATCCCAGCACTTTGGGAGGCCGAGGCAGGCGGATCACAAGGTCAGGAGATCTAGACCATTCTGGCTAACACCAGTAGAAACCCTGTCTCTACTAAAAAATACAAAAAATTAGCCGGGCGTGGTGGTGGGCGCTTGTAGTCCCAGCTACTTGGGAGGCTGAGGCAGGAGAATGGCATGAACTCGGGAGGCGGAGCTTGCAGTGAGCCGAGATCTCGCCACTGCATTCCAGCCTGGGGGACACAGCGAGACTCCGTCTCAAAAAAAAAAAAAAAAAAAGGAAAAAAAGAAAAGCCACAAATAGACTAGGACAGGCAGCTACTCACTCTGGGTCTCACTAGTTCCACTGTAAAATGGGGGTTCAATTCGACTAATCATATATAGCATTTATTAAACATTATGTATCAGGAATGGTACTAAGTACGTCACATGGATTGCCTCATTTATATCTAACAACACTATAAAGTAGACACTGATAGAGCAGGACGTCCATCCTCAGAACCGGAACCTTTGTACAAAACAGATAATTAAATAAGGGTGATGTTGAAAAACAAGAATATGTGTGCTCAGAAGCACGCCCAGTGCCACATCATGGAAGAGGGAGGCCAGCAAAAGACTGGGCCAAATCTCCACGGTCTCTTTGGAAAGAAGACAGGTCAGGCTGTTGGATTCACTTACACAGACGCCAATAAGAAAAAAAGCATTGCCTGGGGAGAGGATACACTGATACAGTATTTGGAGAATCCCAAGAAGTCTATTCCTGGAACAAAAATTATCTTTGCCAGCATTAATAAGGTAGAAAGGGCAGATTTGATAGCTTACCTCAAAAAAGCTACTAATGGCTAGGCACAGTGGCTCATGCCTGTAATCCCAGCACTTTGGGAGGCTGAGGCAGGCGGATCACTTGAGGTCAAGAGCTCGAGACCAGCCTGGCCAACATGGTGAAACCCCATCTCTACTAAAAATACAAAAATTAGCCAGGCATGGTGGCGGGCACCTGTAATTCCAGCTACTGGGGAGGCTGAGGCAGAACTGCCTGAACCCGGGAGGCGGAGGTTGCACTGAGCTGAGATTGCCCCACTGCACTACAGCCTGGGCGACAGAGTAAGGCACTTCAAAAAAAGTACTAATGAGTAATTGGCCACTGCCGTATTTATTACAAAATAGAAATGTCTGGCCAGGCACAGTGGCTCATGGCTGTAACCCCGGCACTTTGGGAGGTTGGGAGGCTGAGGCGGGTGGATCACCTGAGGTCAGGAGTTCGAGATCAGCCTGGCTAACATGGTGAAACCCTATCTTACTAAAAATACAAAAATTATGCCAGGTGCGGTGGCTCACACCTGTAATCCCAGCACTTTGGGAGGCCGAGGCAGATGGATCACCTGAGGTCAGGAGTTTGAGACCAGCCTGGTCAACATGGTGAAACCCCATCTCTACTAAAAATATGAAAATTAGCCAGGCATGGTGGCACACACCTGTAGTCCTAGCTACTCAGGAGGCTGAGGCAGGAGAATCACTTGAACCTGGGAGATGGAGGTTGCAGTGAACCGAGATAGTACCACTGCACTCCAGCCTGGACGACAGAGCGAGACTCCACCTCAAAAAAAAAAAAAACTGTCCAGGCGTGGTGATGGGTGGCTGTAATCCCAGCTGCTGGGGAGGCTGAGGCAGGAGAATTGCTTGAGCCCGGGAGGCAGAGGTTGCAGTGAGCTGAGATCGTGCTACTGCACACCAACCTGGGCAACAAGCGAAACTCCGTCTCAAAAAAAAAAAAAGAAAACTGGCTGTGGTTAAATGAATATATTTGGCTTTCTGGATTTTATTTTTATTTTGAGATGGAGTTCCCCTCTGTCGCCAGGCTGGAGTGCAGTGGCATGATCTCGGCTCACTGCAACCTCTACCTCCAGGGTTCAAGCTATTCTACTGCCTCAGCCTCCCAAGTAGCTGGGACTACAGGCACGTGCCAGCACACTCACCCAATTTTTGTGTTTTTAGTAGAGACGGGGTTTCACCATGTTGGTCAGGATGGTCTCGATCTCTTGACGTCATGATCCACCCGCCTCAGCCTCCCAAAGTGCTGGGATTACAGATTTAAGAAGCCACAGCACCCGGCCTCTTTTATTTTTTAGACAGGGTCTCGCTTGTCACCCAGGCTGGAGTGCAGTGGCAGGATCACAGCGCACTATAGCCTTGACCTGCTGAGCTCAGGTGATCCTCCCATTTCGGCCTCCAGAGTAGCTGGGACTACAGGCATGCACCACCACACCCGGCTAATTTTTTGTAGAGATGGGGTTTTGGCATATTGCCCAGGCTGGTCTCAAACTCCTAGACTCAAGTGATTTGCCTGCCTTGGTCTCCCAAAGTGCTGAGATTACAGGTGTGAGCTACCATGAAGGTCTTGGTTTTTTATTTTAACAGTAATTCCAATTAAGTAAATGATATCACTGTTTTCCCCTTCTAAAAACATGATTGAACTTCATTAGTAATGTTCAACTTTTCATCAAGATGGTGAATGCCATCTTAAAATCTACTGGAGATTGATTTTATATTTAGATTTATATAACTGGTTATGTGAGCATATTTAAATACTGGCAAAATTCCTTCATTGTCTCAGAACCAAGCATAATTCACCTGTGTTTTGTGTTTATTTGCCTCTTAAAGGCAAGGGCTGAAGATAAGGCAGCAATGTCTACATTTTTGGCCTTAACTATGCCAAGCTAATTAGAATTCCTTGTAACTAAAATGGTTCCTTTTACTTACTGAAAAGCACTTTAGGGTGTGGTTTATGTGTAATATCAAATAAAGAATAGTTAACGCTTAAAAAATAAAATAGGCCAGCCGTGGTGGTTCACGCCTATAATCCTAGCACTTTGGGAGGTAGAGGCAGGCAAATCACCTGAGGTCAGGAGTTCCAGATCAGCCTGGTCAACATGGTGAAACCCCATCTCTACTAAAGATACAAAAATTAGCTGGGTGTGGTGGCACATGCCTGTAGTCCCGGTTACTCAGGAGGCTGAGGCAGGAGAATTGCTTGAACCCAGGAGGCAGAGGTTGCAGTGAGCCAAGATGGCGCCACTGCACTCCAGCCTGGCGAGAGAGCGAGACTCCGTCTCAAAAAAAAGAATTTTTTTTTTAATGGTCTGGTCTGTTCTTAAGCCTTAACCATCTTATTCACTAAGAAGTTTCAAAAACAGGCCACACAGTGGCTCACACCTGTAATCCCAGCACTTTGGGAGGCTAAGGTGGGCGGATCATGAGGTCAGGAGTTTGAAACCAGCCTAGCTAACATGGTGAAATCCTGTCTCTACCAAAAATACAAAAATTAGCCGGGCGTGGTGGTGCACGCCTGTAATCCTAGCTACTCGGGAGGCTGAGGCAGGAGAATCACTTGAACTCGGGAGGCGGAGGTTGCAGTGAGCTGAGATCACGCCACTGTACTCCAGCCTGGGCTACAAGAGCAAAACTCTGTCTCAAGAAAAAAAAAAACGTTTTTGCGGGGAGGAGGAAAAAAAAAACCTCTTACCCAACAGAATAGGTGTCTTCAGACTACAAAGCCGTCCAAGATACATTAAAAAATGTTAAGAACCTTGCTCTGGAGGGAATAGCTCTGTTGCCCAGGCTGGAGTGCAGTGGCACAATCAGGGTTCACTGTAGCCTCAACCTTCCAGGCTCAACCAAACCTCCCATCTCAGCTTTCCAAGTAGCTGAACTATAGGCACACGCCACCCTAGTCCAAAAATTTTATTTTCTGTAGAGATGAGGTCTCCCTATATTGACCAGGCTGGTCTCAAGCTCCTCAAGCTCACGTGATCCTCCCTCCTCTGCCTCCCAAAGTGCTGGGATTACAGGTGGAAACCACTACGCCTGGCCAAAAATACTCTTCAAAATATTTTTGGGGAAGGCAGAAGGACTATAACAAAAATAGAATAGTGGTTCTGTCATTTACTGGCTATATGATTTAACTTGGTTTCAATTTTCTCATCTGTAAAATGAGAATTACTACCAAGAAGTTTCAAGAAAATTAAAATGATAATATATAAAGTATCTACCATACTCACTGACTCACAAGAGTTGTCTGATATTAGTGCCTATGCCCTTCTCATTCTCTATATGCTATAGCCTATCATATCAAGATTTTGATACGTTAGATCCAACTTTAAAACTTTTCAACTGTTAGCTGGACACAGTGGCTCACGCCTGTAATCCCAGCACTTTGGGATGCCAAGGCAGGCAGATCACAAGGTCAAGAGATCGAGACCATCCTGGCCAAACATGGTGAAACCCCATCTCTACTAAAAATACAAAAATTAGCCAGGCGTGGTGGCATGCGCCTGTAGTCCCAGCTACTTGGGAGAATGAAGCAGGAGAATTTCTTGAACCCGGGAGGCAGAGGGTGCAGTGAGCCTAGATCGTGCCACTGCATTCCAGCCTGGCGACAGGGCAAGACTCCATCTCAAAAAAAAAAAAAAAAAAAAAAAAAAACTTTTCAACTGTTTTCCTACAAAAACTTAGTCTCCTATTAACCCCAACCCACTTTGTCCACTCTAAAATCCACTGCATCCTAGCGTTTATATTTCATGTGTATTTTGTTGTTGTTGTTGTTGAGCCAGCTCGGGCTCTGTCGCCCAGGCTGGAGTGCAGTGGCTCGATCTCGGCTCACTGCAATCTCTGCCTCCTGGGCTCAAGCCATCCTCTCACCTCAGCATCCCAAGTAGCTGGGACTACAGGTGCACATCACCATGCTTAGCTAATTTTTGTATTTTCTGTAGAGACAGGGTTTTGCCATGTTGCCCATGCTGATTTCAAACTCCTGAGCTCAAACGATCCGCCTGCTCAGCCTCCCAAAGTGCCGGGATTACAGGTGTGAGCCACCAAGCCTAACCTATTTAATGTGAATTTGTATGTTGGCATATAAAATCCCCTAGCCAGTTTTGTTTTGTTTTGTTTTTTTGAGACAGAGTTTTGCTCTTGTTGCACTCCACTGGAGTGCAGTGGCTCAATCTCGGCTCACTGCAACCTCCGCCTCCCGGGTTCAAGCGATTCTCCTGCCTCAGCCTCCTGAGTAGCTGGGATTACAGGTGCGCGCCACCACGCCCAGCTAATTTTTTGTATTTTTGGTAGAGTCAGAGTTTAACCATGTTGGCCAGGCTGGTTTCGAACTCCTGACCTCAGGTGATCCACCTGCCTCAGTCTCCCAAAGTGCAGGGATTACAGGCGTGAGCCACCGCACCCGGCCAACAAACTTTCATTAAGTGAACCTCTAACACCACAGCTTATAATTAGTTTTGTTTTGTTTTTAGAGACAGGGTCTCGCTCTCCACCCAGGCTTGAGTGCGCTGGCACAATCATAGCTCACTAGGGACTCAAGTGATCCTCTTGCCTCCTGAGTAACTGGGACTACAGGCTTGAGACACCATGCCCAGCAGAATAGCTCTCGATTTGTTGCTTTGGCTTAATCACATTTCCACCTTGATGTACTCAAAATGTTTTTATTAGTCATAAACTTTTCTAATCACATTTGTGCTCACTACAATTATTTCCTATCACAATTTACAGACTTTCAAAAATTGATTTGGTTTCTACTGAAATAAAACGTAGAGGAAAAGAACACAGTAAGCTAAAATGATGGAATTCAATCCCTTAAAAACAAAATTCAGCCGGGCACGGTGGCTCACGCCTGTAATCTCAGCACTTTGGGAGGCCAAGGTAGGTGGATCACGAGGTCAGGGGCTCGAGACCAGCCTGACCAACATGGTGAAACCCCGTCTCTACTAAAAATACAAAAATTAGCTGGGTGTGGTGGCGGGCGCCTGTAATACCAGCTACTCAGGAGGCTGAGGCAGGAGAATTGCTTGAACCCGGGAGGCGGAAGCTGCAGTGAGCCGAGATCACGCCACTATACTCCAGCCTGGGCGACAGAGCCAGACTCCGTCTCAAAAAACAAAAAAAAAAAAACATTCATTTTAAAGTCTAGAAGGTATGCAACTTTTACCACACATAATGATCTCAAATTGTTTTATAGGAGGAGGAGCTTGGAAATTTCAAACATAAAATGCAACTAGAACAGAATATTATTTGGCATTAAAAGCAAATGAGGCCATGTGCGGTGGCTCATGCCTATAATCCCAGCACTCTGGGAGGCCAAGGCAGGCGGATCACTTGAGGTCAGGAGTTCGAGACCGGCCTAGCCAACATGGTGAAACCCCGTTTCTACTAAAAATACAAAAATTAGCCGGGTGTGGTGGCAGCCGCCTGTAATCCCAGCTACTGGGGAGGCTGAGGCACGAGAAGTGCTTGAACCTGGGAGGCGGAGGTCGCAGTGAGTCGGGACCCCGCCACTGCACTCCAGCCTGGACGACAGAGCGAGACTCAGTCTCAAAAAAAAAAAAAAAAAGGAATTAAGTACTGATACCTGCTACAACACGGATGAACCTTGAAAACACCATGTTAAGTGAAACAAACTAGGCAAAGAAAGATACATATGTTTCTTTTTTAGGTAAATTTAGGCAAAAAATATATTAATAGTTACCTAAGACTGGAGGGAGGGGGAATGGGGAGTGACTGCTAAATGGCTTCTAGAGATTCTCTTTTAGGGTGATGAATTAAATAGTGGTTGATGGCTACAGAATTTAATAAATATAGTTTCAGAAAATTACTTAATTATACGCTTTAGAAAGCGGAATTTTTTGGTATTTGAATCATATTTCAATAAAGCTATTATTTAATTTAAGTTGCCACTGAAAAGCCACAATAATTTTGTTGTGGAGGAAATAATGAAAGTCACTGACTGGAAAAGTAACCTGTGACGTTAGCCAGGTCAACCTCCAAATTCCTTCCCCCATTTCTAACAAGTACATCAAACTAGAGACAGTGTGTGAATCAAAGAATTCCAGGCACAGTTGGCTGTTAACTAGAATAGTAAGTGGCTGCCTAGGTTCTGTCATTCCTAAACTGTAGGGGGCTTCTAGCCTCGGAGATTACGGAAGTAGTACTTTCCATTAGCGAGCTCAAGAAGGAATGTCAAAATAGGATGACACTTTCCTAGTCGCTATGTAAAAACCTAAAAAACCAGAAGAGGTGTCATCTAGACACTCCCAAGTCTATGCAGGTGTCAGCCTGCCCCCACCCAACACCAGCCAGCAGCGTGCACCATTCAACCGTATCTCAACTTGCCCCTTACAAAATGACA
Source organism: Homo sapiens (assembly GCF_000001405.40). Classification (NCBI taxonomy): domain Eukaryota; kingdom Metazoa; phylum Chordata; class Mammalia; order Primates; family Hominidae; genus Homo; species Homo sapiens. The sequence continues at coordinate 41,115,521 of NC_000015.10, forward strand.
CACTAACAAGCCCTTAGATCTCATTTGTTTAAAATGACAGATACACAACCTTCACGGGGTTCCCACTCAAGGCCTTCCAGCCTCCGCCCTGCCCCTGCCCACCCCCAAACCTACACACGTGTTAGCCCGACACCGCCCCACCGGGTCCCACGTGCACCTGGTCTAACACACTCCCCACGTGTGGGCGCCCCACGGGCTTCCTCAGGTGGCTGAGGTCACCGCATGACCCCGGGTCTCCAGAGATATGAAACGGGAAGGACAAGGCCCTAGTCCCTGAGGTCCCAACCCTGCGGGGAGTGTCCACACCCATCCTCCATACTAACCCCAACAAATCCAAGGGCCGGGGGCGACGGCCCCTTTAAGACGCGGCCCAGTTGTCGCCCGCAGAGAGGGGCGCAACAAGACCTACACAACCCCCACTCCGTTCGCCCGCCCACGTCTAGTTGCCTCACCTCGGGCCGCCTGGCCCCGCCGCCGCGACGGCGGCGGAGGGGGGGCGGGGTGCGGGCGGGGTCCGGAGGGGGGGGTCGCCCCGCCGACGGTGGAGCCGCGGTTCGCTCTCTGAGGCCGTGGGACGGTGACTGCGTTGGGCGTGGACGCTCCTAGCTCGCTCCCTCCGCGGCTCCTGGGACCCCAAGATGGCGGCGGCGCTGAGGCGGCTGCGGGCGCTGGGCCGGCGGCGGCGGCGGCCACTTTCACTCACTGAGAGGAGCGGAGCAGGGACACGGGGAGCCATGGCGGGGGGGAGGAGAGGCGCCATAGCCAGGCCAGAACAATCGAGCCGCTACACGGGTGGCTTACCCCCACCCCGCCCACACTCACTGCTCGTCGCCTGCCCGTGGCCACCCGTAGTGCCGCTGCCGTCGGCCTCGCGCAGCTCGCACCCCGCCGCTGCCACCTGACGCCCCGTGCGAACCGGGGTTCGAGGGGAGACCCTGATCCATGCCATCTGAGTACAGATTAGTCGGGACTGGGACTGGCGAAGATTGCCGAAAGGCGGCGGGGAGGAGGAGGAGGATGTCATCGCTACAGTGAGCAAGCAGATCTCGCAGGAGAAAATGTCGCGAGAGCTTTCCAGGCCCGCAACCGCCGATGCAAGGTTACTTTTCCCGGAAGTAACGTCAATCGAAACCGCCCGGGATCCTGGGATATTTGTTCCCGCAGGCTAGAGGTGGGAAGGTGCAGCCAAGTTGATAAGATCTCTTTAGGGGAAGGAGAGGCTCGCAGCTGGTATTTTGTTACTAGTTTCTGACCCCTTTGGATGGGGTTGTAGATTGTCGGGGAAGTGCCTGGTGTGTAGTTCGACTACTATACAGTAATTAGTTTGGGGCTCCCATTTAGACTCTGGGAGCAAGAACGCTATAGGTTGGGTAGGACAGCATAGTTAGATAAGATGTCTACGTGAAGGTTGTGGGATACAAGGACTTGGGAACACGCAGACCTGTTATCGGAAATGCCAGCCTGTTCTCACATCCACACAGTGTGCCTCTGAAAAGCGAATAATTGCTTTTACCTGTGCCAATTCTACAATTTGAGTCCACTGCCACCCACATTTACTAAACTTGGGGTCTCGCTATGTTGCCCAGTCTACTGGGCTGGTTCCCAGTCTCCTGGCCTGAAGTGATCCTCCTGCCTGGAAGGATCACCTCAGGCCAAACGTCTCAGAGCAGTCCATTAGACTGGTCAACATAGCGAGACCCCGTCTCTACAAAAAAGACAACATAATAAATGTAATCGACCCAACTACCAGGATGTGTGGTGAGAATTGCCTAGGGTAAGGCCTAGGTGTAGATAAGAATTAGAACTTACTGAAAGTTAAATATGCTGTTAATTCAGTTCCTTTGGGTCTCATTCTTTAATCCATTTTAACCTGGCCCTTAGCATTTAACTAAAAAGTACTTTATTAAGGTCATCAAGTAGCCTTCTTGTGCTGAGTTAACTGACCTTTAAAAAGTTAAATTTGTGTCAGGGTGCAGTGCCACACGCCTGTAATCCCAGCACTTTGGGAGGTCAGGTGGTCGAATCACCTGAGGTCAGGAGCTCGAGACCAGCCTGACCAATATGGTGAAACCCCATCTCTACTAAAAATACAAAAATTAGCCGGGCGTGGTGGCGGGTGCCTGTAGTCCAGCTACTTGGGAGCCTGAGGCAGGAGAATCGCTTGAACCTGGGAGGCGGAGGTTACAGTGAACCGAGATCGCACCATTGCACTCCAGCCTGGGCAGCAAGAGCGAAATTCCGTATCAAAAAGAAAAAAAAAAAAATCCATCTCAAAAAGAAAAAAAAAAAGTTACATTTGCAAGCCAAGCGCGGTAGCTCACGCGTGTAATCCCGGCACTTTGGGAGGCTGAGGCGGGTGGATCACTTGAGGTCGGGATTTTGAGACCAGCCTGGCCAACATGGTGAAACCTCGTCTCTACTGAAAAAAAAAAAAAAAAAAAAAAAAAAAGATTAGCCGGGCGTGGTGGCGGGCACCTGTAATCCCAGCTACTCGGGAGTCTGAGGCAGGAGAATCTCTTGAACCTGGGAGGCAGGGGTTGCAGTGAGCCGAGACTGAGCCACTGTACTCCAACCTGGGACAGAGCGAGACTCTGCCTCAAGAAAAAAAACCAAGAGTTAAATTTGCTTGAATGCATGGCCAGGCACGGTGGCTCACGCCTGTAATCCCAGTACTTTGGGAGGCCTAGGCAGGCAGATCACGAGGTCAGGAGTTTGAGACCAGCCTGACCAACCTTGAAACCCTGTCTCTACTAAAAATACAAAAATTAGCTGGGCATGATGGCGCGCGCCTGTAATCCCCCCAGCTACTCAGGAGGCTGAGGCAGGGGAATCGCTTGAACCCCGGAGGCGGAGGTTGCCGTGAGCGGAGATCTAGCCATTGCACTCCAGCCTGGGCAACAGAGTAAGACTGTCTTTAAAAAAAAAAAATGCTTAAAGGCAAAAGTATGATATATAATTGGCCCTTATATCTGCGGGTTCAATATCCGTGGATTCAACCAACAGCAAATCAAAAATACTCAAAAAATAGGCTGGGCTCAGTGGCATACACCTGTAATCCCCAGCACTTTGAGAGGCTGAGCCAAAGTGTCACTTGAAGCCAGGAGTTACAGATTGGCTTGGGCAACAAAAGAAGACCCCATTTCTACCAAATGTTCAAAAAATAAATAATAACTCATTTCAAAATACACTATAATTATTTGCATAACATTTGCATTGTATTGGGTATTATAAGTAATCTAGAGATGATTTAAAGTATATGGGAGGATGTGTAGGTGATATGCAAATGCTACACAATTTTGTCACACACGCCTGTAATCCCAGCACTTTGGGAGGCCGAGGCTGGCAGATCACGAGGTCAGGAGATCGAGACCATCCTGTCTATCGCGGTGAAACCCCGTCTCTACTAAAAAAATACAAAAAAATTAGCCAGGCGTGGTGGCAGGCGCCTGTAGTCCCAGCTACTCAGGAGGCTGAGGCAGGAGAATGGCGTGAACCTGGGAGGCAGAGCTTGCAGTGAGCCGAGATCACGCCACTGAACTCCAGCCTGGGCGACAGAGCGAGACTCCATCTCAAACAAAATTTTTTTAAAAAGTTTTAACCAGGAACTAATGTGATTGATTTCTTACATGAGGAGAATGGAAGAAGGGAAGGAATGGGAATTATGTAGCAGGATTGAGGCAGAAATGGCAAAGTTTCCAGCATGGGTGACAACTGCAAACTCTGTTTCAAAAAAAAAAAAACAGAAACCACAGAAGGCAACCTGAAAGAACTCCTAATGGCCAAGGCAACAAAGTAAATCATAATAGCATTGGATCATGAACCACAGATGACCCATATATATTAATTTTAATATTCATGCCGATATAAGTAAATATCTGATATAAATACTAATATAAATAAATGAGAAGAGAAGAAAGAAGAAAAGAATGCTTTCTTAGAGTAGGATTTTAGTAAATGTGGAAGGAATGAGGGATAACAAAACTCACCATTAGACAAACACTTCAGCAATCACTGCTGCAGACAAGATCCACTAAGGAATGCTAAATTAGTGGTTAAAAATTTGCTATGAAACAGAATTTGCACAGATTCAAAGTGTCTCACCCAAGATACATTTTAGCACAAAGGGAAAGACAGTAACTTTATAGTGGTGAAACTCAGCAGAAACCACCTTAACCAACCAATTAAGGTAAACAATAAGACATGTTTACGTCCTGAACCCCTTGATATTTTGCATTGAGAAAGACCCAACATAATTTCTGTGGTATTCTTACCAAAATTCATAACCACATTCCATTCATGAAAAAACACCACACTATTTCAAATTCAGGGACTTACCACAAAATAATTGATCAATACTCTTCAAAACCATCAAGGTCATGAAAGACAAGGAAAGACCCAAGGACCCTTACAGACCTACACACCAAGGAGAAATAACAAGTAAATGCAATGTGGAGTCCTAGGAGGGAACCTGGAACAGAAACTGGACATCAGTGGAAAAACTTACGACACTTGTATAAGTTTTTTAATGTAGTTCGTAGTATTGTATCAATGCTGACTTCCTCGTCTTAGAAATTGTACTATTGGCCAGGCGCAGTGGCTCACACCTGTAATCCTAGCACTTTGGGAGGCCGAGGTGGGCAGATCACCTGAGGTTGGGAGTTCAAGACCAGCCTGACCAACATGGAGAAACCCTGTCTCTACTAAAAATACAAAATTAGCTGGGCATGGTGGCGCATGCCTGTAATCCCAGCTACTCGAGAGGCTGAGGCAGGAGAATCGCTTGAACCCGGGAGGCAGAGGTTGCAGTGAGCTGAGATCGTGCCACTGCGTTCCAGCCTGGGCATAAAGAGTGAAACTCCATGTCAAAAAAAAAAAAAGAAAAGAAAGAAAGAAATTGTACTGTTGTGGCCAGGCACGGTGGCTCATGCTTATAATCCTAGCACTTTGGGTGGCCATGGTCGGTGGATCACCTGAGATCAGGAGTTCAAGACCAGCCTGGCCAACATGATGAAATCCCGTCTCTACTAAAAATACAAAAAATGAGCCAGGCGTGGTGGCACATGCCTGTAATCCCAGATACTCGGGAGGCTGAGGCAGGAGAATCACTTGAACCCAGGAGGTGGAGGTTGCAGTGAGCTGAGATCGCACCAGTGCACACCAACCTGGGTGGCAGAGCAAGACTCTGTCTCAAAAAAAAAAAAAAGAAAGAAAGAAAGAAAAAGCTTAAACTATTAAACTGAGAATTTCAATCATTTTTCAAGCATACAGTGAATATTAACAATGAGGGTCTCAAAAAAAAAAAAAAAGGGCCAGGGCCAGGCGTGGTGGCTCACACCTGTCAGTAATTCCAGCACTTTGGGAGGCCGAGGTGGGTGGATCACCTGAGGTCAGGAGTTCAAGACCAGCCTAGCCAAGATGGTGAAACCCCATCTCTACTAAAAATACAAAAATTAGCTGGGCGCGATGGCTGGCACCTGTAATCCCAGCTGCTCGGGAGGCTGAAGCAGGAGAATCCCTTGAACCCAGGAGGCGGAGGTTATAATGAGCTGAGACCACGCCATTGCGCTCCGGCCTGGGTGACAGAGGGAGACTCCATTTCAAAAAAAAAAAAAAAAGTTTCTCAGATGTAGCAGAGATGGCAACAATATGAATAATAATAACCATAAGGCTGTGCCCACCAACCACCAATTCCACTGAGGAAATAGTTACCACCACCCTCATTGTTATCTGAGATTCCAGGGAAAACAGGCAGGTAAAGAACAAGTGCATTCAGCTGGGGATAAACGGGATGCACATGCATTTTAAGCATTAAAGCAAGGGACAGAAACTGGTCTCTGTCCATAACCAGCCTTCAGGTGTGTGATTTTGTTTTGAGTTTTTTTTTCTTGAAAACTAGGACAATCTAGCAACGCTTATGCAACAGCGAAATGGAAGTGAACCACAGCTTCACCCTTTAGGCACAGTATACCTGCCCACTTCTTTCCTGCTCACCTGAGTCCCTGTCACTACCAGTTACTTAAACCCAATCCACTGATACTGTTTCAAACTTCTGCAGAATTTCAGTTTGCAGTTACTACAATAAAAGGTTCATTTTGGGCCGGGCACAGTGGCTCACGCCTGTAATCCCAGCCCTTTTGGAGGCCAAGGCGGGCGGATCACCTGAAGTCGGGAGTTCAAGACCAGCCTGACCAACATGGAGAAACCCCATCTCTACTAAAAATACAAAATTAGTCGAGCATGGTGGCGCATGCCTAATCCCAATTACTTGGGAGGGTGAGGCAGAAGAATTGCTTGAACCAAGAGGCGGAGATTGTGGTGAGCCAAGATCGTGCCATTGCAATCCAGCCTGGGCAATAGGGTGAGACTCTGTCTCAAAAAAAAAAAAAGAATTGGTTTAGGCCGGGTGCAGTGGCTCACGCCTATAATCCTAGCAATTTGGCAGGGTAACGTGGGCAAATGGCTTCTGTTCAGAAGTTTGAGAGCAGTAAGGGCAACATGGCAAAACCTCACCTCTACAAAAAAAACAAAAATTAGCCAGGAGTGTAACACATACCTGTAGTTCCAACTATTCAAGAAGCTGAGGTAGGAGCATTACTTGAGCCCAGGAGACGGAGGCTCCAATGAGCTGAGATTGCACCACTGCTCTCCAGCCTGGGCAACACAGCAAGACCCTACTCAAAAAATAAAAAAAAAAAAAAAAGAAAGCGGCAGGCACAATGGCTCATGCCTGTAATCCCACCACTTTGGGAGGCTGAGGCAGGCAGATCACCTGAGGTCCAGAGTTCGAGACCAGCCTGGCCAACATGGCGAAACCTGGTCTGTACTAAAAATACAAAAATTAGCCGGGCGTGGTGGTGCACACCTGTAGTCCCAGCTACTCGGACATCTGAGGCAGGAGAATCACTTGAACGTGGGCAGCAGAGGTTGCAGTGAGTCAAGATTGTACCACTGCATTCCAGCCTGGGTAAGAGTGAGACTCCATCTCAAAAAAAAAAAAAAAAAGAAAGGAGGGAGGGAGGGGCAGGGAAGGGAAGGAAAAAAGAAAGTTTTATTCAAATCTTTTGCCCATTTTTACAATGGATTTTTCTTTTTAAGTTGTAATTGTTCTCTACATGTTCAAGATACAAGTTCTTTTTCAGATCTCTGATTGCTAAATATTTTCTCTCATCTATAGGTTGTTTTTTTACTTTCTTGATGGGGTCCTCTGAAGTAGAAAAGGTAAATTTTTTTGTCATTTTTAAGATGGATTTTCGTCCTCGGCACCCAGGCTGGAATGTAATGGCGCAATCTTGGCTCACTGCAACCTCCGCCTCCTGGGTTCAAGCGATTCTCCTGTCTCAGCCTCCCAAGTAGCTGCTGGGATTACAGGCATGAGCCACAGTGCCTGGCCAGAAAAGTTAATTTTGATGTTTACTTTGTCTACTTTACCTTTGATCACTGATGCTTTTGATGTCATATATAAGAATTAATGGCCGTCCAGGTGCAGTGGCTCATGCCTGTAATCCCACCACTTTGGGAGGCCAACACAAGAGGATCACTTGAGCCCAGGAATTTGAGAGCAACCTGGGCAACATAGTGAGATCCCTTCTCTACAAAAAAATAGAAATATTAGTTGGGCATGGTAGCATGCACCTGTAGTCTCAGCTCCTTGGGAGGCCGGAACTAAAAATACAATTTTTTTTTACAAGTAAAAATAAAAATAAATATGTGAGCCTGGGAGGTCAAGGCTGCAGTGAGCCTTGACCACACCCCTGCACTCCAGACTCGGTGACTGAGTGAAAACCCGTCTCAAAGAAAAAAAATAATTTATTGCCAAATCTATGATCATAAAGATTTACTTGTCTTTTTCTAAGAATTTTGTGGATTTTGCTCTTACATCTATGTCTATGCCCAATTTTTAGTTAATCTCTGTATATGGAGTGAGGTAAGACTCCAACTTCATTCTTTTGCATGTGAATATCCAGCACCATTTGTTTAAAAAATGGTTCTTTTATAGAAGACATTTACAACCACATTAAATGGTCTTGCCACCCTTATTAAAAATCAGCCAAACAGGCCGGGCAAGATGGCTCACACCTGTAATCCCAGCACTTTGGGAGGCCAAGGCAGGCGGATCACGAGGTCAGGAGATAGAGACCATCCTGGCTAACACAGTGAAAATCTGTCTGTACTAAAAATACAAAAATTAGCTGGGCGTGATGGCGGGCACCTGTAGTCCCAGCTACTTGGGAGGCTGAGGCAGGAGAATGGCATGAACCCAGGAGGTGGAGCTTGCAGTGAGCCGAGATTGGGCCACTGCACTCCAGCCTGGGCGACAGAGTGAGACTCCGTCTCAAAAAAAAAAAAAAAAAAATCAGTCAAACGTAGACACATGATTTTTTTCCCTCCTTTGAGTACTTTTCCTTCTTTTGAGTACTCCCATTATGTATTTTTTTGTATGCTCAATGGTGTCCAATGAGTCTCTGAGGCTCTGTTCATTTTTCTGCATTCACTTTTCTGTCTGTTCCCCGGATTGCGTAAAACCTGTCAATCTATTTTCATGTCCGCTAATTTGTTCTTCTGATAATTCAGATCAAAAATTGAGTCCTACTAGTGACTTTTTCATTTCGGTTACTGTATTTTTCAACATTAGAATTCCTTTTTTCTGTTTTTTGTTTGTTTTTGAAACAGGGTCTAACTCTGTCATCCAAGCTGGAATACAGTGGTGCAATCACAGCTCACTGCATCCTTGACCTTCTGGACTCAAGCGATCCTCCCACCTCAGCCTCCCAAGTAGCTGGGACAAGGGACATACACCACCATGCCCAGCTAGTTTTTGTATTTATGTTTTACCATGTTGTCCAGGCTGGTCTCAAACTCCTGGGCTCAAGACATCCGCCCACCTCAGCCTCCCAAGTGCTGGGATTATAGGTGTGACCCACGGAGCCCAGCCAACATCAGAATTTCTATGTAGTTCTTTTTTAGAATTTCTGTGTCTTCGACCTGGTGCGGTGGCTCACGCCTGTAATCCCAGCACTTTGGGAGGCTGAGGCAGGCGTATCACCTGAGGTCAGGAGTTCGAGACCAGCCTGGCCAACATGGCGAAATCCCGTCTCCACCAAAAATACTAAACTTAGCCGGGCATGGTGGCAGACGCCTATAATACCAGCTACTCAGGAAGCTGAAGCAGGAGAATCACTTGAACCCAGGAGGCAGAGGTTGCAGTGATCGGAGATCAAGCCACTACACTTCAGCCTGGGCAACAGAGCAAGACTGTCTCAAAAAAAAAAAAAAGAATTTTTATGTCTTCATTGATAATAATCTCTATTTCATAAGGCATTGTTATCATACCTTCCTTCATAAACCATGTTTTCCTTTAGTTCTTTGAAAGTATTATAATGGGTACTATGAAGCCTTTTAAATGGAACATTTAAAATTGCAAACACTGTTTGCAATTGCAGGCAGTGTATGTTTCCTGCTTTTTTCCAGTGTATGGATCATGGTTCCCTGTTTTTTCATAAGTCTTATAATTTGTTTATGGGAAACTAGCATATTTAAAATAATATATTAGGCCAGGTACAGTGGCACACACTTGTAATCCCAGAACTTTGGGAGGCTGAGGCAAGTAAATTGCTTGAGCTCTGGAGTTCAAGACCAGTTTGGGCAACATGGTGAAACCCCATCTCTACAAAAAATATAAAAATTAGCCAGGCATGGTGGTGCATGCCTGTAGTCTCAGCTTATTGGGAGGCTGAGGCGGGAGGATTGCTTGAGCCCAGGAGATCAAGGATACAGTGAGCCATGATCATGCCTTTGCACTCCAGCCTGGTCCACAGAGTGAGACCTTGTCAAAATAAATAAATAATAAATAAGTAATCTAGTAACTCTGGGTACTGATCTGCTATTAAAGGGCTGGTCCTGCTATTTGCTTGTTTGTTTAGTGAGTAGGTGGAATGCTTTAGTGCAACCTATTCCCTACTCCCAACAGTTCTTTTTTTTTTTTTTTGAGACAGTCTCACTCTGTTGCCCAGGCTGGGGTGCAGTGCTGCCATCTTGCCTCCCTGCAACCTCTGCCTCCTGGTTCAAGCAATTCTCCTGCCTGGGCCTCCCAAGTTGCTGGGATTACAGGCACACACAACCATGCCCAGCTAATTTTTGTATTTTTAGTAGAGACGGGGTTCGCCATGTTGGCCAGGCTGGACTTGAACTTCTGACCTCAGGTGATCTGCCCGCCTGAGCCTCCCAAAGTGCTGGGATTATAGGCATGAGCCACTGCACCTGGCTTCCTACTCCCAACAGTTCTAAGCCTCTGATGTTGGCCGCTCAGGACCATCCCACAATCTGGGATGACAGATTTTGGCAGGGATCTCTTTGACAGTGTCTCTTCCCTGAACGCACCTAGTTATTAAATTCCATTCACTACTGATTGCTCTATTCCTTTCAATAATGCCCTTGGTCACAAATTGCTTCACAGAATAATCCAATCAAATTCAGGCTCCTTTAAGGAGATGGTTGTCAAAGTCAATTTTTAAGATTTGAGATTTGTTCAGTCCCAAGGCAGGTTTCTCACAAATGTCTACCTTCCTGGTTCTCTTGGGCACATTAGCTAACCTACATTTTAGTCTGTATATCCAATGACTCCTCCCAATTGCCTCATCACAACCTCCACTATTTTTGAGAGAACCCTTAGGCTCAAATTCTCCCACACTCTGTTGCAAATTAAGTCAGTTCTTCTGGGAAGAGATTAGGAGCTACTTGCTTTTTTTTTTTTTTTTTCATTTCTTTTAGGAGCTACTTGCTTTAAAAACCCGCTTCTCCTGCCAGGCAAAATCTCTAGGCCAAGTCTGGAGTGTAGGAGAGACAATGACATCATTCCCTCCAAATGGTCTTTCTGCCTAGGAGCTGAGAGCTCAGCGGATGCGGTGTAGAAGCCACAGGTGTTGGTTTGCCTCGGTGTGGAACCACCACCTTCAGAGCCACTGCTAGAGCAATGAATGGCTCAGTGTTCTCAGCACAGCCACACCCAAGGTACAGCTTCTGTCCCACAGCAGGAGCTAGGCAGAAGAAAGGATCCCTGCACATTTGCCCAGAATTTGGTGTCAGCAACAGGTAGCTGGGAGCTGGATGAGAATTGCTGACATCCTGCCCTTACCAGGAAGCTGGCTCTCCAACTGGAAGCTGGGGAGAGAGGAAGCCCTGTGCTCTTGGCTGCACCACCCTGTAGTGGTCTCCACTTGGCTGAACTGGAAGGGGAGAGGAGGGAAATGAATCCTGGTTCAAACACCACACTGTTCATTAAGTGGAAGTGGAGCATCATAAAGGTCTTCATCCTCATTGCCTTCATACTGAGTAGGCTGAGGAGGAGGAGGAAGAGAAGGGTCTTAACTGTCTCAGGGGTGGCAGACTTGAAGAAAATTCGTAGATATGTGGATCTGTGCAGATCAAACCCGTGTTGGTCTCAACTGTATACAAAAATTAATTATATTTTCATATAATAGAAACAAACAATTGAAAGTTAAAATATTGAAAATACAATTTATAATAACAAAAAAGCCATGAAATACTTTGGTTTGGATGTTTTTCCCTACCAAATCTCATGTTGAAATGTGACTCCCGGGGCCGGGCACGGTGGCTCATGCCTGTAATCCCAGCGCCTTGGGAGGCCAAGGAAGACGGATCACGAGGTCAGGAGTTCGAGACCAGCTTGGCCAAGATGGTGAAACCCCATCTCTACTAAAAATACAAAAATTAGCTGGGTGTGGTGGCAGGCACCTGTAATCCCAGCTACTTGGAAAGCTGAGGCAGGAGAATTGTTTGAACCCGGGAGTCAGAGGTTAGTCGGAGGTTGCAGTGAGCCAAGATCACGCCACTGCACTCCAGCCTGGCAACAGAGCAAGATTCCATCTCAAAAAAAAAGAAAAAAGAAAAAAAGAAATTTGAGTCCCAATGTTGGAGGTAGGGCCTGATGAGAGGTGATTGGATCATGGGGGTGGATCCCTCACACATGGCATAGCACCATCCCCTCGGTGGTAAGTGAGTTCCCCCTCTGAGTTCATATGAGATCTGGTTGTTTAAAACTGTATGGCACAGGCCAGGCACGGTGGCTCATGGCTGTAATCCCAGCACTTTGGGAGGCCGAGGTGGGCGGATCACTAGATCAAGAGATCAAGACCATCCCAGCCAACATGGTGAAATCCATCTCTACTAAAAATACAAAAAATTAGCTGGGCGTGGTGGCGGGCGCCTGTAGTCCCAGCTACACAGGAGGCTGAGGCAGGAGGATGACTTGAACCTGGGAGGTGGAGATTGCAGCAAGCCGAGATCGTGCCACCGCACTCCAGCCTGGCCACAGAGCAAGACTCCGTCTTAAAAAAAAAAAAATAGCCGGGCGCGGTGGCTCATGCCTGTAATCCCAGCACTTTCGGAGGCCAAGGCGGGCAGATCACCTGAGGTCAGGAGTTCGAGACCAGCCTGACCAACATAAAGAAACCCAGTCTCTACTAAAAATACAAAATTAGCCATGCATGGTGGCACGTGCCTGTAATCCCAGCTACTTGGGAGGCTGAGGCAGGAGAATCGCTTGAACCCAGGTGGCAGAGGATGCTGTGAGCCAAGATTCTGCCATTGCACTCCAGCCTGAGCAACAAGAGCAAAACCCCATCTCAAAAAAAAAAAAAAAAACAAATTAATGAATAATGAATGAATGAATGATGGAGAAGATAAATTCCTTTTTTTTTTTTTTTTTTTTGAGACAGAATCTAGCTCTGTCATCCAGGCTGGAGGGCAGTGGAGCAATCTCAGCTCGCTGCAACCTCCACAGGTTCAAGCGATTCTCCTGACTCAGCCTCCCGTGTAGCTGGGATTACAGGCATGCAACACCACGCCTAGCTATTTTTTTTGTATTTTTAGTAGAGACAAGGTTTCTCCTTGTTGATCAGTCTGGTCTTGAACTCCTGACCTCAAGTGATTGGCCTGCCTCGGCCTCCCAAAGTGCTGGGATTAAAGGCATGAGCCACTGCTCCTGGTCAGAAAGTTCTTTCAGGATAATGCAAAATAGTAAGTGAAGAAGGAATAATGGAATTGGAAAATCACCATTTGATAACCATCATAATAATTGATTCAGTTATCAATGCATCACTGTACACTGTACAATGCTAAAACTAGTGAGTAAAAGTTTAAGGAGTAAGAGGATGTTTACACAATCTCAACTATCTCCCTACAAGATACTTATTAACTATAAAAGGTAAAATAGTAACTTCACAGTGGAGAAGCCTGGCAAACATCACCTTTACCAAGTGATCAAAGCTAACAAAGTTAACATCACTGATAATGATATTAATTGATAACATGTGCTTTCTGATATGATGCACTGAAAAGAACTCAGCATCACTTCTGCGGAATTACTGCTAAATTAATCTAAACCAAATCTAATCACGAGGGAATATCAGAGAAACAAATTGAGATTCATTAACTTGCAAAATAACAGGGTTTTGAGGAAGACACAGTAGACAAACTTTTCCCTAGTCCTCCCACTAAATACAACTAAAACTCCTAGACATTATATTTAAATTCAACATAAGACTCTGAAAAGTAGAAAACAAAGAGACCAGCAAGGACCCTCAGGGCTCAAGGAACAACACTGTGGTGATCTCCTTGTGTTTCCTTTTTTTTTTCTGAGACAGAGTTTCACTCTTGTTGCCCAGGCTGGAGTACAATGGTGCAATCTTGGCTCACTGCAACCTCTGCCTCCCGGGTTCAAGCGATTCTCCTGCCTCAGCCTCCCGAGTAGCTGGGATTACAGACGCCCACCACCATGCCCAGCTAATTTTTGAATTTTTTGTAGAGACGGGTTTTCTCCATGTTGGTCAGGCTGGTCTCGATCTCTGGACCTCAGGTGATCCACCCACCTCGGCGTCCCAAAGTGCTGGGATTACAGGCGTGAGTCACCGCGCCTGGACTTCCCTGTGTTTTCTTTTTGTTTCATATCTCAGACTCGGATCTAAAGAAGGTAGCAACTATGGGCCAGGCGCCATGGCTCACACCTGTAATCCCAGCACTTTGGGAGGCTGAGGGTGGCGGATCACCTGAGGTCAGGAGTTCGAGACCAGCCTAGCTAACATGGTGAAACCCCATCTCTACTAAAAATACAAAAATTAGCCCACTGAAACCAATGCATATAACAAGAAGGCCCCAATGAAAGTCGGCTGTCTTGCCAAACAACCAGGAAAGGTGCAGCCTAGTAAGAAAGAACATTTTTACACAGTAACTACTTTACTCTAAATACCACAGTAAAAAGTGGCCCAGCCAATATTCTTGTCATCAAGGGCTGAGTGAGGAGCCTAGACTTCTACTATTGAAGACTATACCAAGGTGTCCAACACCCCTCCTAAGCAGGGAAAGGCCGAGGGAGCCAGGACTTTCATTAACATCTGGGTATAACAAGGGCCCCTACCCCATAGCATCAGTGAAGACCATGTGGTTATCTGGAACTCCAACCCTCATGTCAATGTAGAGCAAGTGAGGGATCTGGACTTCTCCCTCTACATGGCAGTAATGAGATTGTATCCTCCCCTTCCCTGGCTGGAATAGTGTCAGAGAAAGTCAACTAAAATAGATTTAGGATGGGCACGGTGGCTTACGCCTGTAATCCCAGCACTTTGGGAGGCCGACGCAGGCGGATTAAGAGGTCAGGAGTTCAAGACCAGCCTGGTCAATATGGTGAAACCCCATCTCTACTAAAAAATACCAAAATTAGCCCAGCGTGGTGGTGGGCACCTATAGTCCCAGCTACTCGGGAGGCTGAGGCAGAAGAATCTCTAGAACCCAGGAGGTGGAGGTTGCAGTGAGCCAAGATCATGCCACTGCACTCCAGCCTGGGTGACAGAGCGAGACTCCATCTCAAAAAAAAAAAAAAAATTTAAATAAGACTAGAGTCTTATTTTAAGATATAATGTGAAAATGTTCAAGTTTCCATGCAGAATCACCAAGAACCAGGAAAATCTTAAACTAAATTGAAAAAAGACAATCACTAGAAGTCAACACCAAGAAGACAGATATAATGCATTACTTATAGAAGAAAAACAATTCAAATGACAGTGAATTTCTTATCAGAAACCATGGAAGTCAGAGAAAAGTAGCAAAATATTTTTCTAGTCATGGAAGAACTGACAACTCAGAATCTTATACCCAGTGAAAATGTCCTTCAAGGGTAAATGGAAAATCAAGATATTGTCAGATGAAGGAACACACTGTCTGATGAAGAGAGTTCATAGTCATCAAACCTATCTTGAAAGAACAGGCCAGGCACTGTGGCTTATGCCAGTAATCCCAGCACTTTGGGAGGCTGAGACAGGTGAATCACCTGAGGTCAGAAGTTCAAGACCAACCTGGCCAACATGGTGAAACCCCGTCTCTACTAAAAATACAAAAATTAGCTGGGCATGGTGGCAGGCACCTGTAATCTCAGCTACTTGGGAGGCTGAGGCGGAAGAATTCCTTGAACCCGGGAGGCGGAGGTTGCAGTGAGCTGAGATTACACCATTGCACTCCAGCCTGGGCAACTGAGTGAGACTCCCTCACGAAACAAAACAAAACAAAATCCCAGCACTTTGGCAGGCCGAGGTGGGTGGATAACGTGAGGTCAGGAGTTTGAGACAAGCCTGGCCAACGTGGTAAAACCCAATCTCTACTAAATATACAAAAATTAGCTGGGCATGGTGGTGCACACCTGTAACTACAGCTACTCAGGAGGGTGAGGCAGGAGAATTGCTTGAACCTGGGGGACGGAGGTTGCAGTTGTCAGGCCTCTGAGCCCAAGCTAAGCTATCGTATCCCCTGTGACCTGCACGTATACATCCAGATGGCCTGAAGCAACTGAAGATCCACAAAAGAAGAGAAAATAGCCAGTTCCTGCCTTAACTGATGATATTCCAACATTGTGATTTGTTCCTGCCCCACCCTAACTGATCAGTTGACTTTGTGACAATATACCCTCCCTGCCCTTGCGATAATGTACTTTGTGATATTCCCCTGCCCTTGTGAATGTACTTTGTATGATACATTCTCCCCACCCTTAAGAAGGTACTTTGTAATATTCTCCCCGCCCTTGAGAATGTACTTTGTAAGATCCACCCCCTGCCCACAAAAAATTGCTCCAACCTCCACCGCCTATCCCAAACCTATAAGGACTAATGATAATCCCACCCCCCTTTGCTGACTCTCTTTTCAGACTCAGCCCACCTGCACTCATTTGATTAAACAGCTTTGTTCCTCACACAAAGCCTGTTTGGTCGTCTCTTCACACGGACTCATGTGACATTTGGTGCCGAAGACCCGGGACAGGGGGAGTCCTTCAGGAGACTGGTCCCCTGTCCTCGCCCTCACTCCATGAGGAGCTCCACCTATGATCTCGGGTCCTCAGACCAACCAGCCCAAGGAACATTTAACATCTCACCAATTTCAAATCAGGTAAGCAGTCTTTTCGGTCTCTTCTCCAACCTCTCTCACTATCCCTTCACCCTTCAATCTCTCCCTTCCTTAATTTCGGTTCCTTTCCCTTTCTGGTAGAGACAGAAGAGACGCATTTTATCCATGAACTCAAAACTCTGGTGCCAGTTACAGACTCAGGAAGATAGTCTTCCCTTGGTATTTAATCACTGCAGGGACGCCTGCCTGATTATTAACCTACATTTCAGAAGTTTCTGATCACCACAGGACACCTGCCTTGATCCTTCACCTTGGTGGCAAGCCCCACCTCCCCTGGGTGGCAAGCCCCACCTCCCCTGGGTGGCAAGCCCCACCTCCCCTGGGTGGCAAGTACCACCCCCTGCCCCTGGTGTCCCTACCCTCTCTTTCCTCTGGGCTTGCCTCCTTCACTATGGGCAACCTTCCACCCTCCATTCCTCCTTCTTCTCCTTTAGCCTGTGTTCTCAAGAACTTAAAGCCTCTTCAACTCTCGCCTGACCTAAAACCTAAGCATCTTATTTTCTTCTGCAACACCACTTGGCCCCAGTACAAACTTGATAACAGCTCTAAATGGCCAGAAAATGGCACTTTCAATTTCTCCATCCTACAAGACCTAGATAATTTTTGTCGAAAAGTGGGCAAATGATCTGAGGTGCCTTACATCCAGGCATTTTTCACATTTCGTTCCCTCCCTAGTCTCTGTTCCCAATGAGACTCGTCCCAAATCCTCCTTCTTTCCCTCCCGCCTGTCCCTTCAGTCCCAACCCCAAGCGTCTCTGAGTCTTTTGAATCTTCCTTTTCAACTGATCCATCTGACCTCTCCCCTCCTCCCCAGACTACTCCTCCTCAGGTCGCTCCCCACCAGGCTGAATCAGGCTCCAACTCATCTTCAGCCTCCACTCCCCAACCCTATAACCCTCCTGTTACCTCCCCTCCTCACACCCGGTCTGGCTTACAGTTTTGTTCCACAACTAGCTCTCCCCCACTTGCCCAACAATTTCCTCTAAGAGAGGTGGCTGGAGCTGAAGGCATAGTCAGGGTACATGTGCCTTTTTCTCTATTAGACCTTTCCCAAATCAGCCAGAGTTTAGGCTCTTTCTCGTCAGACCCCACTGAATATATACAGGAGTTCCAATATCTAACTCTGTCCTACAATTTAACCTGGAGAGACTTAAATGTCATCCTAACTTCTACCCTCTCCCCAGATGAACGGGAAAGAGTTTTTTCTCTAGCCCAATCTCATGTGGACAACTACCGGCTTCATGAGCCAGGCCTCCAGGAAGGCATTAGAGCAGTTCCCTGAGAGGATCCCCAGTGGAACTATCAGGCAGATTCCCCAGGTATAGCTCAGTGAGATTACACGATTTCTTGCCTAGTTGAAGGGCTTTAAAAGGCAGCATAGAAATCTGTTAATTATGACGAACCTGAAGAAACCACCCAAGGAAAGGTTGAAAACGCAGCCAGTTCATGGCTCACTTAGCAGCAATCCTGAGACGCTTTACAGCCTTGGACCCAGAGGGGCCAGAAGGCCGTCTTGTTCTCAATATGCGTTTTATCACTCAGTCCACCCATTTGAAAGAAACTCCAAAAGCTAGACTCCGGCCCTCAAACCCCACAACAAGACTTAATTAACTTTGCCTTCAAGGTGTACGATAATAGAGAAGAGGCAGCCAAGCGGCAACGTATTTCTGAGTTGCGATTAGTTGCCTCCACTGTGAGAGAAACCCCAGCCACATCTCCAGCACACAAGAACTTCAAAACGCCTAAACTGCAGCAGCCAGGCATTCCTCCAGGGCCTCCTCCCCCAGGATCTTGTTTCAAGTGCCAGAAATCTGGCCAATGGGCCAAGGAATGCCCACAGCCCGGGATTCCTCCTAAGCTGTGTCCCATCTGTGCAGGACCCCACTGGAAATTGGACTGTCCAACTTGCCTGGCAGCCACTCCCAGAGCCCCCAGAGCACTGGCCCAAGGCTCTCTGACTGACTCCTTCCTAGATCTGCTCGGCTTAGCGGCTGAAGACTGATGCTGCCCGATCCCCTCAGAGGCCCCCTGGACCATCACAGACGCCGAGTTTCAGGTAACTCTCACAATGGATGGTAAGTCCATCCTCTTTTTAATCAATACTGGGGCTACCCACTCCGCATTACCTTCTTTTCAAGGGCCTGTTTCCCTTGCCCCCATAACTGTTGTGGTTATTGACGGCCAGTCTTCTAAACCTCTTAAAACTCCCAAACTTTGCTGCCAACTTGGACAATATTCTTTTATGCATTCCTTTTTAGTTATCCCCACCTGCCCAGTTCCCTTATTAGGTCAAGACATTTTAACAAAATTATCCGCTACCCTAACTATTCCTAGACTACAGTCACACCTCATTCCTGCCCTTTTCCCCAGTTCAAAGCCTCCTTTGAATCCTTCCCTTGTGTCTCCCTACCTTCATCCACAAGTATGGGACACCTCTACTCCCTCCTCAGCGACTGATCATGCACCCCTTATCATCCCATTAAAACCTAATCACCCTTACCCCCTTCAACGCCAATATCCCATCCCACAGCAGGCTTTAAAAAGGTTAAAGCCTGTTATCACCCGCCTGTTACAACATGGCCTCTTAAAGCCTACAAACTCTCCTTACAACTCTCCTATCCTACCTGTCCAAAAACTGGACAAGTCTTACAGGCTGATCTAAGATCTTCACCTTATCAACCAAATTGTCTTGTCTGTCCAGCCAAACCCATATACTCTCCTATCCTCAATACCTCCCTCCACAACCCATTATTCTGTTCTGGATCTCAAAAATGCTTTCTTTACTACTCCTTTACACCCTTCATTCCAGCCTCTCTTCGCTTTCACTTGGACTGACCCTGACACCCATCAGTCTCAGCAGCTTACCTGGGCTGTACTGCTGCAAGGCTTCAGGGACAGGCCCCATTACTTCAGTCAAGCCCTTTCTCATGATTTACTTTCTTTCCATCCATATGCTTCTCACCTTATTCAATATTTTGATGACCTTCTACTTTACAACCCCCCTTACAAATCTTCTCAACAGGACACCCTCCTGCTCCTGCAACATCTATTCTGAAAGGGATATCACGTATCCCCCTCCAAAGCCCAAATTTCTTCCTCATCCGTTACCTATCTCGGCACAATTCTTCATAAAAACACACATGCTCTTGGGCCAGGTGTGGTGGCTCACACCTGTAATTCCAGCACTTTGGGAGGCTGAGGCAGGTGGATCATGAGGTCAGGAGATCAAGACCATCCTGGCTAACACGGTGAAACCTCATCTCTACTAAAAATACAACAACAACAAAAAATTAACCAGGCATGGTGGCATGCACCTGTAGTCCCAGCTACTCGGGAGGCTGAGGCAGGAGAGTCCCTTGAACCCAGGAGGCGGAGCTTGCAGTGAGCTGAGATCATGCCACTGCACTCCAGCCTGAGCAACAGAGCGAGACTCTGTGTCAAAACAAACAAAACAACAACGAAAAACACACGTGCTTTCCCTGCTGATCATGTCCGGCTAATCTCCCAAATTCCAACCCCTTCTACAAAGCAACAACTCCTTTCCTTCCTAGCCATGATTGGGTACTTTTGTCTTTGGATACCTGGTTTTGCCATCCTGACTAAACCATCATATGTACTCACAAAAGCAAACCTAGCTGACCCCATAGATCCTAAATCCTTTCGCCGCTTAGGATTCCATTCCTTAAAACAGCCCTAGAAGCTGCTCCCACACTAGCTCTCCCTAACTCATCCCAACACTTTTCATTACACACAGCCGAAGTACAGGGCTGTGCAGTCAGAATTCTTACACAAGAGCCGGGACCACGCCCTGTAGCCTTTCTGTTCAAACAACTTTACCTTACTGTTTTAGCCTAGCCCTCATGTCTGCATGCAGCAGCTGCCACTGGTTTAATATTTAGAGGCCCTGAAAATCACAAACTATGTTCAACTCACGCTACAGTTCTCATAACTTCTAAAATCTATTTTCTTCCTCACACCTGACACATATACTTTCTGTCCCCCAGCTCCTTCAGCTATACTCACTCTTTGTTGAGTCTCCCACAATTACCATTGTTCCTGGCCCAGACTTCAATCTGGCCTCCCACATTATTCCTGATACCACACCTGACCCCCATGACTGTATCTCTCTGATCCACCTGACATTCACTCCATTTCCCCACCCTTCTTTTCTGTTCCTCACCCCAATCACACTTGGTTTATTGATGGCAGTTCCACCAGGCCTAATTGCCACTCACCAGCAAAGGCAGGCTATGCTATAGTAGCTTCCACATCTATCCTTGAGGCTACCGCTCTGCCCCCTCCACTACCTCTCAGCAAGCCGAACTCATTGCCTTAACTTAGTCTCTCACTCTTGCAAAGGGACTATGCATCAATATTTATACTGACTGTAAATATGCCTTCCATATCCTGCAGCACCATGCTGTTACATAGGCAGAAAGAAATTTCCTCACTACACAAGGGTCCTCCATCATTAATACCTCCTTAATAAAAAGGAGGCATTAAAGCTGCTCAACTTCCAAAGAAGCTAGGGTCATTCACTGCACGGGCCATCAAAAGGCATCAGATCCCATCGCTCAAGGCAATGCTTATGGTAATACGGTAACTAAAGAAGTAGCTAGCCTTCCAACTTCTGTCCCTCACGGCCAGTTTTTCTCCTTCTCATCTTTTCCCTTTACATTTCCAGTTTTGCCTTAAAAAGGTCTCTTCTTCCCCTGTGGCTCCTCCACCTACCTGTGTTTACCTGCTAGCTGGACAGGCACATGCACACTAGTTTTCCTTCCTCCCAAAATTCCATTTGCAAATAGGACCGAACAGCTTCCTCTTCCCCTCATGACACCAACACTTCACCACTGTTTTGTTTTATTTTTCTTATTCACAAAAAAACACAGGAATAGGCCTTGACTTACTGACTGCTGAAAAAGGAGGACTCTGTATATTTTTAAATGAGGAGTGTTGTTTTACCTAAATCAATCTGGCCTGGTATATGACAACATAAAAAAAAAAAAAAAAAAAAAAAACTCAAGGATAGAGCCCAAAAACTTGCCAACCAAACAAGTAATTACACTGAATCCCCTTGGGCACTCTCTAATTGAATGTCTTGGGTCCTCCCAATTCTTAGCCCTTTAATACCTGTTTTTCTCCTCTCTTATTTGGACCTTGTGTCTTCCACTTAGTTTCTCAATTCATACAAAACCGCATCCAGGCCATCATCAATCATTCTATACGACAAATGCTCCTTCTAACAACCCCACAATATCACTCCCTACCCCAAAAGCTTTCCTCAGTTTAATCTCTCCCACTCTAGGTTCCCACGCCACCCCTAATATCACTCGAAGCAGCCCTGAGAAACATCGCCCATTATCTCTCCATATCACCCCCAAAAATTTTCACCACCCCAACACTTCACCACTATTTTATTTTATTTTTCTTATTAATATAAGAAGACAGGAATGTCAGGCCTCTGAGCCCAAGCTAAGCCATCATATCCCCTGTGACCTGCACGTATACATCCAGATGGCCCGAAGCAACAGAAGATCCACAAAAGAAGTGAAAATAGCCAGTTCCTGCCTTAACTGATGACATTCCACCATTGTGATCTGTTCCTGCCCCACCCTAACTGATCAATTGGCTTTGTGACACTACAGGTGTATGCCACCATGCCCAGGTAATTTTTGTATTTTTAGTAGAGATGGGGTTTGGCCAGGCAGGTCTTGAACTCCTTTCCTCAGGTGATCTGCCCACCTCGGCCTCCCAAAGTGCTGGGATTACAAGCGTGAGCAAACTCGCCCAGCCTATACCATTTAAATTGTTTAAAAAACACATATATAAATCTAGCACATAGGAGTTATTTGCTTAAAACCATAAAATATTGGTGAAGAAAATCAAAGAAGTTCTAAGAGAGAGATATCCCATGATTATGGACTATAAGATGCAACATAGTATAGCTGTTAATTCTCCCCAAACTGCTACATATATTTAATTTATTTTTTTAATATTTTTATTTTTTGAGACTGTGTATCACTCTGTTGCCCAGGCTGGAGTGCAGTGGCTCAATCTTAGCTCACTGCAACTTCCGCTTCCTGGTTTCAATTGATTCTTGTGCCTCAGCCTCCTGAGTAGCTAGGACTACAGGCGCTTGCCACTACACCTGGCTAGTTTTTGTATTTTTAGTAGAGATGGGGTTTCACCATGTTGGCCAGGCTGGTCTCGAACTCCTGACCTCAGGTGATCGACCCAACTCGGCCTCCCAAAGTGCTGGGATTACAGGCGTGAGCCACCATGCCTAGTCTATTTTTTATTATTTATTTATTTATTTATTTATTTTTGAGATGAAGTTTCACTCTTG
Source organism: Homo sapiens (assembly GCF_000001405.40). Classification (NCBI taxonomy): domain Eukaryota; kingdom Metazoa; phylum Chordata; class Mammalia; order Primates; family Hominidae; genus Homo; species Homo sapiens. Next base: position 41,138,331 of record NC_000015.10, read on the forward strand.
TTTCCCAGGCTGGCGTGCAATGGCAAGATCTCAGCTCACTGCAACCTCCGCCTTCCAGGTTCAAGCGATTCTCCTGCTTCGGCTTCCTGAGTAGCTGGAATTACAGGCATGTGCCACCATGCCTGGCTAATTTTTTTGTAGAGACGGGGTTTCTCCATGTTGGTCAGGCTGATCTTGAACTCCTGGCCTTAAGTGATCCACCTGCGTGGTCAGAATTTTGAGACCAGGCTGGCCAACATGGTAAAACCCTGTCTCTACTAAAAATATAAAAATTAGCCTGGGGTGGTGGCATGTACCTGTACTCCCAGCTACTTGAGTCTGAGGCAGGAGAATTGCTTGAACCTGGGAGGTGGAGGTCGGGGTGAGCCGAAGTTGTACCACTGCACTCCAGCCTGGGTGACAGGGCAAGACTCTGTCTCAAAAGAAAAATAAAATAAAATTAAATTAAAATTAAAATTAAAAAACCAGCAAGATTTATATGATGATACAGGAAAACTTTTTCTAAAAGAAAAGCAAGGCAGGGCACAGTGGCTCATGCCTGTAATCCCAGCACTTTGGGGAGCCAAGGCCAGCAGATCACTTGCGGTTAGGAATTTGAGACCAGCCTGGCCAACATGGTGAAATCCCATCTCTACTAAAAGTACAAAAATTAGCCGGGCATGGTGGTGGATGCCTGTAGTCTCAGCTACTCAGGAGGCTGAGGCAGGAGAATATCTTGAACCCAGGAGGCAGAGGTTGAAGTGAGCTGAGATCGTACCACTGCACTCCAGCCTGGGAGACAAAACAAGACTGTTTCAAAATAAATAAATAAATAAATAAATAAATAAAAGAAAAGCAAAGAAATTGTCAGAGGCATTTGAACAAGAGCGACTCCATCTTGAATAGGGCCTGGATAAATAAGGCTGAGACCTGCTGGACTGCATTCCCAGGAGCTTAGGTGTTCTTAGTCACAGGATGAGATAGGAGGTTGGCACAAGATACAGGTCACAAAAAGTCTGCTGATAAAACAAGATGTGGTAAAGAAGCCAGCCAAAACCTGCCAAAACCAAGAGGGCTATGAAAGTAACCTTTGGGGGCCGGGCGCGGTGGCTCATGCCTGTACTCCCAGCACTTTGGGAGGCCGAGGTGGGCGGATTACCTGAGGTCAGGAGTTCGAGGCCAGACTGGCCAAAATGGTGAAACCTCGTCTCTACTAAAAGTACAAAAATTAGCTGGGCTTGGTGGCAGTCGCCTGTAATCCCAGCTACTTGGGAGGCTGAGGCAGGAGAAATGCTTGAACCTGGGAGTTGGAGGTTGCAGTGAGCCGAGATCGCGCCATTGCACTCCAGCCTGGGAAACGAGCAAAACTCCATCCCAAAAAAAAAAAAAAAAAAAGAAAGAAAGTGACCTTTGGTTGTCCTCACTGCTCATTAAATACTAATTGTAACACATTAGCATACTAAAGAACACTCCCACCAGTACCATGACAGTTTACAAATGCCATGGAAACACCCAGAAATTACCCTATATGGTCTAAAAAGGGGAGGAATCCCCAGTTGTGATTTCTGGGAAATCTCCACCTGTTTTCCAGAAAACTCATGAATAATCCACACCTTGTTTAGCATATAATCCAGAAATAACTATAAGTATACTCAGTTGAGCAGCCTATACATTGCTCCGCCTATGGAGTAGCCACTCTTTATTTACTTTTTTTTTTCACTTTGTAATATTTTAATTTTTAACTTTTGTTGGCACATGGTAGGTGTATTATATATTTATAGGGTACATGAGATTTTTTATTTTCACATTTAAGGTATTACAAATTGGAAGGACACAGTGGCTCACGCCTGTAATCCCAACACTTTGGGAGGCCAAGGTGGGTGGATCACCTAAAGTCACGAGTTTGAGACCAGCTTGGCCCACATGGTGAAACCCTGTTTCTACTAAAAATACAAAAATAAATGGGGAATGGTGGCGGGCGCCTGTAATCCCAGCTACTAGGGATGCTGAGGCAGGAGAATTGCTTGAACCCAGGAGGCAGAGGTTGCAGTGAGCCAAGTTTGCACCATTGCACTCCAGCCTGGGCAACAAGAGCAAAACTCCATTTCAAAAAAAAAAAAAAGATTTTACAAATTGATTTTGTGCTAAGAAAGATGAGCTTTAATTCTCTTGCCCTAACGTTTTTTTCTCCTTTTTTAAAAAAAAAAATTTATTTCCATAGATTTTGGGGGAAAAGTTGGTTACATGAGTAAGTTCTTTAGTGGAGATTTGTGAGATTTTGGTGCACCCATCACCCGAGCAGTATATGCCGAACCCAATTTGTAGTCTTTTATCCCTCAGCCCGTCCCATACTTTTTTTTTTTTTTTTTTTTTTTTTTGAGATGGGATCTCTTGTGCAGTGACACAATCGTGGCTCATTGAAACCTCCACCTCCCAGGATCAAGCGATTCTCCTGCCTCAGCCTCCCAAGTAGCTGGGATTCCAAGCACGCACCACCACACTCAGCTAATTTTTGTATTTTTAGTAGAGATGGGGTTTTGCCAAGTTGGCCAGGTTGTTCTCGAACTCCTGACCTCAGGTGATCTGCTTGCCTCAGCCTCCCAAAATGCTGGGATTACAGGAGTGAACCACCACTCCCAGCCTCATACTTTCTAATAAAATTGCTTTTGCTTTTCTCTGTTGCCTTACCCCAAATTCTTTCTTGTGAGAGGTCCAAGAACTATCTCTTGGGGTCTGGACTGGGAACCGTTTCAGTAATAGAATGAGAATAGCTGAAACAATTTTGAAGATGCAGTATAAAGGGAGAAGAATCAGTCTATCTAATTTCAAAACTTACTAGATAGCTAAATGAATTAATGCTGTATAGTATTGGTGGAGAGATAGACACGCAGATCTTGAAACTGCCTTTCCAAATATTATAACAGTGAGAAAATGACCGGGGCTGGGCGTGGTGGCTCACACCAGTAATCCCAGCAGTTTTGGAGGCCGAGGTGGGTGGATCACCTGAGGTCAGGAGTTCGAGACCAGCCTGACAAATACGGTGAAACCCCTTCTCTACTAAAAATACAAAAATCAGCCAGCTGTGGTGGTGTGCGTCTGTAGTCCCAGCTATTGGGGAGGCTGAGACAGGAGAATTGCTTGAACCTGGGAGGCAGAGGTTGCAGTGAGCCAAGATCACGCCACTGCACGCCAGCCTGTGTGAGCCAGACTCTGTCTCAAAAAAAAAAAAGAAAGGAAGGAAGAAAGAAAATAATGACCCTGTAAGAGGTAAGAACTAACCAACCCCCATCTTGCCTCTAAAGTCCAAACTGGGGGTTCTCTCTCTTGGCTTTGGAGTGCCCCCTCCCTCTGTCTCTGTACAGGGGAGTTTCTTCCTTCTTTCTTCCCCCTTCATCTTGCCTATTAAATTCTCTGCTCCTTAAAAACACAAATAAATAAATAAATAAAGTCCAAAATGTGGCCAGGTGCAGTGCCTCCCCCGGGCAGATAATGAGGTCAGGAGATGGAGACCATCCTGGCCAACATGGTGAAACACCATCTCTACTAAAAATACAAAAATTAGCCAGGCATGGTGGCGGGCGCCTGTAATCCCAGCTGCTCGGAAGGCTGACGCAGGAGAATCCCTTGAACCTGGGAGGCGGAGGTTGCAGTGAGCCGAGATCGTGCCACTGCATTCCAGCCTGAGCAACAGAGGGAGACTCCATCTCAAAAACAAAGCAAAAAAACCCACCAGGTTAGGAGGATGAGATGAATTTTACTAAGGTGTACAGATAAGTGATTACCAGCCATTATTCTGGAGATCACAAAATTTACAAGTTCCCCAATTACTCTTGCAGATAACATCACTATTACAGAACCTAAGATTGGCCTTTTGAGATATTTCTTTTAGGCTTTTGCATTTCTGAGGACCCATAGCCCCACCCGGATCTGTGACTCTTAACTTAACTTCTCCTGTGACCCCACCCAGAAGCTGACTCACCACACAAGGACCGTTTTCCACACCCCTATGAATGCATCCACAACCAATCAGTAGTACCCATTCCCTTGCCTCCCAAACTATCCTTTAAAAACCCTAGCCTCGGCCAGGCACAGTGGCTCATGCCTGTAATCCCAGCACTTTGGGAGGCCGAGGTGGGTGGAAGGCTTGAGGCCTGGAGTTCCAGACCAGCCACGGCCAACATGGTGAAACCCCATCTCTACTAAAAATACACAAATTAGCCAGGCCGTGGTGGCACATGGCTGTAGTCCCATCTACTCAGGAGGCTGAGGATGGCTTGAACCCAGGAGGCAGAGGTTGCAGTGAGCCGGGATTGCGCAACTGCAATCCAGCCTGGGCAACAGAGCAAGATTCTGTCACAAAACAAAACAGAACACAACACAACAAAAACCCCTAGCCTCTGAATTTTCAGAGACTGATTTGATTAAGAATAAAGCTCTGGTCCCCCATTTAGCCAACTCTACATGTATTAAACACTTTACTCCAATTCCCCTGCCTTGATAAATATACCTATGCAAATATCCTGACTCTTAATCAGTTTTATTGACATTTAATTCACATAACAAAATCACCTTTTAGTGGTTTTTAGTAGATTCACAATTTTAGAACATTTCATCACTCCAAAAAGACCACCCATAAAACAAGAGCAAAATTCCATCTCAAAAAAAAAAAAAAAAAAGAAAGAAACATCTAGGCCAGGCATAGTGGCTCACACCTGTATTCCTAGCACATTGGGAGGCTAAGGTGGGCAGATCACCTGAGGTCAGGATGTTACCAGTAGAAGGTGTCCAGGTTCTTGGCATCTCAAACAAAGAATTGGACAAAACGCACAAACAAAGCAAGGAAAGAATGAAGGGATTTATTGAAAATGAAAGTAGCTAGGCAAGGTGACTTGAGCCTGTAATCCCAACACTTTAGGAGGCCAAGGCCGGGGAACACTTGAGGCCAGGAGTTCAAGACCAGTCTGGCCAACAGGCTGAAACCCTATCTCTGCTAAAAGTACAAAAATTAGCCAGACGTGGTGGGCGTGCCTGAATCCCAGCTACTCGGGAGGCTGATGCAGGAGAATGGCTTGAACCCAGGAGGTGGAGGTTGCAGTCAGTCGAGATCATGTCACTGCACTCCAGCCTGGATGACAAAGGAAGACTCTTTCTCAAAAAAAAAAAAAAAAAAAAAAAAGGAAAATGAAAATGCAATCTACAGTATGGGAGGGGGCCTGAGCATAGGGGTTCAAAGGCTCTGCTACAGAATTTTTGGGAGTTTAAATACCCCCTAGAGGATTCCATTGGTTACTTCGGGTACACCCTGTGTAAATGGAGAGGATGAAGTAAAGTTACAAAGTCATGTACAGCATAGGCCCTATGGAGAGGATATTTCCTGTTGTAGCTGAAGTGTGAATCGGCCTTATGTTCTCTGCCTCCAGACCCTATTTTCCTGCCTCATCTCCCCGCTGAGAGATGTGATCCCCATAAATCTTTATGGGAGGCAGAGGGATTAATGGTTTTTTGTTTGTTTGTTTCTTTGTTTTCCTCTAACTGCTTCATTCTGGCTTGGGGCATAGTCCTTACCTATTGGGATCACAGAACTTTTGCCCTGTTCTTTCTAGTGAAGGCAGGGTAACTTCTTTTTTTTTTGAGATGGAGTCTCGCTCTGTCGCCCAGGCTGGAGTGCAGTAGTGCAATCTCTGCTCACCACAACCTCTGCCTCCCGGGTTCAAGTGATTCTCCTGTCTCAGCCTCCCAAGTAGCTGGGATTACAGGCACGCGACCCCATGCCCAGCTAATTTTTCTATTGTTAGTAGAGATGGGGTTTCACTATGTTGGTCAGGCTGGTCTTGAACTCCTGACCTCGTGATCCACCTGCCTCAGCCTTCCAAAGTGCTGGGATTACAGGCATGAGCCACCGCTCCCGGTCCAGCAGGGTAACTTCTTTATGGCCAGGGGTGGTGTCTTCACCTGGAACTGGCTGGAACTTCTGTTGCATGATCATCTGAAACTCGATGGTCTCTAGGCAAGAGGAAATGAATTTGATTAAAAGATTTAATGGAAACTTCAAGGAGTGGATATCTATGCTGTCAGAAATGTTTGTTATAGAGATTTGCAGTAAAAAAAAAAAAAAAAAAAAAAAACACCTGGGCCAGTGCGGTGGCTCATGCCTGTAATCCTAGCACTTTTGGGAGGCTGCGGCGGGTGGATTGCCTGAGCTCTGGAGTTCGAGACCAGCCTGGGCAACACGGTGAAACCCCGTCTCTATTAAAATACAAAAAAATTAGCCAGGTGTGGTGGCATGCACCTGTAGTCCCAGCTACTTGGGAGGCTGAGGCAGGAGAATCGCTTGAACCCAGGAGGCGGAGGTTGCAGTGGGCGGGGAGCGCACCACTGCACTCCAGCCTGGGCGACAGAGTGAGACTCCGTCTCCAAAAAAAAAAAAAAAAAAAAAACACAAAAAACCTGATCTGTTCTAGAACCCCGGTGTTTCCTTAAAGTCTTAGCAGGAGGGATTCCATTTTAGTTTGGTTTGGTCTCTTGGTGCCTAGTGCATGCACTCAGTCCATAACAATGACCTGCCAGAATTTTGTTTACTATTAGGAGGGTAGTACCAAGAGTTCAGAGTATGATCCTTATCCAAGGTCCCCATAAACCAAACCTTCTAAAATCAAATAGATAAAAGAATGAACTAGATAAAGAGTTTACTCACTTGACTAGGCAATTTCTTCATCAGTCCCCTACCACTGAATCTCTATAATCTTCATTTGATGTATTTCTCCACAGGCCACAAGTGCCAGCAGCTGCACAGATACTTCTCTGTTTAGCCAATTATATCATAACTTTTATAAGAGAATTTAGTGTCTGTTGTGTAACTGTGGCCTTTACAGTAGAATTTGCTATAGAACTTAACATGAGGGAAACATTTCTTTTTTTTTTTTCCCCTAGATGGAGTCTTGCTCTGTCTTCCAGAGCTGGAGTGCAGTAGTGCAATCTCTGCTCACTGCAACCTCCACCTCCGAGGTTCAAGCAATTCTCCTACTTCAGCCTCCCAAGTAGCTGGGATTACAGGCACATGCCACCACGCCCGGCTAATTTTTGTATTTTTAGTAGAGATGGGGTTACATCATGTTGGACAGGCTGGTCTAGAACTCCTGACCTTGTGATCTGCCCACCTCAGCCTCCCAAAATGCTGGGATTACAGGCGTGAGCCACTGTGCCCAGCCAAGGGATCCATTTCTAATCATTGCTTCTTTTACATTAAACCATGGAAAAAGGACCTAACAAATGATGCCCTTTCTTTTAGAAGAGTGAAGGACTCCTGGCAATGTTCTCTTTAACCCATGATGTGGGTTAAGAGGAGTGAACGAGGGCTGGGTGCGGTGGCTCATACCTGTAATACCAGCACTTTGGGAGGCCAATGAGAGCAGATCACCTGAGGTCAGGAGTTTATGAGACCAGCCTGACCAACATGGAGAAACCCTGTCTCTACTAAAAATTAAAAACTAGCCAGGCTCGGCCAGGCATGGTGGCTCACGACTGTCATCCCAGCACTTTGGGAGGCCGAGGCAGGCGGATCACGAGGTCAGGAGATCGAGACCACCCTGGCTAACATGGTGAAATCCCGTCTCTACTAAAAATACACACACACACACATGCGCGCGCGCGCGCGCGCACACACACACACACACACACACACACACACACACACACACAAATAAGCCGGGCGTGGTAGCGGGCGCCTGTAGTCCCAGCTACTCGGGAGGCTGAGGCAGGAGAATGGCTTGAACCTGGGAGGCGGAGCTTGCAGTGAGCTGAGATAGTGCCACTGCACTCCAGCCTGGGTGACAGAGTGAGGCTCTGTCTCAAAAATAAATAAATGAATAAATACTAGCCAGGCTTGGTGGCGGGCGCCTGTAACCCCAGGTACTTGGGAGGCTTGAACCCAGGAGGCAGAGGTTACGGTGAGCCGAGATTGTGCCATTGCACTCCAGCCTGGGTGAGAAGAGGGAAACTCTGGCTGGGCATGGTGGCTCACAGCCTGTAATCCCAGCACTTTGGGAGGCTGAGGCGGGTGGATCACCTGAGGTCAGGAGTTCGAGACCAGCCTGACCAACATGGAGAAACCCCCCTCTCTACTAAAAATACAAAACAATTTAGCAGGGTGTGGTGGCGCATCCCTGTAACCCCAGCTACTCAGAAACTGAGTCAGGAGAGTCGCTTGAACTCTGGAGGCAGAGGTTGCAATGAGCCGAGATGGTGCCGTTGCACTTCAGCCTGGGCTATAAGAGCAAAACTCTGTCTCAAAAAAAAAAAGAGGAGTGAACCAATGTTTTGTTTTTGACTTATTATGAGGCAACGTATGAACGTATGTACCATTAAAGTTTCTTATCCACATTGGGCCTTCTTTTTTTTTTTTTTTTTTTTTTTTTTTGAGATAGAGTCTCACTCTGTTGCCCAGGCTGGAGTGCAGTGGTGCGATCTTGGCGTACTGCAACCTCCGCCTCCCGGGTTCAAGTGATTCTCCTGCCTCAGCCTCCTGAGTAGCTGGGATTACAGGCGTGGGCCACCATGCCTGGCTAATTTTTGTATTTTTAGTAGAGACGGGGTTTCTCCATGTTGGTCAGGCTGGTCTCGAACTCCTGACCTCATGATCCGCCCACCTCGGCCTCCCAAGGGCCTTCATTTTTTAATCTATTAATGTATAAGGTTATCCACGTATAAGGCTGGCTGCAAACTCCTTTACAAATAAAAGTATACCCCATTAGTGCCCATAACAGACCCCTTTTTCACTTCTATTGTTTATAGAGGCATAAGCAAGAAAAAAAATATTCAAAGATAAAACGTCATGATAGTAGAAGTCTTCACCTGTGAACTTGGGAAAAGCTGTTCACATCAAGGATGACATCCTCTTCTTGGGAGAATTTTCCCTGGTTAGTTTTACCTTAAGGGATCCAGTGGGTGCACAGCTCTAAGAGCACGGAGGACCCTTCTCAGCTGTGAGATTATGAACCCATTCAAGGTCCCGAAGTTTTCTTGTAGTGTGGAAAGGACAGTTATTCTCTGATGTTTCCAGAAGATTCAAACTATAAAAAACTTTCTTTACCTGGTGAAAATACACTGTACCGTAATAATCTACTGTTATAACATCAGCCCTCTTGCATGAGAAAGCTTTCATACAAGAAGAAAACATACATTGAAAATAAAAATCAGCTGGGCGCGAAGGCTCACCCCTTTAATCCTAACAGTTTGGGAGGCCGAGGCGGGTGGATCACTTGAGGTCAGGAGTTCGGGCCCAGCCTGGCCAACATGGTGAAACCCTGTCTCTACTAAATATACAAAAATTAGCCAGGCATTGTGGTGGGTGCCTGTAATCCCAGCTATTCCAGAGGCTGAGGCAGAAGAATCACTTGAACCCGGGAGGCGGAGTATCACTTGAACCCGGGAGGTGGAGTTTGCAGTGATCTGAGATCGCACCCCTGCACTCCAGCCTGGGTGACAGAGCAAGACTCTGTCTCAAAACAAACAAACAAAAACAATTTCAGTGTTAGCTGAACATGAAAGTATTTTCTTGATATTTAATTTTTTGTTGTTGTTGTTCTACTTGGGTTAGTAGCTTCATACAAGGAAATTTGGTTATTTCTGTAGTTTACAATAACTTAACATAATAACTATAATTGTGATTGGTACCATATACTTAGACATTAGAATTTTAGAAATCCCATAAAATTTTGGGATATATATTAGTATTATTCACACAAATACAACCTAAAGAAGATTGAACATCATTTTGGCAATTCCATGTACCTAAACAGGTCAAATAATCCTGTTTACCTCTTTTCTGGATGTTTTCAGGGGCCCTCTGATCCATCCAGAAAGCCAAGCATTAGGAAAGATAATTTTGAAACGGAAGTTTGATTTTGGAATTCCAGATTACCATAAATTATTTATTTTGCCAAAGTGATGACTCAGAAATTTTAAAGAAGCAAAAGCCTTTTATAACCTTTAACAACAAAACAAAATACATTGTATTCTATTGTTTTTACACACCTTGCATGAACAACCATTTCTAGTAGTCTTTTTTTCTTTTTTTTTGAGACAGAGTCTTGCTCTGTTGCCCAGACTGGAGTGCAGTGGTACCACCTGGGCTCACTGCAACCTCCGCCTCCCAGGTTCAAGTGATTCTCCCTCCTCAGCCTCCTGAGTAGCTGGGACTACACGTGCACACTACTGTGCCCAACCAATTTTTGTATTTTCAGTACAGATAGGTTTTCACCATGTTGGCCAGGCTGGTATCGAACTCCTGACCTCAGGTAATCCACTCACCTTAGCCTCCTAAAGTGATGGGATTTCAGGCATAAGCCACCACTCCTGGAGTCTAGTTGTATTTGTTTGTTTTTGAGACGGAGTTTTGCTCTTGTTGCCCAGGCTGGAGTGCAATGGCATGATCTTGGCTCACTGCAACCTCTGCCTCCTGGGCTCAAGCGAGTCTCCTGCCTCGGCCTCCTGAGTGGCTAGGATTACAGGCATGCACCACCATGCCTGGCTATTTTTTGTATTTTTAGTAGAGATGGGGTTTCACCATGTTGACCAGTCTGGTTTCAAACTCCTGACCTCAGGTGATCTGCCCGCCTTGGCCTCCTAAAGTGCTGGGATTATAGGCACGAGCCACCGCGCCGGCCTCTAGTAGTCTTTTTTTTTTTTTTTTTTTTTTTTTTGAGACAGTTTCACTCTTGTTGCCCAGGCTAGACTGCAATGGCATGATCTCGGCGCACCACTCACCACCACCTCCGCCTCCCAGGTTCAAGTGATTCTCTTGCCTCAGCCTCTGGAATAGCTGGGATTACAGGCATGCGCCACCACGCCTGGCTAATTTTGTATTTTTAATAAAATGGGGTTTCTCCATGTTGGCCAGGCTGGTCTCTCAAACTCCTGACCTCAGGTGATCTGCCCTCCTTGGCCTCCCAAAGTGCTGGGATTACAGGCATGAGCCACCAAGCCTGGCCGCCTCTAGTAGTCTTAATTGCATATTATAATGGTGAATTTTAATGTAAAACCTAATAAGTTATTTTCTGATAAGGTTTGACTATTTCCAGCACAGCTAGGGGCGTGGCCAACTCCACATGTCCTCAGGCCTTACCTAGCTGGAAAGCAGGCAAGTTAAACAGTTTTCAAAAGCCAAAGAAGCAGTCTGTGACCTTAAAGCATTTAGCAAACCTAATATTTGAACATAATTTAGACCACGTTTACATTTAGAAGACAATTGTATTTGACCAATAATCTTTAAAACTGTCTTTATTTCCCGAAGATTGCTAAAGTCACATGAACTAAAGGGCATTACACGTTCTACTTTTCTGGCAAAATGTTTGATTTAAGCTCTTATTATTATTAAACCAATTAATTTAAAACTTTACAGAGGAGATTAATCACTTTGCACAGACAGAAAGAAGTCAGAGACTGAGTGGTACGAAATTATTACCCTTTTGCCGACATGCCAGCTTTCTGGGTTCTCTCTCCCTGAGCGGCCCTGGCGACCCATGCTTGACTGTATGCAGACAAACATATTGCCATGAATTAAGAATATTCACAAATTGTTTACAAATTTTGGAGAATCTAGGCAGAGAGAGAAATATGACTCAAATTCTATTTGTGAGAGTATACTCAATATGCTTAAAGTATCAGGAAGCCCAAAATCCAAAAAGTTATTTTAAGGATAAAAAGTTGGCATGCTCCATTAATTCCTGCAGGCCTGACAAAGGTAGCTCAGGAATTCCAGATATATGGAATGTATGATGACTTGCTAGAAATGCATAGAAACACAGAACTAAATAAAAGCCTTCCACTAGGAACTAAAAAAAAACCATGGTTTTATATATATGCATACACAAGTAAAGCCAGAGGAGAATAAACAGCAAACAAATGAAAACCAGAAGCAAAAACAAACAGGAAACCAACCATAAATTTTCCTGCTCAATTTACTCTGGAGGCCACAGTGTTACCCAGGGCCCCAAAAAACCCATATAATGAATATTTTATTCCTGATACACAATTCAATATCCTTAAGTTCACCAATATCATTATACATTCTGTGCAATCAAGAAATCCACTTTAGGCACACAACCAATAAGTAATCTAGCACTATCCAGGCAAAACAGTAAACATAGTGTGAAGCAATGCAGGCAACTTTACGCTAAATCCAGGTTCATGCTTGTGAAAGTGCCTTTGCAGAATTATGACCGAGACAGTGAAAGAGATCTAACTTAACTGGCTCCATCTTGCTTCTAACCCCCAAGCTGTCCTAGTTCATTCCTGGGCGTAGACTGAACTAACTTTGGAAGAAACTTAGTTTGTCGTTTATAGTTTAAACAAAGATGGTAAAGGCCCTTTCTTAAAGCAGTCCTCCTTCTTGCCTGGGGACTAGACTGCCTTAGTAGGACTAATTTAGCCACAAGATTAGAAATTATGGTTTAGGAGTCCTGCAGCTGGAGGCTACAAGATTCTGACCCTGCCTAAACTGCTCCTTAGATCAGTGCTTTAGACATTTTGCAGATCCTGCACTTGCTGGATCAGCTGGCACCACCCAGATCAATACACTGGCTCATCTGATCTTGTGGCCTCCATCCAGGAACTGACTCAGAACAGAAGAAGAAGACAGCTCAGACGCTCTATGATTTTATCTCTGACCAATCAGCACTCCTGGCTCACTGACTTCCCTCCACCCACCAAGTTATCCTTAGAAACTCTGCTCCCCAAATGCTTGGAAAGAGTAATTTAAGTAATAATACAACTCGGGTGGGATGCCGTGGCTCACGCCTTGTAATCCCAGCACTTTGGGAGGCCAAGGCGGGTGGATCACGAGGTCAGGAGTTTAAGACCAGCCTAGCCAACATGGTGAAACCCCGTCTCTACTAAAAATACAAAAATTAACCAGGTGTGGTGGTGTGCGCCTGTAGTCCCAGCGGCTTGTGAGGCTGAGGCAGGAGAATCGCTTGAACCTGGAGGCAGAGGTTGCAGTGAGCAGAGATCGCTCCACTGCACTCCAGCCTGGGTGACAGAGCAAGACTCCTTCTCAAAAAAAAAGAAACAAAAAAACTCTGGTCTTCCACACAGCGAGCTCTGCGTGATTACTGTTTCTCTATTGCAATTCCCGTCTTGATGAATCGGGTCTTTCTAGGCATTGGGCAAGGTGAATCCCTTGAGCCATTGAAAGGTGACATCGTGCTGGCAGCCCTCACAGCCCTTGCTCGCTCTCTGCGCCTCCTCCGCCTTGGCGCCCACTCTGGCCGCGCTTGAGGAGCCCTTCAGCCTCCCGCTGCACTGTGGGAGCCCCTTTCTGGGCTGGCCAAGGCCGAAGCCGGCTCCCTCAGCTTGCCCGGAGGTGTAGAGGGAGAGGCGCCTACGGGAACCGGAACCGGGGCTGTGCGCGGTGCTTCCAGGCCAGCCTGAATTCTGGGTGGGCATGGGCTCGCCAGCCCGCACTCGGAGCGGCCAGCCGGCCCCGCCGCCTCGGGCAGTGAGGTGCTTAGCATCTGGGCCAGCAGCTGCTGTGCTCAATTTCTCACCAGGCCTTAGCTGCCTCCCCGCGGGGCAGGGTTTGGGACCTGCAGCCTGCCACGCCTGAGCCTCCCTGCCACTCCGTGGGCTCCTGTGCCGCGGGAGCCTCCCGGAGGAGCGCCGCCCCCTGCTCCACGGCGCCCAGTCCCATCAACCACCCAAGGCCTGAGGAGTGGGGGGCGAACGGCGCGGGACTGGCAGGCAGCTCCACCTGCGCCCCGGTGGGGGATCCACTGAGTGAAGCCAGCTGGGCTCCTGAGTCTGTTGGGGACTTGGAGAACCTTTATGTCTAGCTAACGGATTGTAAATACACCAATCGGCACTCTGTATCTAGTTCAAGGTTTGTAAACACACCAATCAGCACCGTGTGTCTAGCTCAGGGTTTGTGAATGCAACAATCTACACTGTATCTAGCTAATCTAGTGGGGATGTGGAGAACTTTTGTGTCTAGCTCAGGGATTGTAAATGCACCAATCAGCACCCTGTCAAAATGGACCAATCGGCTCTCTGTAAAATGGACCAATCAGCAGGATGTGGGTGGGGCCAGATAAGAGAATAAAAGCAGGCTGACTGAGCCGGTAATGGCAACCCGCTCGGATCACGTTACATGTAGTGTGAGGTTTGTTCTTTGCGATATGTCTTGCTGTTGCTCACTCTCAGTCTTTGGGTCCACGCTGATCTTATGAGCTGTAATACTCACTGTGAAGGTGTGCAGCTTTGCTCCTGAAGCTAGCGAGACCACGAACCCCCCCAGGAGGAATAAACAACTCCAGACGTGCCGCCTTAAGAGCTGTAACACTCACCAGGAAAGTTTGCAGCTTCACTTCTGAGCCAGCGAGACTACGAACCCGCGAGAAGGAAGAAACTCGGAACACATCCAAACATCAGAAGGAACAAACTCTGGCCATGCGGGCTTTAACAGCTATAACACTCACTGTGAGGGTCCGCAGCTTCATTCTTGAAGTCAGTGAGACCAAGAACCCACCAATTCCGGATGCACCACTACACTTAACTATGTAAAAAAGAATTGCCAAACTGCTGATGCATTTTTACAATACTTCCTATTTTAATCAAGACGAAGAGCTTTAACTATGAAAAAATTACCCAAATGTTTCTAATTAATTATCAAGTTTAAAAGAATTATTAATCTTTTTTTACTAATAATATAACCCTTTCTGGCACATTTTGTATACAGAATTACGTGATATCTAGAAACCAAAAACTTTAGTGAAACCCTAAAAAGAAATCCTGAACTATTAGATATGGATGTTTATACATTAAAAATATTCCTTAATTAATTAACTTATTTATATTTGAGACAGAGTTTCACTCTGTCGCCCAGGCTGGAGTGCAGTAGCACGATCTTGGCTCACTGCAACTTCCGCCTCCCGGGTTAAAGTGATTCTCCTGTCTTAGCCTCCCAAGTAGCTGGGATTACAGGCGCATGCCACTAATCTCAAGCCCTTTCAAATTCTTACTCCTTCATGAAACATTCCCTGATTCCGTTTCTCTCTTGCTAAACCTCTGTCAAACCAGACGTACCTTTCTTTTGCAAAAATCACATTCCTTCTTTCTCTTTGTTAAGGCAGGGTCTTGCTGTCTCGTCCATCAGGCTGAAATGCACTGACAAGATTATAGCTTACTGCATCCTCCAACTCCTGGGCTCAAGCAATTCTCCTGCCCTAGCACCCCTGCCCTCCTCCAATAGTAGGGACTATAGGCACGTGCCACCACGCCTGAATAATTTTTGTTGTTGTTGAGGCAGGGTCTCACTATGTTGTCTAGGCTAAAAATCACATTCTGATGTGAACTGATTCCTGCATATTCCATGGACCCACATTTCTGAGCACTGACGGTTTGCTACCTACAGAGGTCGGCCCCACTAGCACCAAAGCAATGAGGACCTTGCCTGCCACAATTTCTACCATTTCTCTCTCTCTCTCGGAGACAGGGTCTCACTCTGTTGCCCAGGCTGGAGTGCAGTCTGGACTTCCTGGGGCTCAAGCGATCCTCCTACCTCAGCCTCCCAAGTAGCTGTAACCACAGGTGTACACCACCACACCCTGCTAATTTTTGTAGAGATGGGGTCTCTCCATTTTGCCCAGGTTGGTCTCAAACTCCTGGACTCAAGTGGTCTGCCCACGTCAGCCTCCCAAAGTACTGGGATTACAGGCGTTAGGCACCATGCCTGGCTGCCTGGCGTAAGTTATTTTCTTTTCCCTTTAGTGAGGATGTAGTCAGCTGCCTTGGCCTGGAGTATACAGTGTTGGATGTCTGAAGAAACACTGAATTGAGGGCCAGGCACGGTGGCTCACGCCAGTAATCCCAGCACTTTGGGAGGCCGAGGCGGGCAGATCACCTGAGGTCAGGAGTTCAAGACCAGCCTGAACAACATGGTGAAACCCCGTCTCTATTAAAAATACAAAAAATTAGCTGGGCGTGGTGGCGGGCGCCTGTAATCCCAGCAACTCGGGAGGCTGAGGCAGGAGAATCGCTTGAACGCAGGAGGCGGAGGTTGCAGTGAGCTGAGATCGTGCCACTGCACTCCAGCCTGGGGAACAAGAGCGAAACTCCATCTCAAAAACAAAAAACAAACAAAACAAAAAAACACTGAATTGAGTCTTCCTGTTTGCCTATGCAATAAACACAGTCAGTCTGAACAACAGACTTCCAGCTTGGGTCCCTGGCTGTCATTCCAGTTTCCTTTCAGGGCAGCAGCCTGGCCCTGGAGCCTTTTCAGCGGAAGCTCTGACCCCTTACACAGTTTCTAACCGACTCTTTCTGCAGTATCCTTTACACTGACTCACATGACCCTTCTTGTTCTACTTTGTGGCCAGCATCTTTGCTGATGACAAATCCTGCACCCATATCCTGACCCCTCTCTTTGGGGCCCTCAAAGACTGACCCCAAAATTATGTTCTTAGGACCCCATTATGGGGCTTCCTCCCAGATCCCCTGATTTATCCTAGACTTCCACATTCTTTTTTTTTTTTTTGACAGTCTTGCTCTGTCGCCAGGCTGGAGTGCAGTGGTGCAATCCCAGCTCACTGCAACCTCCGCTTCCCCGGTTCAAGTGATTCTCCTGCCTCAGCCTCCCGAGTAGCTGGGACTACAGGCACGCGCCACCACGCCCAGCTAATTTATGTATTTTTAGTAGATACGGTGTTTCACCATGTTGGCCAGGATGATCTCCATCTCTTGGCCTCGTGTTCCACCTGCCTCGGTCTCTCAAAGTGCTGGGGTTACAGGCATAAGCCACCACGCCCCACCTGTCTCCCCCATTCTAAGGTCCTTACTAGGAGCTCCCGGCATGTGAATCCAAGAGCTATTCCATTAAAATACTTATTTTTACATATCTTGTTTTTCAGATTATAAGGCCTTAAATATAAAAACTGTCTAATTGGCTGGGCGTGGTGGCTCACCCAAGATTGTGCCACTGTACTCCAGACTGAGTGACAAACCAACCAACCAATAAACAAAAATAAGGAGATAAATGCTTGAACTAAGACAAGAAAAAAGTACTTTGGAAAAGAGAAATAATTTATGAGAAAGAACTGATAAAAACTAGGAGCAGAGAATATGTACAAAGAAGACAGACTCTGAGTACTGGTTAATTTCAGATACAGTGAGAGTTACCTGCAGTGGCTCCCAGCATGATAAATCTGATATGTCTTTTACACAGTATATTCATTTTTACCAGATTATTATATATTGTAAAAGAATATTCCTAATCCTAGCCTCATAATCTTTTAAAATTTAATTTTAAAAAATTGAAAAAAAATATATAGATATATATTTTGAGATGGAGTCTCACTC